>NC_000014.9:69005652-69308682 GCF_000001405.40 Homo sapiens | reverse complement strand
AGATTATATGGTCACCTTATATTTCTAGGCATTAGCCCTACAATTAAACTCATGTAAATATGTGAAATGTACAAATATATTAATTACTGCATTATTTTTAATAAAAATGGTGGAAATAAATCTCTATCAGTAGACAACTGATTAATTAAAGTATACTTTATCCTTATACTAGAATTCTAAAGGAATGTTAGAAGAAATAAATATATACAGTGTGATTCATTTTATATAAATAGTTTATAAACATATGCATGTGTAAATGCATAGGTATACCTGAAAGAATACACAGGAAACCGCTCTACAGGGGTCACCTCTGGAAAATGGCATGGGGGTGAGATAGAAAACTGAAGACTTTTACCTTTTCCTTCATACATGTCAGGTTTTTTTATATAAATAAGGATTTATTTTTTATAATAAAAATTTTTAAGAAACAGGTGAACCTTAATTCTCTACCTAAGATAAAAGGATTGAGCTCATTACTGTCATCATTATCATCATCATCCTCAGAGTGAAACTCAGGGATAAATACATTGATGAAAAGTAAGTCCTTCCTCAGCTGTAACATCTGAGGGCCGAGGTACCGTCCGGAGTAGCTTAGTCCTGATGGACAGGAAGGAGAGGAAAGTGGAGGAGGGAGAGGAGCAAGATGTGGAGGCTGAATTGCAGAGTCGGGGTGGGAGGTGCTTTTGCAGGTGAATTCATCATTCGTGTGATGGTTGGCAACCCAACTTGACTTTGCCTGATTTCTCCCCAAAGCACAAGCCTAACAGTTGAAAACAGGGTGGGACTGGGGGTGGGGGCCGAGAAGCCAAGCCTTTCCTCACCTGTACTGCAGACATCAACCACAGAACACTCCCAGGAGGCTGGTACTTAGGTACTTAGGCACATGGGCAATTGGTGCCATTTCCTTTTCCGTCTTGACCATTAAAAAACATATTTTCTAAAGTTCCTGATGTGAGTGCTTAACTTAGTAACTTAGTTGAGGTGGGCAGGCAGGGCAAGGAGAGCTGAAAAGGGATGTCAGTCAAGTTCCTCCAGCTAGACCACAGCCACTCCATAGCGGCAGTCAAGTTAACCTCTGAGTGAAGCAGTTTCCGTAGCTGCGGAAAGGAGGTAATGGTACTGCCTTGGGGTGTCAAGCACATCGGGTCATGGGAGGCCATCACTAAATGACTGTATAAAAGGAGGGGGTTCAGCAAGATGATCTCTGAGTCTTCTTCCACCTCAAATATCAAATGAGCCGGAACAATATCCACTCATCCTATCATTGTTCAATACATATTTATTGCAGATCATGGAGCAAATGCTGAAACAGTGAGGACTAGGTCTCTGGACAAGGCTGCTGAAGAGCTGAGAGCTTCTTTGTGATCTGTCGCTTTGCTTGGCACACAGTAGCTGCTCGAGGTACGTTTGTCACGTGAAAAAGTGTGTTCATTGCGCCCCAGAGACCTACGCTCCACAGGAGCTGAAGGAGTACCAGCAGCTTTGATTAGGTGTCAACTAAAATGGGACTTGCTCCCTTGGGGATCTCGAGCTTTGGACAGGAGATAAAAATACAAAGGATTCTAGAACAGAGGAGCCCCAGGAGATGAGCTACCCTGTGAGTTCCCCTGGTAGTTCCCGCCAAGTGCATGAGCTAGGCAGATGCGCATGCTAGCTTTGGATCCGGGAGGGACAGAGATGTGTGTTTTATTGAGGTTGAGGGTCCTCTGTGAGGAATGACATTATTGCAGGTTAATGGTGGATAGTGCTTTTCTTCCTTACCTAATATCTTTGAATACTGCATTAAATTGTTTTTAAGCCACCGGAATGGTTATTAAATTAGTACCCTTTTGGAAAACAGTCTGGCAGTACGTTTCTAGTGTTTTATCCTTTGGCACATGGCCTCTTCTATTTCATTCTGTCCATTACCTTCCCCTAGACATGGCAGGGTGCCCCAAAACTCCCATCTACCCAGAAGATTTCAGTTTAACCTTTGGAAAGTATAAGTGACAAGGGTAAATATGCCCTCTCACCCAGGATTCCTATTTTAATCATGATTCAACTTATAGACAAATATTAGGCAGAAAGATGTTCATGATGGTTTTGTAAGAATGAAAATTTGAAAATAATCTAAATGTTAACAGCAGGAAGAAGAGTAAATAAATTATGTTCTCTCAACTGAATAGAATATTTAGCAACGATTTACAATATTTGATATAGGCTGTGGGGAACTAGGTACTCTTTAATACATTATTAGTGGGAGTATAAACTGGTATAAATCTTTTAGAGATAAATTTAACAGTATGATCAAAAGTAAAAAAAAGTGTACATGTGATTCAATTTTAGGGGTCTTTCCCAAGGAAATGATTAAAATTTGGTTTCACTTATAACAGCAAAAGATTGTGGGAAAAAAACCCTAGTTCCAACTGTAGGAAATTGGCTCAGTAAGTTATTATATAACAACAAACAGCCAAATTAATTTTGAAAAGGAAAAACAAAGCTGGAGGCATCACACTTTCTGATTTCAAAATATATTACAAAGCTACAGTCATCAAACAACAGTATGGAATTGGCATAGACACAAAGAGACCACTGGAACAGAATAGATACCCCAATAAACCCATCCATATATGGTCAACTGATGTTCGACAAGGGTGCCAAGAATACGCAATGATGAAAGGATAGTCTCTTCTACAAATAGTGCTGGGAAAACATGATATCCACATGCAAAAGAATGGAACTGGGCCCCTATCTTATGCTATACGCCAAAATCAACTCAAAATGATTAAAGACAAATATAAGACTGGAAATTGCAAAACTCCTAGAAGAAAACATAGGGGAAAATCCTCATGCCATTGGTCTTGCAATGATTTCGTGGACATGACATCAAAAACACAAGCAACAAAAACAAAAATAAACAAAGCCGGATTAAATCTAACTAAAAAAGCTTCTGCACAGCAACGGACACAATCAACAGAGTGAAAAGACTGAGAGAAAATATTTGCAAGTCATATTTCTTATAAGAGGTTAATTTCCAAAAATTCTAAGGAACTCCTACAACTCAACAGTTAAAAAAAACAAAAACAAAAAACTAGTAACCTGATTTAAAAATTGGGCTCAGAACTTGAATAGACATTTCTCCAAAGAATATATACAAACAGCCAACAGGTATATGAAAAAATGCTCAATATCACTAATCATCAGGAAATGCATATCAAAACCACAATAAAATACTTGTCAGGGCTAGGCGCAGTGGCTCACACCTATAATCCCAGCACTTTGGTAGGCCAAGGCAGGTGGATCACCTGAGGTCAGGAGTTCGAGACCAGCCTGGCCAACACAATGAAACCCTGTCTCTACACAAAATACAAAATTAGCCAGGTATGGTGGCACATGTCTGTAATCGCAGCTACTTGGGAGGCTGAGGCAGGAGAATCACTTGAACTGGGGAGGCAGAGATTTCAGTGAGCCGAGATCACACTACCCCAGCCTGGGCAATAGAGTGAGACTCTCTCTCAAAAAAAAAAAAAAAAAGATACTTGTCGGATGGTTATTATAAAAAAAAAAAAAAGACAAGTGTTGGTGAGGATGTGGAGAAATTGGAACTCCTGCACGCTTTCAGTGGGAATGTGAAATGGCGCAGCTGCTACAGAAAACAGTATGGAAGCTCTTAAAAAAATTAACAATAGAACTTCCATAACATCCAGCAAGCCCACTCTGGGTATTTATCCAAAAGAATTGAAATCAAGACTTTGAAGGGATATTAGCACTCCTTTGTTCAATGCAGCATTATTCACAATAGCCAAGATGTGGGAACAACCCAAATGTCCATGACAGATG
This sequence comes from Homo sapiens, assembly GCF_000001405.40. NCBI lineage: Eukaryota > Metazoa > Chordata > Mammalia > Primates > Hominidae > Homo > Homo sapiens. Next base: position 69,304,863 of record NC_000014.9, on the reverse strand, counting down.
AACGGATAAAGAAAATGTGGTAGATGCATACAATGAAACTATTCAGCCTTGAGAAAGAAGGAAATCCTGCCATTTGCAACAACACAGATGAACCTTGGGGACATTATGCCAAGTGAAATAAGCCAGTCCCAGAAAGACAAATACTGCATGATTCCACTTATTTAAAGTATCTAAAATATGATGATGTCAAATTCATAGACATCAAAATGTCAGATTCATGGTTGCCAGGGGCTATTGGGGGAGGTGTAAAGGAAATGGGGAATTACTAATCAACAGGTGTGAAGTTTCAGCCAAGCAAAAAGAATGAGCTCTAGAGTCTGCTGTACAACATCGTACCTATAGTCAATCATAATGGATTTTACACTTCAAAATTTGCTAAGAAGGTAGGTCTCATGTTATGTGTTCTTACTGCAATAATATAAAAGAAAAAACCACATATGGAATTAAAAGCCCTACATTTTCTCACTCATTGACATGTGATCTATTAGAAGTTATTTAAATTTTCTGAATCTCCATCTCTTCACTTATAAAATTAAACCATAATAGAACCTGGACTGAACTCTCCAACTCTGTCAAGAGGGCAGAAATTTACTGTTGGCCTTTACCAGTCTGTTTCATATTTCAAAAGAATATTGGATATTGCAAATCAGAACTGAAGGGGTAAACTTATTTAACCTGCGATTGGTTGGTGTTTTCCTGTCATTTTAAGAGGCTAAATTTGTAGTGGGCAACTGTGAAAATACTTGTACAATTTTAAAGTGTCATCATTAAACGTGAGCTGATCCCTCACCCCCACCCCCAAAAAGAGCCCGGAAAAAAAGTGATGGAAGACTCCTTAAATAGAACACATTGCAATTATAAAAATGACGCAGAAATCAACATTTTTTAACATGGAAAGATGTTCACTAGACACAGTTAAATGGGAAAAAATGAGCTACAAATTAATATGTGCATTTTGATCCCATTTTTGTTTATCTAGATGTTCTCATTTATCTTGCTGAATAATTATACCTCTGAAATCAAGAAAAAATAACAATAATAATATTAGCTATGAAAGCTCTGTAGCAGTACAGAAAAATGCTTGCACAATAAAGGGAGGAAAGGGCAGGATAAAATTGTATACACTTTGTGATTGCAGTTGTGTAAAAATTACGGACCTTGACAGGAAGGGTATACTGAAAACTAAAAACTGTGATTTGTTAGGATGGGAAGATTATGGGTGATTTTCCATCCTTTCGGTTGTTACTATGTTTATGTAATTGTTATTTTTTAAGTGGGAAAAAATCTTTTCAGACTTTTTCCTCTGTAGCCTCTCCCCTTCTTGGAATGGCTGTCTTTATGGTAAGTAAGGCTGCTTACTAAATATAACGCATTACATGGGCCTAGTGTACAGCTTACTGCTACTTTAATGGAGAAAGGATGGTCTCTGCAACACATGATTGGAGCTGACTTTCCCTGGGTGAAGTCTCTGCCATCTCTACCCTATTTCTTATCAGCCCTGATCCCTGACCCCAAGCAGCAGATGCTATTGGGCTAACCAGCCCCTCCCTTTGGGTTCTTTAGCACCTTCAGGCCCCATCCATTTTAGCTATCTTGGATCCCACCTGGAGGCTCAGGACCTTGCTGAGGCAGAATGACGAGCAAATGTAAACCAGTAACAATGGGTCAGGGCGCCCTCACATACAGCTGTGGAAGGTACATTTCTTTGTAGAAAACAACTTGGCAAATGCATCAAAAGCCTTTAAAATGTTCACAACCTCTGGTCTAGCAATTTTGATTCTAGGGTGTTATAAAATAATAAGTAATGAAGATGTAGGTACAAAGATACATGCTTAATATTTCTTAGTAAGATATTGGAAATAATCTAAATGTCCAATAATGGGAGAGTGGTTAAATTATGCATTATCACAAGGTTGCCATGTAAAATACAGGATACCCAGTTAAATTAAAATTTCAGATAAGCAACAAATAATTTTTTTGGTATAAGTATGTCTCAAATATTGCTGTAAGACACAGTTATTCTAAAAATGTATTCTTTTTTATAGTATTTGTTTATCTAAAATTCAAATTGGGATATAGTTATACTAAAAATTTATTCATTTTTATCTGAAACCCTAATTTATCTGGATGTCTTGTATTTTTACTTGCTAAATCTGGTCACCCTATATGTCCATATGATGGAATACAATATAGCCATTAAAATTCATATTTTTAGTGCAGTAGCTTTCAAATTGTGTTTCTTCTCTTCCTGTGCTTTAACTAGAGCATCTCACCTTTTATCTCTTTTATATTTTAGACTTCTGTGCAAGATTCGGTTTAAAAATAAGGGTTCCATTACTAAACAAAGTTTGAAAAACACTGTTTTAGAAAACTAACAACAGGAGACAGTGCTCATAAAATAGATATTACATAAATAAAAAAATCATGTTAAAATCAGTATGATTCTAGGTTTGTGTGTACATGCCCATACACACACAGAGAAAGAGAGAATGAGAGAGACAGACAGACATCAAACACACTGGAGAAATCTTTTTTTAAAAAAACAGTTATTATTTCTGGGTGCTGGGATTATAGGTGATTTTTGGAAGATTTCCAGAAGATTTTTTTCAAGTTTTCTTCAATGAATAAATGCATTTACATTTTGAAAAAGAATCACTATTAAAAATATCTACCTTCTCAGATGACACTAATACTTTAACATCATTAATTCTCTGTATCTGTGATTATTAAATCAGGGAGTTATGAACTCTCTGGGGATCTAATGAAATCTGTATCCTATTCTCAGAAGGCAGAGTCACACAAAACTTTGCATGCAGCACCCCCACCTCAACTTCTTGTTAAGAATCCCTCTTGAGATTCTGTTTTCTGTGTGTGTGTTTGTTTGTTTTAGATGAGGTCTCACTGTCACCCAAGCTGGCGCCATCTCGGCTCACTGCAACCCCGCCTCCTGGGTTCAAGCGATTCTCCTGCCTCAGCCTCCCGAGTAGCTGGTACTACAGGTGCACACCACCATGCCCAGCTAATTTTTTGTACTTTTTGGAGAGAGCAGGTTTCACCATGTTGCCCAGGCTGGTCTCAAACTCCTGAGCTCAAATCATCTGCCTGCCTTGGCCTCCCAAAGTGCTGGGATTACAGTAGTGAGCCACCACGCCCGGCCCTTCCCTAGATTCTTGATTCTAGAATGCAGTTACTTAACTCTGCCTGTTTATAAAGCCACATACTTTGGGCTGGGTGCAGTAGTTCACACCTGTAATCCCAGCACTTTGGGAGGCTGAGGCAGGCGAGTCTCTGAGATCAGCCTGGCCAACATGGTGAAAGCCTGTCTCTACTGAAAATACAAAAATTAGCCAGGTGCGGTGGCATGCACCTGTAATCCCAGCTATTAGGGAGTTTGAGGCAGGAGAATCACTTGAACCCAGGAGGTGGAGGGTGCAGTGAGCAGAGATCACACCACTGCAGTCCAGCCTGGGCAACACAGAGAGACTCCGTCTCAAATAATAATAATTTAAAAAAATAAAGCTACATACTCTGTCCCTGAGGCAATGGTTCTTAACCTTTTCTGGGTGATGTAGGGAAGAGTGATCGCACACCTGCTGAGACCCTGTTAAAAGCTATGGACTCTTTCCTCAGGAAAAAAGCACACATAAACTCTCACGCAGCTGCAGGGGCTTTCAGAGGCTCACAAACTCCTGAGGTCCATTCTTGGAGTCCAGATTCAGAATCCCTGGTGCAATCCCAAGCCTTTGGCACTCCCTGGAGCCTGAAATCCCCAAGTTCCTTTTGGGCCAAACTGGTTAAACATGGATTTTGAAAAAAGGAACAAAGCCAGGGATAGAATTAGCTCAGCACTCCCAGGGGGCTGCCTCACAGCAAGCACTTTAAAGTGTGTGAGAGAGAATATGATGCAGAGGAAGAATTTCTTGTACTCTGAGTACCGCTGAAAAGCATTCAATTTGGGAGGGCTCCACGGACAGGAAGAACCAGAAGGTAAATCCCAAGTTGGTACCTCTGACTTCCTATGTCCCATGCCTTTGGGATGGGGCGGGGAGGGGAGTGTGGGGGTAGGAACAGGAGTTTTGCTTTAATTCTGAGTTGGATGTCCTCTTGCTTTGAAAGATCTCTCAAGAAGCTGTACCAAGAACCAAACTCCAAGACCTCTACCAACTGTCATTGCACAGGGGACTGCTAGGACCTAGGAGGAGGGCCTGCAGGTAGGGCAGGTGATTTGGCAGTAGCTCTCCAGAGGTTAAATGGGCACACCCCAAGTGAAATGGAAGATTCTGCAGATGACTCAAATCAATATTTAAAACCATTCCTGCAGGCTTCAAACATCACCCCAGACCCTAATAGGCAAAAGCAAGCGTGGTTTTCTGAGATCAGAGAATGCTGCCTGGGCTCCCTAGAGGGTAACGGCTCTTAGAGGTGGCCTTAGAGGTGGCAGCAGCAGAAGCATCACTAGCTACAGCCCCAGTGACAGCAAGGGCAGGAGTGGCATCACCCCAGTGCTGATGCTGCTCAGTGTTTCCATTTCTGGGTCTGCATATTTGTGAATATGTGAGTGTGCTTATGTGTATACACAGGCACAAGCTTTGCTGTGGACAGGGATGTGTCTGTGTGTATCAGAGCACATGTGTGTGTGCGGGTGTAGCACACACACACTTTAAATACAAGTTCTTCAAGGGGACACAGAGGGGTTCACCCAGTGGTTAGAGATTCGCTTATTTTGGAATTGACTTTTGTTTTTTCAAGTTTCAGAGCCATTTGTGGGGAAAGGAGGCAGCACCCTAGGAAACATCCCTTCCTAAAATGTGCACACACGTGCTAAAAGCAGCCGCTGATGGGCTGGGGAAGAGAGGCCTGGCTCTCTGGGGCTTCATCCTTTCATCCTGCTTCTGAGGCTGCTCGAACTCTTGTAACATCTCAGAGCTGCTCCATCAGACCCTGTAACACGGACACCTTGGTGTCTTAGAAGGAGATAAGGACAGAATCTGTGGGAAGCCTCCACTGTAGCCTGAAAGTTCCATGGTGAAGATGGGGTTCCCAGCAGCCAGCCCAGGGGAGTGACAGTCACAGGCCTCCCAGAGACCTGGCCCAGGAGTTTCCTCAATACGCTTCTTGGAGGCTTTATGAAGCAGAAGCGTGGCTAGGGCTCTGGGAGGCAGGAAGACCTGATTTGAGTCTCAGCTCCCCACAGTGAGCAAGATGTATAATTCACTCAGCCTCCACCTCTGCACCTGCAAAATGGGGACAATGACAGAACCTCTTCCTTAAGGACATTAGGAAGACTCAAGGTAATGCCTCCACAGCACACTGCTCAGCACTCCCCACCCCACCTTACGGATGAGGCTGCCCCAGCTCTGGAGCACCCCCGGAGGTCAGCCACAGTCTTTGCTGCAACACCATCACAGTGGAGCATCTCCCTTTGCACCATCCTGTGTGCCTTGCGAGTATTCATTCCAAAGTACTGCCAGATAAACTTGCTGCATGCAAACCTCCGTCTCCGAGTCAGCTTCCTAGGAACCTGAGACTTGAGGCGAGATCCCTTAGGGAGCAAATGAAGTGAGAACAGCCTTGACAAACAATTCTGGAGGAACAGTAGGGACAAAAACCTCACTGGAGTGGATTCAAGAAAGAATGAAAGGAGAGAAACAGCACAGCAAGGATAGGCAACTCTTTCCAGGAGTTTTGCTGTTTTACTAGGAGCACAGAGATGCAGAAACAGCATGCCATTTTCCCAGGGCTACTGCACGTGCTGAAATCGGGCCCTAGATATGGACACCTGTCCTGTCTGCCTCAGTCTCAACTGCACACAGATGTTTCTTATGCTTCATCCAAATTGTCCAGTTGTTCTCAGCAGAAGAACTGCTCTGATACAAGCTAGTTCATTCTAGCTGGGAGCAGAAGTGCAAGGCCTCGGCCTTGGGTGATGTCCAGAGTTGAGTGTCGGGATCTCTGAAGACACAGGAGGCAGCTCCCTCTTGGCTGGGCCTACCTCTGCAGGACAAAAGCCTCCAGCCCTTGGGTAAAGGCAGATGCCTGGCCTCCCCCGACTCCAACTCTCCTCAGTCACACCTGCCTGCCTACAGCTCCAGCACCACAGAAGATACCCAGTAAAGCCACTAGCAACCTTCCCACTAGGCCCCCAGATCTGGCTTATTAAATTGTCTTCTGTCACAAGGACCACTTACTTACAACAGCTGTTGCTGTGGCAACCAGGCAGCCAGCCTTCCGCTCCAGCTAACAGCCATGAAGCTCCTGCTGACTACTTGGCTTGGGCAACTGCAGGGGAAGTTGCCCCCAAAGTGTCTGTGAGGATGGAACATGGTGGAGGACGTGGGAAGTGGCGACAGGGAACGGGAGGCTGATTGTGAAGTGCAGAGATTTGGAATTGTTCTATCATTCCCTACCAACAGGTTGGAAGAGCTATGAGATGACTCCCGCCAGAGGGGTTCCCACACCTTCTTGTGATATAGGCCACTTCTCCAGCAACACCTCCTTACCCACTCCACTCCCTATCTACAAGCTGAAGGAGGGAGGGCCCTCCAGGGGCAGAGAGAGGGCCACACACAGCTAGAACAGAATCCTGCCAATGCAGGTGAAGGGCGCTGGGCACTCACCAGCCCTGAGAAAGAGGGGGGCATCAGGAACTGGCATTGGCAGGCCCCAACGTTGCTGTTGAGAGGCTGTAACTCCTCTGCCCTCCTGACTCTTCCTGAGAGAGGGGCTGCTTTCTTTAACCAGTCCTGAATGTCTCTAGTCTGAACTTGTAGCTGAGTGACTAGAGATTTTGAAGTTGCATAGATGAGTGTTCAAACCTTAGTTTTTTCAGTTGCTACCTGTTTAACATGAGGCAAATTACTTAACCTCTCTGAGCCTCAGTTTTTGTAGCTGTAAAATAGGGGTGAGTACAGTACCGACCAACAAACTGTTTCAAGGATTAATTGAGATCGAGCACATAAAGTATGTAAGACACAATGCTGGCACATAACAAGCTCTCAGTAAGTCGGTAGTATTATAGTTATTATTGCTATTGTTATCATCACCGACGATTATGTCACTAGAAGACCTAGAGGCTGAACACATAATTGAGAGACTTAGAAGAACTGAGAATGATAAAAGAAACCTCAGCATGTGATCTACAATATGGTATTATTTTTGTTTTTAAAAAAATGTTAACTGGATATCTCTAAGTGACAGTGTTATGTTTTTCTTTGTAGTTTGTTTTTTTTTTTGGCTTTTCCAAATACATAATACTAATGCAATTAGAAAAAAATACTCTTAAAGATTGAGGATGAGCATTAAAAGTGAGCTAAGTACTAAAAACCATGGACTGGTACACTTTAATGGGTGAATTGTATAGTATGTGAATCATGCCTCATTAAAGCTGTTATTTTTAAAAACCTTAAAACATGAGTCAAGGTGTATAAGAATAGCCCATTCAAAAATTCTTAACATAAAAATGTATAAACTAAAGCAAAAAGAGTAAAAGAAAGAAAGAAAATGAGGCGAGAGCTAAAAAACAGAACTATTATGTAACAGTTAAAAGGTCTGATAACTCACTCTATTGGTGAGGCAATAGGAAATCAAGAACTTGCGAGTGTATACGTCTGCTGGGAGTGTCAATCGATACGACCGCCAAAGAGGGCAAATCAGTAAAAATTACAAATGCTACAAATGGACATACTCTCTCACCCAGCAATTCCTTTTTAGGAAATATATCCTATAGATATTTTGCATGATGAATGACATATGTACAAGGCAATGAACCACAGCATTGCCTGTTAAGAGTAAAAGACTGAAATAATCCAAATGTCCATCAGTAGGTGGCTGATTGAATAACTTATGGTATAGCTACACAACGAAATAATATGTAGCTGTAAAAATGTAAATAAAAGAATGAGGAAGCTGTCTTCTGATATGGAAAGATTTCTAAGCTATACTATTAAGTGAAAAAGAAATCAAGGTACAAAACAGTATATGTAATATGCTACCTTTTGTGTAAAAGGTGAGAAAAGGCATCTATCTATCTATCTATCTATCTATCTATCTATCTATCTAGCTCTATCTGTCTGTCTATCTCTATCATCTATCTGTCTATCTATCTATCTATCTATCTATCTATCTATCTATCTATCATCTATCTGTCCATCTATCTAGTTTTATTTTGTGTTGAGACAGGGTCTGGCTCTGTCATACAGGCTGGAGTGCAGTGGTGTGATCTCGGCTCACTGCAACCTCTGCCTCCCAGGTCCAAGCAATCCTCTCACCTCAGCCTCCTGAGTAGCTGGGACTACAGGTGTGTGCCACCATGCCAGGCTAATTTTTATATTTTTGTAGAGATGGGGTTTTGCCATGTTGCCCAGGCTGGTCTTGAACTCCTGAACTTAAGTGATCTGCCCACCTCGGCTTCCCAAAGTGCTGGGATTACAGGCATGAGCCAACACACCTGAGCAAGACTATATATTTATATTTTCTTGCATATGTGATGTGGTTTGGCTCTGCGTTCCCACCCAAATCTCATGTTGAATTGTAATCCCCAGTGTTGGAGATGGGGCCTGGAGGGAGGTGATTGGACCATGGGGGAGATTTCTTATGAATAGTTTAACACCATCCCCCTTGGTGCTGTTCTCATAATAGTGAGTTCTCATGAGATCTGGTTGTTTAAGTATTTAGCACCTCCTCCTCCTCCTCTCTTCCTCCTACACTGGCCATGTGAAGTGGCTCACACCCCCTTTACCTTCTCCCATGATTGGAAGTTTCCTGAGGCCTCTCCAGAAGCAGAAGCTTTTATGCTTCCTGTACAGCCTGCAGAACCGAGAGTCAGTGAAACCTCTTTTCTTTATATATTACCTAATGTCAGGTATTTCTTTACAGCAATCCAAGAATGGACTGATAACGATATGCATAAAGAAATTCTGGAAGGGTCCATGAACAAAACGGTGGTTGGAGGGAACTGAGAACTGAGCAGATGGGGGATAGGACTTTCCAGAGTGAAAGAAATATCTTCTTATACTCCTTGGTCTTAGAACCTGATTAATATATTACCTATGAGAAATTAAGTACTCCAGAAAAAAAAATATATTGTGAGTGGTTTCGATGAAAGAACAATGGCAAAATGTTAATGTTAATTTTTTAATTTTTTTTGAGATGGAGTCTCGCTCTGTCGCCCAGGCTGGAGTACAGTAGTGCGATCTCAGCTCACTGTAACCTCTGCCCCCTGGGTTCAAGCAATTCTTCTGCCTCAGTCTCTCATGTAGCTGGGACTGCAGGCACGTGCCACCATGCCTGGCTAAGTTTTGTATTTTTAGTAGAGACAGAGTTTCGCTATGTTGGCCAGGCTGGTCTTGAACTCCTGACCTCAAGTGATCTGCCCACCTCGGCCTCCCAAAATGCTAGGATTACAGGTGTGAGCCACTGTGCCCAGCCTAATTTTTTTTTTTTTTTTTTTTGAGACAGAGTCTCACTTTGTCCCTCAGGCTGAAGTGCAGGGGCGCAATCTCAGCTCACTGCAGGCTCAACCACCCTGGCTCAAGCGATCCTCCCGTCTCAGCCTCTCAAGTAGCTGGTACTATAGGCATGCGCCACCACACCCAGCTAATCTTTTGTATTTTTGGTAGAGACAGGGTTTCCCCATGTTGCCCAGGCTGGTCTCGAACTCCTGAGCTCAAGCAATCCACCCGCCTCAGCCTCCCTAAGTGCTAGGATTACAGGCGTGAGCCATGGCACCCGGCCAATGTTAAATGTTGAGGTGGTTGATGGGCCCGTGGGGGTTCATTGTATGTTTAAATTTTTTCGTAATAGATTATTAAAATTTTAAAAGGTATTCATAAAGATCAAAAGGTGGAAACAATCCAAATGTCTATCATCTGGTGAATGAAAAAATATGAGGCATATCCATTCCATGGAATATTATTCATCAATAAAAATGAACAAACTACTAATATAAACTACAACATGGGTGAACCTCAAAAATATCATGTGAGCCAGCGCGGTGTCCTGTGCCTGAAATCCCCGCTCCTTGGGAAGCTGAGGCAGGAGGATCCCTTGAGCCTAGGAGTTCAAATCCAGTCTGGGCAACATGATGAGACTCCCCTCTTTAAAAGTAAATAAATATTTAAAAAATCAGGTAACGTGAAAGAAGCTAGTCACAAAAGACTGCATATTGTAGGTTCCATTGATATAAAATGTCTCCCCTAAAAAGCAAATCCATGGAGACAGAGAGTAAATTAGTGGTTCCCTAGGGCTGGGGGTGGGAAGGGGAAGTGACTGTATGTGGGCATGCGGGATCCTTTTGGGATAACAGAAACGTTCCAAACTTGATTATGGTGTAAGTTGCACAAGTGTAAATTTAGTACAAGTCCTTGAATTGCAGTTAGAACTAGTGAATTTTTTTGGTATGTAAATCGTACCTCAGTAAAGTGGCTTTTTAAAAAGGTAAAAGGGGGCTGGGCGCGGTGGCTCATGCCTGTAACCCAGCACTTTGGGAGGCCAAAGCAGATGGATCATTTGAGGTCAGGAGTTCAAGACCAGCCTGACCAACATGGTGAAACCCCATCTCTACTAAAAATACAAAACTTAGCCAGGCGCAGTGGCACGCACCTGTAATCCCAGCTACTTGGGAGGCTGAGGCAACAGAATGGCTTGAACCCAGGGGGTGGAGGTTGCAGTGAGCCGAGATCGCACCATTGCACTCCAGCCTGGGTGACAGAGCGAGATGGGAGGCCAAGGCGGGTGGATCACAAGGTCAGGAGTTCAAGACCATCCTGGCCAACGTGGTGAAACCCGTCTCTACTAAAAATACAAAAATTAGCTGGGCATGGTGGTGCACACCTCTAGTCCCAACTACTCAGGAGGCTGAGGCAGGAAAATTGCTTGAACCTGGGAGGCAGAGGTTGCAGTGAGCCGAGATTATGCCACTGTACTCCCGCCTGGTGACAGAGCAAGACTCCGTCTCAAAAAAAAAAAAAGTATGGGTTCTGGCATTGGCCTCATTGGGTGAAAATGCCAACTGTCCCAGTGTAGCTGCTCCTTTATCTTCCTATTCCCTTATCAGTAACATGGTCCTGGGAATAACTAATGCTTACTATAAAGCCAGGCATTGGTTCCAGCACTTTACATATATTAATGCGCTTAAGCCTCACAACTCTCCTATGATCATCATCATTTTACAAATAAGAAAACTGGGCACGGAGAGGTTAAGTGACTTGCCTGTGGTCACACAGCTAGCAGGCAGTAGGGCAAGCAGTAGCCAGATTTTAAGGGCCAAATGCTTAACCACCATACTGTACCACCTCACAATGACATCACCTATTTCAGGTTGTTATGAGAATTAAATAAAAACAATGAATACAAAGTACTTGACATACAATAAGTGCTCAATAAATGCTAGTCAGGGAAGAAACTACTGCTTAACTGACTCAAATGGCTTGAATTTGTCCAATTGTATTTTGAAGTGTTTGGGGAGAAAAAAGCCAAGCCTGTTTTAAGAAGTATTCTGTCTGAAACAAAAGTGCTTAACTCTACAGAGCCTCTGTAAAGAAATCCCTTTTCTATCTGGTTTAGACATTAAGGGGTGCAGCAAGAAGCCAATGCAGTTCCTACCGCATCTGGGTTTCTTTGCAGCAGTGAGGCAGCGTGCTGAGGTTTAAGGCCCAGGCTTTGGGGCAGGACAGAACAGGGCTTGGTCCTGGCCCCTCTACCAATATGGCCATCTGATCAGTGACAAGATACTTACCTTCTGTTCACTCTCAGCTTCCTCATCTGTAAAATGGGTTGGAAAAAAAAACCTGCTTGGAGGTTGCAAGGAGGACATAATGTAATATGTGCAGAGTGCTCAGCATAGGTCATGGCACATATTGAGGGATTAATAGGTTCAGTCAATTATCTTCCACCTAATTTTCTTGTCACCACAGATGCATTTCTCATTACAGTTCATTAAGGAAGTGTAGCACTTTGTAGAGGAAGGTTAACAAAAGGTCTTGTGCTCTCAGCACTGTGATTTGACTCTCCACACTAGAAAAAGGCTGCCCAATGGGCCAACCCTGTCATCAGCCTGGAGGGACGACAGGAAATTTAGCCACTGTGTACAGCAAATCAAACTGGTAGGGGGAAGCCACCATCACTAGACTAATGAGAAAAAGATGAGGTGCTTTAAGTAGATCTGTGACTTTGGTATAAGAAAGGTTATTGTGGGTAGGAGGGAATGATTCTCCATCTCCCCAGAGAACAGAGAAAGAGCCACTGGGTCTAGACTGGGGCAGGAGGCTGGCTAAGCTAGCCTTAAAGGACTTTCCACGGGCCATTAAACTGGCCAAGGGTATGGAAGGAGACTCGTCTTGGTGTCATTAGGACGGAGATGCGCTCAGGAGCAGTCAGCTGTGCTCCTTCCCTGGGGCTCTGGGATGGCACTCCCATTCCCTGCCCTGCCTGCATTGGCCTCAGGCTCCTCTCCTAGGAGGAGCAGGGCCCAGCAGGGGCAGCAGCATTAAGCAGCTGACTCACCTTTTCCCCTCTGTCTCAGGACAGAGTTCATAATGGGAAACAAAGATGTGGTCCAGCATGCCAGCTAAGAGCACTAACTCAGGAATGAGGCAACCTGGATGGGAGTCCCGGCTCTGCCACTCACTAGCTGTGTGGCCTTGCACAAAGTACTTCACCTCTCTGTGCCCACTTCCTCTGTGCTCCAGGTCCTACCCCACATGGATATTGGGAGAAGAAAATTCTTAGCATGCCTGGGGACAGAGTTAATGCTCCATAATTAGCAGCTACTGTTAAGCTTGTGTTGAGGTTAAGACAGAGCCATCCACAGGTCCCCTTTCCTGCCAGAGATTCTTGTCTTGAGGAAGGACCCAGGATGCCATCAGGCCTGTGCCCAGGAGGGGTATCTGAACCCCTCCCAAGTTAGCAGTGCCTGTGGGGTCACACCCATTACAGGACTTCGGGTGCCTACTATAGTAATGACCTACCATAGTAATGACCGTGGTTCCTTCTGCTTTTATGGCACGGATCAGTTTGCAAAGCAATTTCACACGGTTTCTCAGTTCGGCTCTTATAAGCCTGTGAGCATTCTCATGGTAGCCATTTTACAGATGAAGAAATGGGGGAAGTCAAGGGAGGCAACGCAGCTAGTGAAGAAGGACTGAAGTCCAGGGGGTGGAACTCCTGTTCCACATGACCTTGAGCCTTCCTGGCAGAGGCGAGGATTGTCTTTCCCCATCCCACTCCCTTTCCTCCTGAGTGCCTGTGCCTGGTGGTCGGTGAGCACAGCATGGAGGCCTGGCAGGCTGGCTCAAGGTCAGGGCTTGGCGCATGTCTGTGGAAGAAGGTGCCTTTCCCATTGTTCTGACCAAGAGCAGGGTGGGTGGGGACCCTGACCTCACTGGGTTGTGTCCTTGTCAAGTCAGCTGTATGAATAGCTGGTCTACTGGAAGCCACCCAGCCTAGAGACTCGGAAAGTCAGAGCCAAGTCTCCCTCTTATCTAATAAGCCGGGGAGGGGGGCTTATTAGATAAGAGCTTTGGGGACAAACTTCAAAAGTTCCCACATAAAATTTTATTTTACTTTATTTTTTGAGACAGGGTTTCATTCTGCTACCCAGGCTGGAGTGCAGCGGCATGATCTTGGCTTACTGCAACCTCTGCCTCCTAGGCTCAAGCAATCCTCCTGCCTCAGCCTCCCGAGTTAGCTGGGACTACAGACACATGCCACTATGCCCAGTTAACTTTTTAAAATTTGTCGTAGAAACAGGGTTTTACTATGTTGCCCAGGCTGGTCTCGAACTCCTGGCCTCAAGCAATTCTCCTGCCTTGGCCTCCCAAAGTGTTGGGATTATAAGCATGAACCACCACACCCAGCCTGGAAGAAGTGTCCTTGACACTTGAGCTTCTAACCCTGTCTCCTGGCCGGCGGGCTGCCGCACCCCAGAACCATGTCTCTCAAGGGAGCTCTGTGGGTCCTGAAGCTTCAGGGAACCTTCCCTGGTGACGTTACCTTCCTCTAACACAGTTTAACTGTTGTCAGTCATGGAACCTGGATGGAAGGTTTTGGCACTTAATTCTTTCCATTTAAGGCTGAAATAGCATTTCCATTCGCCACACTCATTTTCGAGGGCTGGTAATTTTCTGAGACCATTACCATTTGGACTGAGATGGTTCCAAGCCCAGAGGTGAAGCACACGAGTTATTTTCCTAAGCCAGTCTGAATTCTGGGAGGCACTTTCAAGAGTCACATTCTTAACGTGAATCTTTCAATCATTCTCTGTCATAGCATCTTGGGGTCAATGAGAGCCTTACTATTTTTGCAACCTTTTCAACTGCTTTTGTCAGTTTAAAACCATCAACAATGAAACCGAAGGGCAAAGCCCCTGCCAACATCTTGTCTCAGCTCCTCTGCAGAGGCACCAAACACAGATGATTCTGGGAGTCTGTCCCTGCCGTGCTGTTCCCAGCTGCAGGCAGCCTGGGTTCAATTCTGATGTCTTGGGACAGCTTTTTCTTCCCCCGCCTTCCTGTTTGCTTGCAAGGCCATCCAAGATGTTGGTTTCCTGAGGCAAAGGGTCCTTCTCCTGGGAACACCATATTCGGTAAAACAACAGCTGCCTCCTAAGAACCTTGCAAAGATCTGGCAAGATTGTGTGGGTCAAAGTGCAAACTTGAGAGCATCTCCAAATAGCAGTTCCGGTGAGAAAGATGAACACATGGCGTGTGACAATAACTACCACTGTGGCACTGTCTCTTGCTTTTTAAAACCTTACACATTAGATCATTGATATTGACCAACAAAGCATATGTTCATATGAAATTCATTAACAAAAATAACTCAGAACAGGCCAGGCGTGGTGGCTTATGCCTGTAATCCTAGCACTTTGGGAGGCCGAGGCGAGCGGATTGCCTGAGCTCAGGAGTACAAGGCTACCCTGGGCAACACGGTGAAACCCTGTCTCTATTAAAAAAAACAAAAAAAAATTAGCTGGGCCTGGTGGCGGGCACCTGTAGTCCCAGCTATTCGGGAAGTTGAGGCATGAGAATTGCTTGAACCTGGGAGGTAGAGGTTGCAGTGAGACCGCGCCACAGCACTCCAGCCTGGGCGACAGAGTGAGACTCTATCTCCAAATAAGTAAATAACTCAGAACAACATCTACACTGGGTTCTGGGGACAGCGTTTGTTTTGGGAAGCCTAGTATCCATTTCCTCTTCCTAAGAGCACCCGTTTCCTTCCAGGAAGACTCCTGGTGGAGCATCCAGGAGTCTGCCCCACCACCACTATCACCACCATGGAAGCCAGGGCAGTCCTTGTAGGCCCCTGTGGAGACTGCCCACTTCTTCCCACCAAAGGGCAACCACAGGACATAGGCCGAGCCAACAAGCCGCTCTCAAGCCTTAGGCCTGAGGCCAGCAACTGAGATTTGTAGAGTCTGAACCTTCCAGCGAGCTGAAGCCTTCAAAAGTTTTGACCACAGAGACCTTCTGAAGCATCCTGGTTTCCAGTCTCCCCTGCATCACATTCCCTGATGACTTCAGTTAGTTGTGCAAACTTAAAACCAGAGACTTCAAAATGGATTCACTGGGCCTCATACAAGTTCAAGTGTTACATAATGACTTCCACATGGACTCAGCCACTCTCAAGACTCTCCAGCACCTTGGCATCCCTCAGAGGCCGCAAAAGGGAAAACAATGAGACTTCTATTTGACTGGGTATGGTGACCCACGCCTGTAATCCTAGCACTCTGGGAGGCCGAGGTAGGAGGATTGCTTCAGGCCAAGCGTTTGAGACCAGCCTGGGCAACAGGGCGAGACCCTGTTTCTACAAAAAATTTAAAAATTAGCCAGGCATGGGGGTGTGTGCCTATAGTCCTAGCTACCCAGGAGGCTGAGGCAGGAGGATCACTTGAGCTCAGGAGGTTGAGGCTGCAGTGAGCTGTGATCACACAACTGCACTCCCACCTGGGTGGCAGAGTGAGACCTCGTCTCTAAAAAAAAAAGAAGACTTCTATCCACTCGCTAGGATGACAGCCCATGCCAACACCAGACTCAAATATGCCCCTGCTCCACATGTGGGTTCTCTCATTCTCCAGGTGTTGGTTTTTCTGGACCTCATATTGAGTTTTGAAGTTTCTGATGCTGTGGAAGCTATTTTCCAATCTACAGAGTTCTGGGTTGATTGAAACCGACTGGAAGTTCTGATCCTTGAAGAGATAGCCTAGGAAGGGCCCATTAATCTCATTTTCTCTGAGTAATTCCAGGTGGTAAACTAGTGAGGCCTGGTGCTGCAACTCGCCAGGCCTGGCTAGGTGCTCGGTCAATGCAAAATGAATGAAGGAAACGTGGCCAGCCTGCTGGGTGTTGGGAAAGCATAGGGGCCAGGGTTACTGGTGGGAGAGCCGCTGTTTCACATGGGCCTCCTGTGTCAATGGGGGTCAGGTTTGGCAGCATCCCCACTAAAATTCATTCACCACCAATTGCATCAGAGGTTTCTTTGCTGCAGGCTGTCAACCTGTTCCAACTGCCTTCTGGTTTGCCTTAATGCAGAACAAGTGCCCTGTGGCTTTCTAAAGACGCAGCAGGGGGTAGTGGGAAGAGTCCTGCCGGGATGCTGGAAGCCAGGAGGCCTGGATTCCAGCCCTAGTCTGTCCAAACAAGCTGTGCAACTTTAAACAAATGATACTCTCTCCTGACCTTCATTTCCTCCCCCTGTAAATTAGGCCACTAGGCGGCTGTCCAGGTCACTTCCTAGATTTGACTGGCCCTTCTTTCAGTCCCTGCTGGAAAGCAGTACACAAAGAATTGAGCTAGGCAGTGGCAGACACTGTCAGTTTGCTTTGGACTTGGAGGGTCACTGATCCCAAGAAACACTTTTGGCTCTTAGCACTTCAGTCTTTGAGGACTTGAGAAACTTCAGGGAGAATTCAGAGCTCCTGGTGCTATGGAGGGTTTTCTCTGAGTCCTCAGAATTAGTCACCAAATACCCAGGCGAGGATCAAGAGGAAAATTTTCTACAGGATTTGGGCCCTGCAGTTAGGATTTTTGGTTAGCGTATCTCACTCAGAGGCAGCTGCATCATTTCCAAGCTGTGTTTTCACCTCAAATCTGAACACAAGAGGCAGTGTGGTCCAGGAGAAAAAAGTGCAGGTAGGAAAGGCGGGCTCCGTGTTGGCTGTGCTGGCCAGCAGATGGCTGTTTGCCTTTGGACAAGTCACTTAATCTCTCTGGAGGTTGGACTTGATTTCTATTCACTTATTTATTATGTATTCCCTGGAGCATTACTCACAGGGAGACAAAACATCCAGAGACGTGTAAGGGAGGGAGCAGGTACCCCCTCCCACTTCCAGTGAGGGAGCTCAGGCTACGGGAGCAGTTGTAGTTGCTATATTGCACCAAAAGGGAAACGCTGTGTGCTACTCAGTTCTGTTTGCTAAAAAGAAAGATTACCCAAACGTCAGGAGATAAACACTTCTTTCTTGCACTGAATTCTACAGTTCACTCATCCTTGCGTTTAGCCAGTAAACACTTACTGAGCATCTGGCTAGGCAGCCACTGTGCTGGGCCTGCAACAGCAACCAGACCTGAGGCTCCTGTCCCCAGGGAACCAACAGGGATTTTATCTCTGGGATGTATTTCACACAGTGGAGATACAATGATGTCAATGGCAATTGTACAAAAGATGCTCAAAGGGGCCCTATGAAAGTGAAGGGTGTGATGCAGAGTTGTAATTGCACAAAGATGGACCAACAGTGGGCAGAGTCACAAACCATGGTGAGGTGTGTGGGGTCTTGATCTGGAAAACCAGGAATGGTGAGTGACTCATATGTCCGGGAAAGTCTCTTGATTCACTGATGGGGGCTACACTGGTCAAGAAGATGCCGTGTGTTCTGTGGCAGGCCTGGGGTAGACGGGTCCTGTGTTTTTGACTGGAAAGAGGGCAAATTGTGTGGAGATGCCAGTCAAGACCTGCCTGATCACACTCCCTTTCTTTTTTTTATTAAAACATCGACATTTTATTATAAAATTTTTCAAACATTCTGAGAAGTTGAAAGAGTTGTATAGTGAACACCCATCTGGATCCCACTGTTAACATTTTGCTATATTTGCTTGATCATACAGCTCTCCTCTAACCATCCTTTCATCTGTCAGTCAACCCATCCTGATTTTTTGGTGCACTTCAAAGGAAGCTGTAGACCTCAGTATATTTCACTTAAACCCTTCACATGCATATTATTAAGTAGGAGTTATGTGTGTGTAAAATGCACAAATAAGAGTGCCTTTGGCCGGGCGCAGTGGCTCATGCCTGTAATCCCAGCACTTTGGAAGGCTGAGGCAGGCAGATTGCCTGAGGTCAGGAGTTTGAGACCAGCCTGGTTAACATGGTGAAACCCCATCTCTACTAAAAATACAAAAATTAGCCAGGCGTGGTGGCAGGCACCTGTAATCCCAGCTACTCCGGAGGCTGAGGCAGGAGAATCACTTGAAACCTGGGAGCCAGAGGTTGCAGTGAGCTGAGATCACACCATTGCACTCCAGCCTGGGCTACAATAGCGAGACTTCATCTCAAAAAAAAAAAAAAAGTGCCTTTGGATGAATTTTGGTAAGTGCATACACCTGTGTAGTCCAAATCCCTACCAAGAAATAGAGCAGTAATATCATTCCAGAAAGTTCCCTCATCTATCCCTTCTTACAGGATTCTGCCCTTGTCCCGCGTGCCCTACCCTTTGTTGTCCTACCCTATGAGTTCTGCGCCCTGTGGTTCTGAGCACCTGGCCACAGTGAGTTGCCCAGGCTGGGCACCTCACCCAAAGGCAAGCCAGCCAGGTGCTGGTTAAAGAGTGATCTTTAACCTCTTTGGCCTGGCTTGGCAGGGTAGGCCACACCTACCAGAGGCTCTTTCGAGAAGTGGGAAACTGGTTGCACTGGGGCGGGTGGGGGAGTCAGACCAGGATGCTGAGCTGAGGGGCCATGAGGCAGATCTGGGTTGGGGTCACTATGGTTGCATGCCATGTGCCAGCAGAAGTGTGGAAAAGCCAGAGCTAGTGAGGGGTAGGGGGTATGTATCCAGAAGATGAAGAAACTCTGTGTGAGAGATGGCACCGTCCCTGAGGGACAGATGGAGAGGGGGGCTCAGCTTCCTCCCCTTTCAACTGCAGTTCCAGTTCTCTGGTGTCCTCACAAGACCCTCTTTCTCTGAGGGTCAAACAGGCCCTTTCTCCATGCGACTGCCACAGCCCCAGCTACAATGGTGCCTACAATGGAAATGTAGACGATGGTACATTGTGCAGGTACAAAATTGACAGTGTGGCATAAAAATTAAAGGATCTTTCTTAAATGGGAGCCATCCTGCTTCCGTGTGTGATGGGCTATCAGCATGACCTCACTGCTCCTGGAAGATGATAACAATAATGACAACAGTAATGATGAGAAAACCACACATGACACTACACATTTTAGAGGTGTAATCTCATTTGATCCCCCTGACAATCCTATTCCCACAGCAGGCACTTTTATAGTCCCTGTGTTAGTCCATTCTCATGCTGCTATAAAGAACTGCCCCAGGCTGGGTGCAGTGGCTCAAGCCTGCAATCCCAGCACTTTGAGAGGCCGAGGTCAGGAGATCGAGACCATCCTGGCTAACACGGTGAAACCCCGTCTCTACTAAAAATACAAAAAATTAGCCGGGCGTGGTAGCGGGCGCCTGTAGTCCCAGCTACTCGAGAGGCTGAGGCAGGAGAATGGTGTGAACCCGGGAGGCGGAGCTTGCAGTGAGCCGAGATCTTGCTGCCCCACTCCAGCCTGGGCGAAAGAGCGACACTCCGTCTCAAAAAAAAAAAAAAAAAAGAGTGCCCGAGACTGGGTAACATATAAAGGAAAGAAGTTTAATTGACCCACAGTTCTGCATGGCTGGGGAGGCCTCAGGAAACTTACAATCATGGCAGAAGGGGAAGCAAACACGTCCTTCACAGGGTGGCAGGAGAGAGAAGGGCCGAGCAAAGGGGGTTAAAAGCCCCTTATAAAACCATTGGATCTCATGAGAACTCACTTGCTATCAAGAGAACAGCATGGGGAAACCACCACCATAATTTAATTACCTCCCACCAGGTCCCTCCCACGACACATGGGGATTATGGGAACTACAAGATGAGATTTGGGTGGGGACACAGCCAAACCATATCAGTCCCCGTTTTGTGACTGAGGAAACAGAACAGAGGTATACTTTGCCCATGTTCACACAGCTAGTAAGTTGTGGAACCAGAATTCACCATATTATGAAGCCGCAAGTCACAGCATTTTGCTGAATAAGAGGTTCCTGTACCGAAGCAGGTGCTCAGTGAAGGCCCCAGAGTCCTGTCCAGGGTGGGTGGCAAGTTTTCCACCCGGGAGCATTATTTGTCATGAGTGAGCAGCCACGTGTAAAAGCCTCCTGGCCCTGGCTCCCCAATGTCACCTTCGTCTGCACACGCCACACGGGGTGAGTTAACTGGAAGTTACAGCCCTGGAGCTGACACGCTGCTGGGAGTGCCTCCTTATACCTATCTGTGTGCAGCTCCTGAGACAGGTGCATTGATCTCTCTCTCCTTGCTGCTGCTGATGGGCCCACTCGCCTCTGGAGTCTGGAGGGTAGCAGGATGGCCTGGCTGCTGGCATTGAAGTGGTGGCTCTGCTTCCTTGTGCCTGAAGAGCAGGCATCCCTTTCTCGAGGAACTGCAGCAGGTGTTTGGGGGAAGATAAGGAGGAGGTCCAGCCCTGAGAAGTTGAGTCTAGTCTTAGGAGAGGGTCAAAGTTTGTATAGCAGGGCAGGTGTGAGCACCCAAAAAGCAGGAATCCATTTTTCCAAATCAGGATGGGTAAGGATGAGCCAAATCATTCTTAAGCACACCCTCTCCTGGTATTTATCCATGCCTCTGTTATCACCGATTCCCACCTTACTGTAAGCAACTTGAAGACAGGAGCTAGAATGTCTTGTTCATCTTTGATTTGCCAGCCCCCTGTACAGTTCATGACACATAGTAGGTGCATAATGAATATATCTTAAATGAATGAATACATGACACAGGGAAGACGAGAAAGCAGAGGGACAGTAATACAAACAAAAGGAATGCAGCACTTACTAAGTGTTGGGCACCATTCTAACAGCACCACTTAGAGTAAATAATCAAATCTTCTTAACTACCCTGTGATGTAGGTATGAGGCATAGAGAGGTTAAGTAACTTGCCTGAGGTCACACAGCTAGTAAGTGATAGAGCTAAATTTGAACCCAGACAGTTAGATTCCAGCATCGGTGGTCTTCATCCCTGTGATGACTACCATCCTGTCTATCCTACCTTGGAAAAGCTCCCTGGCACATTACACAAAGCTCCTCACCAGCCTGAGCCCAAGAGTCAGGACTCGTAAGAGGCCAAGTGTGACCCTGGTAGACAAACCATTATCCTAGCAACCACAACATGGGTGATGCAGACTATGAAAGACCAAGTGAGCAAAGAAACTGCAGCCATATCAATACTGGCCAGCCTCCCTCCGATTCAGGCAACATTTACTGTGTGCCCACCAAGTGCCAGGCACTGTCCAGGACCTGATGCAGCTAAACTAGGTGCACTCCCTGATGCGCTCAAGGAACCCAAGTGACTGACATTAGTGATCCATCATTTGTGGATCGTACTAATGTGTCCATAGTGTCTTTTCATGTAATTCTGTGACCTTAATCATGCTCATTTTATTGATGAAGAAACCGAGTCTGAGAAAGGTGAGATCACTTGCTCCATGGTAACTGCACAAATTTACAGGTATCTGCATGGCAGGTGCTGATATGGTGGTACAGAAGTGAACACCACAGATGGCCTTGCCCCTCATGAGCTGTAATGCTAGTGGAAGAGGTGGGATGGAGAGCAGTAGAGAACATATAAAAAATCATCTCGGCCAGGTGCAGTGGCTCACACCTGTAATCCCAAAACTTTGGGAGGCAAAGTTGGGAGAATCACTTGAGGTCAGGAGTTTGAGACCAGCCTGGCCAACATGGTGAAGCCCCATCTCTACCAAAAATACAAAAATTAGCCAGGTTGGTGGTGTGTACCTGTAATCTTAGCTACTCAGGAGGGATGAGGCAGGAGAATTGCTTGAACCTGGGAGGCGGACGTTGTAGTGAGCCAAGATAGCACCACTGCACTCCAGCCTGGGCAACAGAGGGAGACTCTGTCTCAAATAAATAAATAAATAAATAAATAAATAAATAGGACAAATTCTTAAGCCTGCACTTAGAGCAGATACGGGGCCTGCACTTAGAGCAGATACAGGGCCCGCACTTAGGCAGATACAGGGCCCATGTTCACATTATCCTTATAAAAGGGAACCCTAAAAAAATCATTTCCAAGGGCGATCATCGTGGGGAAGGCAACAAAGCAAGGTACAGGCTGGA
Organism: Homo sapiens; assembly: GCF_000001405.40. Lineage (NCBI taxonomy): Eukaryota > Metazoa > Chordata > Mammalia > Primates > Hominidae > Homo > Homo sapiens. Next base: position 69,282,467 of record NC_000014.9, on the reverse strand, counting down.
GAGGGCTGGAGAGAGGAGCCAACCATGGTCAGATCTGAGGAGCTAGGGGTGTTCTAGGCAGAGAGGATGGCCTGTGCAAAGCGCCCAGGGCAGGACAACTTGAGGTCCTGTTGGAAAGAAAGGAGGTCAGTGTGGAAGGAGCACAGTGCATGGAGGGAACAATAGGAGATGAGGAAAGTCGGGGACTCGAATCCAGGTCTGGTTGACTCCAGGCCTGTGCACTCCAACGCCACACAACACTGTGTCCACACAGGCAGCGGGCAAGGGAACTACTCAAGGAATCGCCTCCAGGGGATGCGGGTGGTCCCAGGTTACAGCCTCTCTGAAAGCGATGAAACCTCACCATGCAACTTGAGTTGTCTTCACATAAAGAAAACAAAGCCCAGCTAGTGCAGACATCGTCTTCGTCAAGGCTGACGTTTCTCATAGTTTCTCTGGGACAAACCCCATGATGTAACGTATGAAAATTCATAATCCTAACACTTAGTCTTTGAAGTGCTCTGTGCATGCAAATACTTACCAACAGGAGGCAATTTCAGAATGAGTGTTGTTTCTTTAATGACCCTCATGGTTACTTGGGGTTTAGACAGGCACTGGGGACAGTCTCAGCTCCTACCCAGCACCCACCCTCGGGCAGAGGACTGTGTCTGGAGTAATGGGAGACTGTATTGGGTTCTTCAATACAGGCTTGTAAAATATCAGGTCTCAGAAATGGCACATGTCTGTGTGCTGGGATGGAGAAAGGCTGACGTCAGAGTTCTTTAACAAGCCACTTCTCCTTGGGGTCACGTGAGCACATGAAGCCCAGGAGTGGAGGGTTCAGCTGGTGTCATGACTACACAGGGATGCAGCCTCCAGCCCTGCTGGCAACAAAGGAGAGAGATTTCCACCGCCAGGCTCACAGAACATTGAAAGCGGGGAGGGCAGACAAGCAGAGCACTGGGTCCACCAGCTTTGCAATTGTCCTTCTTTTCCTCTCATCCTTTTCCTCCATCCCAATCCAGGGGTGCTTTGGGGACTCTGAGTGGGACCCTGCACACCTAACAAGGTCTGGAGCTGAATTAGGTTCTCCCCGTCTTTATATGCCTGTGTGGTTAGGAGCCCAGATGTCTGCTGTATATCCTAGCACTGTGACTGATTAGCTGTCACACCCTCTCTGAGTCTCAGTTTTTTCATCTGCAAAATGGAGATACTGACAGTTCCTTGTTCACTGCATTAAATCAGAGAAAGTGTCAAGCTTTTTGGTCTGGGTGTGACACACAGTAGGCCCTGTAGGTTCAACCACTGCAGAGTCCCCAGGTGCTCACGATGGACCAGGCACTGTGGAGGTCAAGTACGATCGCGGACTCTGTCCACTGGGTATACAAGGAACAGCTAAGGAAAAGCAATCTGTAGCACAGTTGGGTTGGTGCACAGCAGCTGCTGCCCTGGTCTCGGGGGTTGGTGTGGGCATGTGGCGAAGACTCCGTGTTTTTATTAGCCATGAGCAGTTTGGCCACCTTTACAACTCACTGCAGCGAAGGCAGTGGGGGCTCCCCTAAGGGCTGTAACCTCAGCTTCTTCCCCAAGGGGAGGAAAGGGAAGAGAAAACATCATGAAACTGATGGAGCCAGGCCCTCTCAGGGAGCTATACAACCTGGAGGTAAATAGCCTTTGGGCCCTGGAGTTGCCCTCTGGATTCGAATCTGGATGTTCCCCCAATCTGCCACCAACTCTGGGACCTTGGGCAAGTGACTCAACCTCCATGGGCCTCATCCAGGCAACAATGTTCATTGTATACTTTCTAGGGGTGGGCACTCTGCTGGATGCCTCAGCTCCCTTATCCAGCTAAAACGGTAAGAAAAAGTTATGGTGATTCCTCAAAAAATTAAAAATAGAATTACCATATGATCCAGGAATTCCACTTCTGCATATATACCCCAAAGAACAGAAAGCAGCGTCTTGCACAGATACTTGTACACCATGTTTGCAGCACCATTATTTACATTAGCCAAAATGTCGAAGCAGCCCGGGAGGTTCACTGATGGATGAATGGATAAACAAAATGTAGCATAGACATACATAGGAGTATTTATTATTCAGCCTTAAAAAAAGGAAATTCTGACACATGCTACAACATGGATGAACACTGAGAACACCACACTGAATGAAATGAGCCATCACAAAAGACACCACTTACAGGATTCCACTTATATGAGGTACCTAGAGTAGTCACAGTCATAGAGACAGAAAGTAGGATAGTAGCCTCCAAGGGCTAGGGAGAGGGGAAATGGGGAGTTAGTGTTTAATGGGCGTAGACTTTGAGTTTGGGAAGATGAAAGAGCTCTGTAGATGAATGGTAGTGATGGTCACACAACAATGTGAATGTCTTTAATGCCATTGAATTGTACATTTAAAAATGGTTAAGATGGTAAAGTTTATCTTATATGTATTTTACTACAATACAAAATTTTAAAAATAAGAAAAATAAATCAATACCAGGCACCATTATTTCTGTTGCATAGGGAACATGAGTAGGTTATTCTAGGCTGGGCTCTCCTGTAGTCTGTGTGGCTTGGGAACAGAATAAGTACCAGCTTCAGGGTGAAGTTGCAGTCTCTTCCCCCAACAGCCCAGTCTTATTTCTTGGCCTAGGCCCCCTCCATTCAGGCTACAATCCCATGAGATGACCCTACAAGATGGAATTGGGGTTACTACGCCAAGCCTTTGCCACACCCCTCACCTGATGTTCCTTCCTGTGTCCACCAAGCACACGCTCATCTTCAAAGATTCAGCCCTCAGTGAAGCTGTCCAAGACTGTGCTATACTCGGCATACGCCCTGACACGGCCCCCACAGCCTTTCCCACACCCACTCAGTCCCTTACAGGGCTGAGCAACTTGAGGGCAGGAACTGGGTCTTACTTATCCTTGTAAACCAGCTTCTAGCTTAGTGCTCGTTGCACACAAGAAAACCAATGCTTTTTCAGTGGAGATCTACATAACATTTATTGAACACACTTACTGTGGACAATGTTCTGAGATTTACAAAAGATTGTCTCATCTTAACAACTCTAAAAGGTAGTGCTATCGTTACCTTCAGGGTAAGACAAGTGAGGCACTCACCTCAGGTGCAAATGTAAAGGGACCCCCCAAAACTCAGTAATCAAGGTAAGTAATATTTTAATGAAGTATTTTTAAAAATCAAAATTAATGCAAAAAATTCTTAATGAACAAAATATTAAAATTTAAGATAAATGGCCAGGCGTGGTGGCTCACGCCTGTAATCTCAGCACTTTGGGAGGCCAAGGTGGGCAGATCACCTGAGGTCAGGATTTCGAGACCAGCCTGGCCAACATGGTGAAACCCCATCACTACTAAAAATACAAAAATTAGCCAGGAGTGGTGGCGAGCGCCTGTAATCCCAGCTACTTGGGAGGCTGAGGCCGGAGAATCGCTTGAACCTGGGAAGCGGAGGTTGCAGTGAGCTGATACTGTGCCACTGCACCCCAGCCTCGGCGACAAGAGTGAGACTTTGTCTCAAAAAAAAAAAAAAAATTAAGGTAAAGACAGGATCTGGCTCTGTGCATAGATAATTTGCCTCACCCTAATTCCAGCCCTGTCAGATCCTGTCTTTATTTGAAATTTGATCTTTTGTTCAACAATTTATTTTGAGGTATTTATCTAAGGAATTAATCAATGCTATGTGCAAAGATTTGCCTTCAGGAATGCTCACTGTGTTGTTTATAACTATGAAACACGGACAACACATTTGGTTAGACCATACGAAACTGCCAATTTGACAATTTTTTACCTAAAATACAACATTATATAGTCCAACCTAATCTAAACATTCATCATTTATGAACTGTGATTATATAGTCTATGGAACAGTAGACAACAATGAAATCCTAGACAGACATTTAAAAATATTTGGAAGAAGATTATGATACAGAAGAGTATTCGTGATATAGTGTTAAATAAAAAGAACAAGTTACAAACAGTATAGAATCTATAATTTCCTTTTTTTAAAAATCAATCAAAAAAGATCTGAATCAATTATTTGCCAAAACATTAATAGCAGTAACCCTGAATGGTAGGATTTGGGGTGATTTTTATTTCCTTCCTTTTGATTTCCTGCCTTGTAAATTAAACACATATTATGTCTAAAGGGACAGAATATGACCAGTGTGGTGGCTCACGCCTGTAATCCTAGGACTTTGGGAGGCCAAAGTGGAAGGCCTGCTTGAGCCTAGGAGTTCAAGACCAGCCTGGGTAACATAGTGAGACCCCGTCTTTCCAAAACATTTAAAAATTAGCCGGGCATGGTGGTGTGCACCTGTAGTCCTAGCTACAGGCTGAGGCTGAGGTGGGTAGATACTTGAGCCCAGGAGTTGGAGGTTATAGTGAGCTTTGATAGCACCACAGCACTCCAGCCTGGGTCACAGAGGGAGGGCTTGTCTCTAAAAAAAAAAAAAAAAAGATGGTATTTCATTGTGGTTTTGATTTGCATTTCTCTGATGGCCAGTGATGATGAGCATTTTTTCATGTGTCTGTTGGCTGCATAAATGTTAGAATGGCGATCATTAAAAAGTCAGGAAACAACAGGTGCTGGAGAGGATGTGGAGAAATAGGAACACTTTTACACTGTTGATGGGACTGTAAACTAGTTCAACCATTGTGGAAGACAGTGGGGCAATTCCCCAAGGATCTAGAACTAGAAATACCATTTGACCCAGCCATCCCATTACTGGGTATATACCCAAAGGATTATAAATCATGCTGCTATAAAGACACATGCACACGTATGTTTATTGTGGCACTAATCACAATAGCAAAGACTTGGAACCAACCCAAATGTCCAACAATGATAGACTGGATTAAGAAAATGTGGCACACATACACCATGGAATACTATGCAGCCATAAAAAAGGATGAGTTTATGTCCTTTGTAGGGACATGGATGAAGCTGGAAACCATCATTCTGAGCAAACTATTGTAAGGACAGAAAACCAAACACTGCATGCTCTCACTCATAGGTGGGAACTGAACAATGAGAACACTTGGACACAGGATGGGGAACATCACACACCGGGGCCTGTCATGGGGTGGCGGGGAGCAGGGAGGGATAGCATTAGGAGATATACCTAATGTAAATGACGAGTTAACGGGTGCAGCACACCAACATGGCACATGTATACATATGTGACGAGCCTGCACGTTGTGCACATGTACCCTAGAACTTAAAGCATAATAATAAAAAAAGGAGAAAATATAATAATAAAGGCTTTTTGTCTTTGATCTCATACCTTTCTATCAAAAGAATTTGTCATTTGTCCTTCATGAAGACACACCCATTTTGACTATTCAGCCCTTTTACAGATTGGCCTGCAGGTCCTGGGATCTCGTCTCTCTTGCCTTGGCTCTCAGCAGGGAAGTCCTTTCTCCATGACCAGTGCCTTCAATGCCAGTCCATCAGGGTTGATCTTCAGGTTCAGAAGAATCGAGAATCACTTTGATTGTCCTCCAGGCAAGTGACCACAGTGCCACGTGCGTGACAGGCTTGGGGGAACAGGCATTTTGCCTTCAGTCCTCCACTGCACCCTCCTTCTCAATCAGCTGAGATCCAGCAACCTTAAGTCACAAGCTCGCTCTTTCCTTTTACTTTAAACATGCTTTAAAATCAGAGTTTTTTTATTCCAAAAAGGACAAAGACAAAGAATACTATTACTTGCACTGCCACCAGAATTAACAACTGTTTATATTTTGTTAGATTTGCTTCAAGCTTCTTTCTTTCTTTTTTTTTTTTTGAGATAGAGTCTCACTCTGTTGCCCAGGCTGGAGTGCAGTGGCGTGATCTCGGCTCACTGCAACCTCCACCTCCTGGGTACAAGCGATTCTCCTGCCTCAGCCTCCTGAGTAGCTGGGATTACAGGCGCACACCACCACACCCAGCTAATTTTTGTATTTTTGGCAGAGACAGGGCTTCACCATGTTGGCCAGGATGGTCTCGATCTCCTGACCTCGTGATCCGCCCACCTCGGCCTCCCAAAGTGCTGGGATTACAGGCGTGCGCCACCGCACCCAGCCTCCAAGCTTCTTTCTTATAAAAAAACTGAAGCAAACAAACAAAACCACAAAAACAACAGAAACAAAACATTACAGATAAAGTCACACTCTCTTTTGATCCTCTCTCCCATCCTTCTCCAGGACACTCACTGTCATAAGTGCGCTGTGTATCTTCTTTGGTCTTCTTTTTTTTTCTTTTTTTGGAAACAGATGATATGATTTGGCTGTGTCCCCACCCAAATCTCATCTTCAATTGTATCTCTCAGAGTTCCCACATGCTGTGGGAGGGACCCAATGGGAGGTAACTGAATCAATGTGGGTAACTGAATCATCTTTCCCGTGCTATTCTTGTGATAGTGAATAAGTCTCACGAGATCTGATGGCTTTATCAGGGGTCTCCACTTTTGCTTCCTCCTCATTCTCTCTTGCCACTGCCTTTCATCCTCTGCCATGATTGTGAGGCTTCCCCAGCCATGTAGAACTGTAAGTCCAAATAAACCTCTTTCTTTTGTAAATTGCCCAGTCTCAGGTATGCCTTTATCAGCAGCGTGAAAACGGACTAATACATGTCTCACTTTATAGCCCAGTCTGGAGTGCAGTGGCATGATCATAGCTCACTGCAGCCTCATGACCTCCCAGACTCAAGCAATCTTCCCACTTCAGCCTCCAGAGTAGCTGGGACTACTCGGTGCATGCCACCATGCCTGGCTAATTAAAAACAAATTTTTGTAGAGACAGAGGCTTACTATGTTACCCAAGCTGGTCTCAAACTCCTAAGCTCAACCAGTCCTCCTGCCTCAGTCTCCCCAAGTGCTGGGATTACAGGTATGAGCAAGTGTGCCTGGCCAGTTCCACTTTTATACTTTGAGATGTATATGTGCGCATGCGCACACACACACATAGACACACCCAAGGATGATATATGGAATTGTTTTGTATTATTTTAATTTACATAAATGGTATCATACTAAATCATCAATTCTGCAATGCAGTTCTTTTCCTCCCTAACATCATATTTTTCAGCTCCTTTCATACTGATATATATATATACTGATCAATTTCATTTATTTTACTCCTGCAAGGTACTCCATCCCAAGTGGGTGGTCCTGCTCCCTTTGCATAGAGCTCTCTAGGGTATAATAAATAACACCAAGAATTTCCCTGACCTCAGGGGTTCTACTTTGGAGAGGCTAAGCCAATTGCAGGGGCTCTCCCCAGGCTGCACCCTTCTAGTCCCTAAGACCTTCCAAACTCTGCCCCAGTCCCTCTATCTTCCCACAGCTATGGCACCTGCTATGGTCACCCCTTTCTCGTTCCAATCCTTTGTCTGATCCATGAGTACCTCTCTGCCCTCTGAAGCTCCCCATCCTGACTTGAAGAGATAAGGGAACTAAGATCCTTCACAGAATCTGTTTTCCCCTTGTAAGCTGTGCCATCAGGTGGTGGGTATCCTGACAAGTAAGTGTGTCCATGGCTTTGAAGCCGGGCAGCCCTGGTAGAATCCTGGCTCTGTTGGCAAGTAACCTGCCATCTCTGAGTCAGGTTCTGATGTGTAAAATGAGGACAGTAACATTCAGCTCAGGCCTGCTGTTCTGGTCAAGGGGGAAAGTACCAGAACAAGCTGGACAGTCAAAAAGTGCTTCTATCCCTGCCGTCCTCCAGTCTATTCTCAAACCAGCAGCCGCAGCAGTCTCTCAAAATCTTACTACTCTTCTGTTTATGAGATTTCCAAGGCTGCATCACACATATACAAGGCTTGGCAATATTTGCCTTGGTCTCCCAGATTGCTTGCTCTGGGGGAAGCCAACCACCATACTATTAAGATGCATTACTACGAAGGCCTCCCACAGGAGGCCTGTGGAGACCCACGTGGAGAACTGAGGTCTTTTGCCAACAGCCAATGCCAACTTGCCAACAATATGAGAGAAACACCTTCAGTCCTTTAGATAACAATAGCCCTGGCTGACATCTGTTTGCAACCACATGAGAAAACCCAGAACCATTTAGCCAAGCCACTCCCAAATTCCTTGACCCAATGAGAGAGAATAAATAATTATTGTTTTAAGTCATTAAGTTTTGGGGTGATTTGTTATGCAGAATTAGATAACTAATATACAAATTAACAAATAATAACATATTACAAGTTTGCATACTAATTTGTGTAACAATTTGTATACTAATGCTTGTATAGCATTTACTACGAGTTAGGCAGAATTCTAAACTCTTGATGTGAATTAACCTAAACTCTTGATGTGAATTAACTCAATCTTCAGAGCAACCCTCTAAAACGCGGATTACTAGCATCCTCATTTTCCAGATGAGAAACCAGAGGCATGGAATGCTTAAGTAACTTGCTAGTAAGTGGCAGAACTAGAATATGAACCCTGACACTTTGGCTGCAATGTCTGTGCCCATAACCACTACGCTATGCTGCATCCTGAACAAAGCCATCATCAGAAATTTAGCACCAAGAAGCAAGACATGTTCTCAAATCCACAGCTCCTGTTTTTAAGCAAAGAAGAGGAAAGACAGAAAAAGAGCCAACCCCTCCCATTTCTTCCAGACCCTGCAGATTCCTACTCTTCTTGGGTTTACGGCTCTAACTATGTCCTATCTTGCCAGTAGGCTGAGCCCAGACCAGAGCCAAGCTCACCTACACCAAATATGTGAAGTGGGTATTGAGACTTTCCTGACAGGAATGCTTACTAAAATGTCACACATCTCCTTAGCTAGGATTCTGGCCCAAGGAGATGAGAATGTCTCTTCTGCACATGTTCTGGCTCAGTGTAAGCCTCATCCCTGCTTCTTCAAAGTGGCTGATGTCTTAAAGCATGTCAGATCTCTAAAGTGGAGAAAAATCACTCCAAGAAGACAACCTCACCTAATGCAGGATTAGTAAATACAAGGTGCATGTCCTAGGGTCCCTTTCCAAGCCCTTTACAGACATGGCTAATCGATCATAGCCTCTTTCCCGCTCAGCCTGGAGGCAGCTCCAGAATCCTCACCACAGTGCTCCAGGCTGCCACTTCCACAAGTTCTGAGTTGGCATTAGAGCTGAGACCTACTTGTCATTCTGGCTGTAACAGGACAAAGACGAAACACCAAAAGCAACAGACTGGAAATAATCCCTCTACCTTCCAGGGGAGTAAAAGGCTTCTCGCCTCCACTGCTCCTACCCCTCCTCCAAAACCCATTTTCATCACAGCAAGAGCTTAGAAGGGATTTCTAAAAGAGAAGACACTGCACAAAATATTGACCTTGTTTTTAATGATGATATGAGGACTAGAGCCCATGCTGGGAGGTATCCCATGCTCACGGATAATGGTGAATTAGGAACCAATAGCTCAGCAGCAGCTGGACTGGAAAGATCTAATCCTGAAGTCAAGGTAAACTAGGATGCGTAGCCAGATTCTTCACTTTGTATACAGTCATGCATTCCTTATCCATTCTGAGAAATGCGTCATTAGGCAAGTTCATCACTGTGCAAATGTCAGAGTGCACTTACACAAACCTAGATGGTATAACCTCCAGCACAACTAGGCTATATGGGATACCCTATTGCTCCTAGGCTATAAACCTGTACAGCATATTACTGTCCTGAATGGTAGGCGATGGTAACACAATAAGTATTTTCACATGTGTACGTATCTAAACGTATAAAAAGTAGAGTAAAAATACAGTATAGAAGATAAAAAATGGTAGACTTGTATAGGGCACATACCATGAATGGAGCTTGCAGGACTGGGAATTGCTCTGGGTGAGTCAGTGAGTGCGTGATGAGTGAATGGGAAGGCCTAGGATGTTACACGACTTTATAAACACTGTACATGTAGTCTACACTAAATTTATTTTTTAAAATAAAGTAATTGTGCTGCAACATTACAGTGGCTACAGGGTCAGTAGGGGAGGAATATTTCAGTTCCATTATAATCTGATGGGACCACTGTCATATATGTAGTCCCTGGTTGACCAAAACATTGTTGCAGCACATGACTGTATAACCTTCCTTGGACAACCTCCTAGCACTTTTTATTTATGTATTTATTTATTTATTTATTTATGACAGAGTCTTGCTCTGTCACCCAGGCTGGAGTGCAGTGGCACGATCTTGGCTCACTGCAAACTCCACCTTCCAGGTTCAAGCAATTCTTGTGCCTCCCCTTCCTGAGTAGCTGGGATTACAAGTGCATGCCACCAGGCCCGGTTAATTTTTTTGTATTTTTAGTAGAGATGGGGTTTCACCATGTTAGCCAGGCTGGTCTTGAACTCCTGACCTCAGATGATCTCCCCTCCTCAGCCTCCCAAAATGCCGGGATTACAGGCACGAGCCACAGCACCTGGTCCCTCCTAGCACTTAAGAGAGGGGATGTGAATGAATGTGAGCACCAGCACTGCCCAGTGGAAACAGACTGCAAGCCATGTATGCAAGTTAAAATTTTCTAGTAGCCACATTAAATAAAAAGAAACAGACGAAATTAACTTTAATAATGTTATTTCACCTAATATATCCAAATATCATTTCAACATGTACAAAATACTAGCAAGGTATTTTAGTTCTTTTTCTAAGTCTGTGAAATCCGATATATATTTTACAGCAGATTTCAATTCAGATACTAAATTTTCAGCACAGATACTTGATCTGTATTGAGATTTCACAAAAATTTACAGTTGAAAATATAGATTCCACATACCGAAGTTCTAAACATTCCCAAATGTTTCCCCACAACTAAAATGAGTGTTGTTTCAAAACTTAAATCAATGAGAATCAAATAAAATGAAAAATTCAGTTCCTCAGTTGCACTAACCACATTCCAAGCACTCGGTGGCCACCTGTGGCCGGCAACCACTGCACTGGTGAGCACAGTCTGGACCCTGTGATGAGGAGGGCTCTCCCCAGCCTTGGGCAGATGCCAGCCTCCCATCAGAGCTCCTGTGACTCAGCTTGGCTTCGGGGATCCCAGGGGCCGGCTCCTCTGAGCACTCTCGCTCAGACCTGTCACCTTATGCCCAGTTTTCCTCTCTGCCAGGGCCCTTTCTTGGGCTCTCTGGTTGGCCTGCCCTCAGCTTTGCCCCAGCGCTGGCCTTCTGATCTCCCAAGTTCCATAGGTCTTGAGCTAGCCCATCCTCACCCCGCTGTGAGTCCCAGTTCCAGAGCCCCGGCCCCGGTGTGGTTCAGGGATGCTGCATTGTCTGGAAGAGGTAGTTGGGTGACGCTGTGTTCTCTGCTATACAAAAAACAACTGGAGTTGGCAATTCCGGGGTGCATCCAGCGATGAGCCATGTCCCGTTGTTGTTTTGGGAGAAGGCCCTTGCCATGTTCATGCCCCCGCAAGGCACCACCAAGACTGCACTCACACATCACCGTGGGTAGCCTCTGCTTTCCACTTGGAGAAGTGCTTTGGCCTGCTGCTCCCTTGCCTTCCCTGGTCCCTGCGGTGTGTTTGCCCTGACCTTTGGTTCTCCTTCATCCGGCCTCTAGGTTGGTGCGGTATTTGTGGGGGCTGTGCTCAGTCCTAACTGCTTCGCCCCTTCAAACCACCAGATCCCCAGCAAGACATCACTAGGCGATCACGTGTTCTTTCTCCCTGAGCCCCAGGCTGCACTTCCCCTCATCCCTGGGATAATGCCCCAAGCCTGCCACATGCCCCGCATCTCCCTATCCAGTGAGAACTTCCACAGGGAGAGGAAAAGATGACTTCCAAGGAAATAATCAGGTCACAGATGTGTGAGGCGTCAGAAGTGAAGCCCCCTGGAACGGACCGCTGATCCAGCAACTTTGGAAGGCAACTCGGGTTGCCCCAGTGGGCTGTGGCAGCCCAAGGCCAGCTTCCCTTGACATGAAAGACCTTGAAATATCAGAAGCCCTCCCATACAGTTTGTTTAAAGAAGCTACAGGCAGAGCTGCTGTGAGAAGATGAAGGGATGAAAATCTGAACTTTGACAAGAAGCATCTCACAGGGCACGACTGCCAGGGGATTGGAATTGTGTGTGACCTAAACCACAGAAAAAAGGTGCCTGCAGCTTGCCAGAGACACACGACACTGTGTCATACCAGTCACCTGGGCACTGAGGGAGCCATCGAACCTCAGAGGACACACCTCAGATGGGCCGGGCAGAGCCGTCTGCCTCCTGAGGGCAGCCCCTTTTATCAACCACCTGCCCGAGAAACAGCTGCGCAGTGCCCACTCCTGCCCAGCAGTGACTACTCCCCGCACGAGTGCCTACTCTGTGTCTTAGGGAAGGCCCCGACAGGCTTCAGCCTCCAGGGGGTCTGCTTGAACAGAGGAGAAGCTGTGGGGAGGGGCAGGGATTCCAAGTTCCTGCATTGCCAGAAAACAATTTCCAGAGTCCCAACTGTACCAGAAGAGAACACCACGAACCAGACAAGGAGACAAAGGCGGGCTTGATCAGGTACCACCATTCAGAGGAATTCTCCATCCCACACAAAACTCTCCCTCCAGACAGAGTCCTCCCCAGCCTGCCCACTCCAATATTTCAACAAGGGCTCCGTTACCTTTTCCCTTTTACATCGCTTCAGGCACCGGCACCCTCCACCAGCCTCACATCACACACTACACCCCCGACACATACATCATACACACACACACACAAACACACAAATGCACACAGACACACACACACATACTACATACACAGGAACCCCACATCTCACACACCACACAGACATACACGAACCCCACACATCACACACACACTACATACACACAAACCCCACATCACACACACACTACACACACACAAACCCCACACATCATATACACACCACACATACCACACACACACAACATATAACACACATACATACAAACCCCACAAATCACACACACACACTATATACACACAAACCTCACATCACACACATCACACACACATAAGCCCCACACATCACACACACACAAATGCCACACACACACATCACATACTACACACACATACACAAACCCCACACATCACACACACACCAGACATACCACACATACACATACCACACACAACACACACTACACCACACACACACACGTGCGCCCCATATATCATACATCACACGTTCTATACATACCCATACAACACAACATACACACTACACATACACATACCACAGACACCACACACCACACATACCACACACAACACACATTGATCCCACATTTTAAGGAAATGAAGTGTTCCAAGACACAGAACATTTTCCAACGAACCTACACTTACCTCCTTAGGAACCAACGCTTTTATACACACACATTATCCTGAGAGGGAAAAAAATCTTAAAAAAAGAAAAAAGAACCAACACTAACAACTAAATTTGACCATCTTGCTGGAAAATGTTCTGAAATGAATGACACAGTTCCCTGACTTACCAGCCTGTGCACCGAGTGGAATTTATCACTTCCTGATGATTCAGGGACAGATTTCTGAGCCTATCTTTACCACAGCCTGCAAGGCCTAACGTGTCTGGCCTCTGCTGTGGGCACTTTTCCTGCTGCTCCAGCTGCCCCTCTAAGCACACACTCTCCGGGATGGTGCCCTGGCCCAGGCTGTCTGGAACACTGTCTCCCTAGATGTCCGCATGGCTCACTCTCTCTTTGCATGCCAATGCCATCTCCAATGAAGTCTTACCAGAGGCCTTTCCTGGCCATCCTTTTCCCATCTTTCTGCTCCCTTATGCTGCTTTACTTTCATAGTATTTGCCACCACCTAATATATCTTTCTGTTTATTTTCTCCCTCTCCCCACTAGAATATGAGCCCCTTGAGAGCTTGGATTTTACCTGGTTTGTTATTTCCAGGCCTGTAACAGTCCTGGCACATAGTACATGCTCAGTAAATAATTGTCAAGAGAATGAATAGATGCTGCCTTCAGCATTCGGACCCTGTGTGTGTGTGGAGGCAGGAGGGGCCCCTCCTACCTCACACGGCCCTTCCTGGCTAGGCCTTTGCTATCAGCTGTCACTTCTCAGTGTGTCAGCAGCTCCTAGCAATTCCCTCATCTTGCTTCATCCAATCTACTATATTTGTAACCTAGGAAAACTGAAAGTTGCCAGGAGATGACCAACCCCCTGAACTACTGAAACCAGTTTTTATAAACAATGTTAATTTCCAGACTGTGGCCTATGGGCAATTCCATGCCTGTCTTCTGAGTAAAGTCCATGGGTGTTGTGGCTATTTATGCTCTGCAAAGGGGTCTTTGTAGCTTCCTTCTGGTCTTCCTAGATTGTTGAGGTATCTGAAGTCCACCTGTAGACACTTCTGCATACATGCCTGTGTGCATTCTCAGACACACTCACAAATATCTTAGGCTTCTAGTACAGCGGGCAGGGAGCAGCGTAGCTCCATCAGACAATGTTTCAAGGGAAGAGAAAGGGGAAGGATGAGGGCCAGTTTATTCCTTATGAGAATTTAAAGGTTACAGCCCTTCTTAATACATGTGGTCGAGGTCTCTGTACACCTCACCCTCTGGTCTTATTCTCCTTAATTCAAGCACTATCAGGACTTAAGCCCTGGCTGAAGGCCACCTCACTTTCGCGGGAGAAGTTCAACAAAGTCCAAGATTATTTCAGCTGATAGGGACCGCCGAGATCCTGTAGTTCAACCCTCACCTGACAGATGAGGAAACTAAGGTCCAGGGAGTGGGACTGACTCACCTAAGGAAACACAGTCCCTTGAGGGCAGGGCTGAGCCTAGAAGTGGGATCACTTGGACTTCATTCACATCCTCTCTCCATTCCCTCTCTCCATCCCCTGCTGACAGCCAACATCTGTTTCCATCCTGGGCCACTCCACTCTGCCTGGCCCACCTAGGGGCCAGGAAAATCCTGCAACAGCCCAATTCACATTAAGGCATGTCACTCACCTCTGAACTCTGAGACAAAGTCATCCCTGCTCTACACAGAGCCACACCTCACTTTATGAAACAGCAAGAAAGAGGAGCTTGTGCTCTTCAGCGAAACGTGAAGTTGTTCCTAATGGGTCTGGAAAAGTGGAAAGGCTATACCTGGGCAGACCTGCCTCAATGCCTCCTCAAATTTTGCCTGAGCCTTATCTTGCCTATATAATATGATCGACAAGCTTCTTCCAGTCGCCCCCTCTTTCCCAAAGTACCTCTGGCCTGCCACTCCTATCTGGTCTGAAATGTTCACAGAAGTTCCCTGGGTGACCATACTGTCTCTAGCCAGATACAGTTCAAAGGCGCATCTGAAGTTTAGGGGTGTGGGGAGACAGGCAGGCCAGGGCTGTGGCTTCTCCATAAGCACACAGCTCAGGGGCACTGCCAGCCAGCGCCGCCCCAGGCAGCAACAGTCAGGGGTCTGGGAGACAGGACAGGTAACCTGGAAATCACACCTGGGTTGGATTGGGAAAATAGAAGTGGAATATGGGAAGGTCAGACTCAAGGTGCCTCCACCAGGCAGAAACACCTATGCAGGCCTCGGTCTTGGGAGAGGAAAGATGCTAAAGACCAGCACCTCCAACTTTGCAGCTTTGTCTCTGACCAGCCTTGGCTTCCTCTCTCTGTCCTTGCTTGGCAGCTCCAAAGGAACAGGGGAGAGAGGAGCACAGCAGCAGTTATGGATTTCTGGTCGTTACCCTGTCCTGGGCTGGCCTCAGTGCATGGGGCCCGCCTACTTCCCAGGGTGCAGGGCTCTTGCAGTGCAATAATTGGGCCCTATTTCATGACAGAGAGTCTTTTTTCTCCCTTTCCTGCTGCTGTTGGGAGCACTTATGGGCCAACGGGGAGTGTGGAGAGAAACCCTGGCCAGCCTTTGGACTGCTCCCATGTTGGATGGTTCTGTGAGAATGTTTTCCTTCTGCTGCAAAGAAATTTCTCTCCCTGCATCTTTCACCTCCTGGCCTCAATTCTATTCCTTGGAACCCTACAGAATAATTCAAATAAGTCTCTTGCCTTTTCTGAAAGTTGGCTCAATGCTAAGTTTTGATGGGGAGTCAGAAGTGTGAGATGTGGTTAAGAAGGTTATACTTTGATTTTGGAGTCAAGAGTGATCTTAACCAGTCACCAAATATGTTTTAAAAATAATTATCCTTATTGGTTTGAACATTATCATGTCAATGGATGCTTATTACAGAAAATTTGGGGGTAAAAACCCAAAAGATGGAAGGAGGGATTGCCCATAATCCTACCTCCCTACTGCCAACATTTTGTTCTGTATCGTTTTTGCATTTTTTTCCCCATCGAATGTTTGTGGAGCGAATACAAAGCAAGGTGCTGATTCAGGTGCCCCAGAAAAGATGTGCTGATAGACCAGGCTTGGATCTTGACCAGAAGATGCTCCAGGGGAAGGAAGACATGAGCCTGGGCTTTGGAGTGAGAAACACCTAGTGTCGGGTGCACTTACTAGTTGTCAGAGCATGAGTAAGCGTGTTTACTCGTATGAGAACTTAACAATGGTACCTATCTCATTAGGTTGTTGAGGGGATTCAGAGAGGTAAGCCTGTAAAACACACAGCATCCAGGTCTCCAACGAATGTCATCACCATCAACATAACAGAGTATACAGTGATTATGGAGGCTAGACAGGTACGGGTCAAAGACCACAAGATTTCAGAGAAGAGGGACTAAACCACTTGACACCGTTTTCAGAGTGGGCTACACACAGTCGGTGACTGTACCAGGCAAGCACACTGATTAACTGAACTGAATTTACTGCCCAAGTATAATCAGCAGTTAACTCATGTCTGAAAGCTCGGCTCCTCTGCTCCTTTCCACGTCTGTTTAGCCTCCTGTGTCTTTGCTCTGCTGTTCATGGGGAAGGTGCTTAAGGTCTCCTCAAGAAGCAGACAGGGTATAAATCTTCAATCTTGTAACTGTAATGAAGGCTTGGCTATAGGCTCCCCTCTGACCTCAGAGAAGCTTCCTCCATTACAGTGAGACAGTCCCGTGGGCAACTCAGCCTGGCCCTGGTCTACCAGTGTCCTCCTACCTCTACCTTAAATGGCATTTCCAGAGCCAAGGGTTTCCTCTGCCTGCAGCAAGGACAAACACAGCCACCATGGAAGAAAGCCATGCTCCCAAAGATCTCGGAGCAGCTCGGGGGTAAATTGCTGTTACAGCACAGAAATAAAAGACCTGCAGAAGCATGAGCAGCACCCTAAAGCTAGTCCCGTGCCCTTGGACCTCTGGCCTTCCAGGAAGGTAACTCTCGGGCTGCCAGCCCTCCTCCCCACCCCCAGTCTTAGTTCCCTCTGGGCTGACCCCATGTCCCAGAGGCAGGTCTCGAAATGGCCCAGGAACAGACCCCATTGACAGGAAATCAGGCCCTTTATATCTGAACATTTTTGGCTGGGCGCAGTGGCTCACGCCTGTAATCCCAGCACTTTGGGAGGCCAAGGTGGGAGGATCCCCTTGAGTCCAGAAGTTTGAGACCAACCTGGACAACATGGAAAGACCCTGTCTCTACAAAAATATATAAAAATCAACCAGGTGTGGTGGCACACACTTGTAGTCCTAGCTATTCAGGATGCTGAGGCAGGGGAATCGCTTGAGCCCAGGAGGTGAAGGTTGCAGTGAATCATGACTGTGCCACTGCACTCCAGCCTGGGTGACAGAGTGAGACCCTGTGTCCAAAAAAAAAAAGAAAGAAAAAGAAAAGAGAAAATAAAAAAAGAAAAGAAAGAAAAGAAAAAAATCTGAACATTTTGACAAAGGGAATTGTGGGTGTTTGTGCTTCTTCCTCCTCACTCTCTTTCTCAAGTGTGGTACCTAAACCAATTAAATACAAAATCACTTTCTGTTATTATATTTAGGCAAATCATATTCCCACAGTTCCAAAATGCACACATTATAAATAAAATATAAATTATTTTAGATCTTATTAAAGCATCCGCTCTCTGAGAACACTACCAGAAAAGCCATCATTTGCATCCCCTTCTGCTAGGTAAGTGGGGGCTTCCTGCGAGGCCTCAAGGGTTCCTGTGGGACCTTCCACTGACAGGAGCATGTTCCTCCATAAGCAGAAACTTCACAACACCTTTCAGGAGAACTCCCCCTTAAAGCCATGTATTTACATCTAGAAATGGAGCTATCATCTGCTTATCTCAGGATCAACAAACCTTGCAAATCATTTAACTCAATTTCAGCCGACAAAATAACCAAGGTCCAGAGATGTTAAGTATTGTGTCCATGGTCATTCAGTAGTATCCCAATTTCAGGCTAAGAAACTCCGGTTTAAGAAATTCTTGCCTAAATCTTTCACAGTTCTAAATAGGAGACTGTTGACACAAATGAGTGCACCTATACCGAAAATGAGTAGTCTTTTTAAAAAATGTAAAGTGAAATTCCATATAACACCTTAGCCTCCCACCCATGCCTGTTAGTGAACTGGCATATGGAAAACCTAAGTCCCAAACCAAAACAACCACAAATGTTCTCGCCAACTGTGAGGACTGAAGACTCAAGGCCGGCTGTGTCAGCCCTGCCTCCCAGTTTGGCTGCTGTCCTGTCCCAGCGTGCATCAGTGTAGATTCAAGGGGATGTCCCCAAATCTACTGCCTCGCTGCATCGGGTACAGCATGGAAAAATCACAAACCTTGCCGCATCGTAAGCAGCCATATAGGGATGGAATCAGTATCTCCCTTTAGCTTTACAGATTCCATAGCCAAATTTTTCACATCAAAATTGGTGACACTTGGGCCGACAGCAGGACAGAATATTAAAAATCAGGACCTTCTTGAGAAATCTGGCCATACGGTTGCCATGCCGACACCCTGTAATGCCAAACAGGCATCTCCAAGGTCCAGAAGCAACTTGGCTGGCTTCAAATAGTCCAGACATTGTGAAAGCAGAGCTGCCTCCAGGTCCAGGCGCTTCTGCAGACCCTCCCTTTCCCAGCTCAGCTCTCTGATTCCCCAAGGGAGCAATGATGACGCCTGTCTGAATTTGCCAGCCTCTGACAGCAGGGCTAGCCACATCATTCTCTAAGAATCTGAAAATCCACATGCAGCATCCTGGCCCAACTAGACAGAGAAATGTTTCTGAATAAGCGGTTACCACAAATTGCAGGGAGAAAGTAAATCCTCAGCTGCACCTGCCCCTTTTAAGTTGAACAAAGCATTCAATGCCTGCAGAAGCTTGAACGTACATCCCCCACCTCCTTACTTAGAGCCACCTCCTTACTTAGAGGTTACAGTTGATAATAAAATATTAAGGAGATATGAATATAATACAATAATATTAGGGGGATGTGAAGCATTGACTGCCCCCAGAAATGGGTGAGAATCCTATTTCACTCCTTTAAGAAGCCTTGCTGTGCACTTTAGGAGGCTGAGGTGAATGGATCACATGAGGTCAGGAGTTTGAGACCAGCCTGGGCAACATGATGAAACCCCATCTCTACTAAAAATACAAAAATTAGCTGAGAGTGGTGGCGCATGCCTGTAATCCCAGCTGCTCGAGAGGCTGAGGCATGAGAATCGCTTGAACCCGGGAGGTGGAGGTTACAGTGAGCCGAGATCATGCCACCTCACTCCAGCCTGGGTGACAGAGTGAGACTCCATCTCAAAAAAAAAAAAAAGAAAAAAAGAAATCTTGCTGTGTGCATCAATGTGGGGATGCAAGGAGCTTCCAGCACAGTTCCCGCATGCATCACTTACATTCAGCTGCAAATCACATGGAAGAAATAACTGGAAGAGAGGAATACAATGAAACAATGCAAGGCAGTTGTCAAAAGTGGTGCCTGACGGGGGGGTCAGTGCTGGTGGAACAGGCATCTAAAGCTTAAGAACAAAGAGGGAGCTGGCTGTGCCCCTAAGTGGCCACAGAAGGCTCTGCCACTCCCAGGGACTTCCATTCTCCCTTTCTTCCTGCACCTTCACTTCCCAGCTCCCAGGTATCTCCCTGATACTCCTTCATACTTTAAACTTAGCTTCCCGCTCTGAGACCTTTTCTTACCTGCAGCAAGTCAAACCCTGTGGGAATAAGCAGGGACAAGAGGATGTTTACTGGTGATTCTCATGACCTCCAATTCCCACCCCTCAAAATGAGTGCTGAATCCTTCCAGCAGGTCCCCTACACCATTCTGGGACTCTTGAGAAATGTGAGCGGCCCTCCCAGTGCATCTTACAGGACTCTGGAAGGAGCAGGAGAGAGGTGCATGGGCCAGGTCAGGGTTCAGGTTCCGGGTTCCAAAGCAGAGGCTCTGAGCAGCAGTCTCCTGTGCTCTCTTCCCTCCTCTCCTCCCTGCCCAGCCTCTTTCTCCGCCCCTTCCAACTCAGACCCTCTTCTCATCGCCTCACCAGAAAGAGGGACAGAGCATCTGGCCAGCCTGCCTTGCCTGAGACTAGGGCTCTTCCTGCCACTGAGTATGAATGTGGCAGCCTGGGCTCCTGGAGAGGAAGCTCCCTGGGGTCTGGAGGCCACTGCTGGTTTGGACAGTTCCAGCTCCAACCTGTCCCTCTGCTCAGATCACAACACTCTGGGGCCTCAGCACAGGAGGCTTTTCCTTATCAGTTTTCTGTCCAAAGGGCGACAAGTGCTTTGGAAACAGTGTCCTGGGAGAACAGCCCAGAAGGGAACAGTGCACCTAATCAGGCTTGCCCCCAGAGAGTTCACCCAGACTGGTATCTAGGACAAAACCCACAACCTCACCCCCCCGCCCCAGGTCTCCTCAGGCAAAGCCCTGAAATAATGTTTCCTTTGCAGGGGACTCGGAATCTGGGGCAGGATGGGAATATGAGGGGACACTCTCCAATGAACTTCCCGATATTCCTGGGGTTCAGATCCGCGTCTGGATGCGTTTCTCGGATTCGGCTCCACACAAGCCTCAGCCCTCCGGACCTTGCACCTCCCCCGCGGATCTCCTCACCCCTCCACCCCCAGGCCCAGATCTTTCCTTGTCGGAATCGCCACGCTTCCTCACTCCTTTACCCCCGCCCCACTCGGCTCTCCTCTTCCTGGTCCTCATCCGGCCAGGCTGCCCCGCCCTGGTAGTTCCCGAGGGTCGTCCGAGGCTCTCGTCCACCAACCGCCCCCGTCTGGAAGAATGCGCCCGCTCGAGCGCACTCTCGGCGGGTGCCAAAGCCTCCCGCCTCAACAGGTGCCCCTGCCTGGCCACGCACAGCTCTGTCACCTGGGGCTCGGACGGAGACGGCGACAGGATCGCCCCCTGCAGGGCGGCTGCGGCTCCGCACGCCCCCGCCCGGGTCCCCAGAGCGCCAAGGGCCCCCGCAGCCCCGCCGCCGCCCCCGCTGTGCCACACTGCCTTTGTTTCCCTGCCCGCTTAGATGTCGCGAGGCTGACTTCATGCAAGGGTATCGCCAAGTTCGGGCGCTGACACTGCCCACCTACCCGTGGTGGCGGACCCTAAGGTTGGGAGTGAGAGACGCGTACAGTGCGAGACCTCTCCTCAACCCAGAGAACTCCGGGGAAGCTGGGTGTCCGCGCCGAAGAAGCGGGTTCAAGTTGACCCGGCTCAGAAGGGGGTTCGAAGCCAGGCGCAGCGCCTAGAGAGCCTTCCCCTACCCACGCCCCCACCCGATGTCCTCTGCCCCCAGAAGGCTGGAGAGGGGCTGCGCACTGCCACCTACGCGCTCGGCTGCGAGTGGTTCCCACCGCCCGCTCGCCGCGCGCTGGGCCCGGCAGCCTTCCGGGGCACACGAGGCTCCCGCAGCCCCCAGACTCCCGGCCCCGGCAGCGCAGAGCCGGGAGAGCCGCCACGTTCCCAGCCGCGCGCGCACGCCGGGCCCACCAAACTTGCAGCACTTTCTCCCAGCCCCCACCCTCTGTCACCCTCCCTTAGTCGGTGCGCCCCAGCCCCGCCGCCCGGCAGAGGTTGCCATAACAACGGGCAGGAATGCTCCAACATATACAAAGCCGGCCCGGCGCAGCGGGCACTCAGCCCTGGCCGGGCCCCGCGCCCTCGGCCGCCGCGCAGGGTCTGGACGCGCGCCGCGGCTCCCTAGCCGGCCGGCCGACGCTCGGGGCGTACTCACAATGAGCGGGATGGTGCGGTCCTCGCGGAGCTGCTCCGACCTCCTGCCTGCCCTCTGCGCGCCCCGGCCGCCGGAGGATGCTGCGTGGGCTCGGTTGTCCTGCCATAAGTAGTAGAAAGTGCCCAGGATCCAGGCTACGGTCAGGATGGCGATGGCATTGGCGCGGATCTTCCTCATGGTGGGCAGACGGGCGCCCCAGGTGGGGGACTGGGCCGGCGTGCTCTCGGGGCCGGGGCGGGGGCGCTCGCAGCCCCAGCTGTTTGTTTTCGCTCGCGCCTAGCTGCTCAGTCCTGCAGAGCAGAAAAAGGAGAGAGGTGGGGGGGCGGGGGGGTGATAGGGAGAGACAGGATCGCGGAGCGATCCTCACGGTCCTAATGCCCTTCAGCCCCGAGCGCGCGCGTCCCCCGGGCGCCCATTCATTCGTGCGCAGGGCCGGCCCCGCGCTCCAGCCGCCGCCGGCTGACCCACCAGGCCACTGCGCACTGGGAGAGAAGCGCGCCGAGTGGGAAGCGGCGCGGGCCTTCCTCCCGCGCCCGGGAACCCGGCGAGACAGACGCCCGCGGCGGAATGGCGACTGGCCAAAGCCAGCCTCGGCTCCCACCGCTAGGTGACCGAACGCCCGGCAGCTGCCCCCGCGCGGCCCTGGTCGGTCCTGCCGACCCACACCCACCCCCGGACCGAGCGGCCTTGAGTCACCGACTGGAGACGCGCGACCCCCGACCTGGGCCCGCGCCGCGAGCTGCAGTTCCGGGCTGCGCTCTGGCGCGGGATTCAAGGTGTGTTCGGCGAGTCCTTGTGTAGGGGCGGCTGGGCGGGGGAGAGTCCTGAGTTTGTACTGGAATCTGCAGCTGAGATTAGCCAGACCGGGCCCGCCCAGAGGAGGGATTGGAAGCTGGTGCACTTGACATTCGAAGAGCGCGAAGGGGAAACGACGCTGCCTCACACCCAGTGCTAGGAGAGTGCGGGTACGGCCCTTCCACATTTTTCGCTGGCCTGGGGCTCCCAGATTTCACGATGCTTCCCTCTATCCCGCCTCATTGACCCCTGGACAACCCTGAAATATCATCGTCAGCATTATTTCATCGGAAAGAAGGGCAGCAAGAGAGGCCGGATGATTCTCCCAAGGCCACACAGCTAATTAGTGGGCAGAGCCCAGTCTAGAAGCCATCTCACCATCTGACACCTTTCGACAAAGTGCAAAACGCGGTGGTGAGAGACGAGGACACAGACATTAAGATTCCGCTCCAGCCCTAGAGGCACTGAGAATCAGAACGTGAACTACTCTTCACTCCAGGCAGAAAGCAAGAGGCTTGGATGAGTTTTAGGAAACCAGCACAGTGTCGGGCACAGAGCGCTCAATGAATAGATGTGTAACAACAAAGTAGGGATCCAACAGAGGAAGAAATAATTTATTGTAAGGTGGCCTTTGGGAAAGCTCTCAGAAAGGTGGATGAATCACTTAAGAGGTAAGGAAGGGGGAGGTGAGGACAGGGGAGAGACTGCAGAAATAGGCCTTGCAAAAATCCAGAGGATGGAAGAGCTTGATGTGTTCAAGAGAGAGAGCTGCCAGGCGTTGCAGGGGGCCTAGGATTTGATAGGAGTTGAGGTTGGCCAGGCTGGGTGAGTCTGAACTCAGGAGGTCCTTGAATGCCGGGGCAGAGTTGTTGAGGAGTCTGCTTCCTGCTGGCACTGCTGGACACCATGGCTACTCCGAAGACCCACATAGGGTCCAGCCTCTAAATGAAGCCATCTGGGGAATCAGGCAAACTGAAGTCACAGCATCATGCCCCCCCACAAGCATCCCATGAGCACCACCCTGACAGATAGAAGTAAAATCAGGTGGCTTTTCTCCATTTCTCCAGCACTCGAGACTGAACCGCACATATAATAGATGCTCAATACATTTCTGTTGAGGTGAAGAAACCCTAGTTGGGTTTTTGCTGAGGAAAACCCAGGGTCATTACTGCAATACGATATCCTCACTCAGAAGACTAATTACGATGACACTTA
Source organism: Homo sapiens (assembly GCF_000001405.40). Lineage (NCBI taxonomy): Eukaryota > Metazoa > Chordata > Mammalia > Primates > Hominidae > Homo > Homo sapiens. The sequence continues at coordinate 69,258,457 of NC_000014.9, read as the reverse complement.
GACAAGTCCAAAAGTGACCCACGCAGGAATGGGACCTAGAAAGAAGAGAATGCACAAAGAGGGCCTCACAAAGGGTCTACACAAGTAGCAGGGAATTTCAGGCATAAGGTGTGGCAGTCACAACAGGGGCAGGAGTCTGGAGACGCCAGATGCTCTCCCAGGTCTCTCTCCCCTGGGGAGTTTAATAAGACTGCGCCAGGGGCCAGGGCTTGTTTGCATAGATGGAGAAAACCACTGCCAAACCTCCATCTGGTTTCCGCAGGAATCATGGGGCAGATCCAGCGGTGCCATTTGTGGGAGGCCAGGAAAGACCTTGCTCCTTGGGAATCAGGCTCCACAGGCCTCTCAGGTCAACCAAGAAAATGTAAGGGAACTACCCTCCTGGTGCCCCCATTTTCACACATCTCTCAGGTGAGCCAGGTGAAAACTTGGGGAGTAGCCCTGTTGTCATAGGCTGCTCCCCTCATCCCAGCCTGGTCTGTGCATCTCTAGTTGCCTTTGGATGTGGGATTCGAAGACATCACATCACCTATCACCTCCTGGTAAAAGGCTCCAAACTCACCCCTCGGCACGGGGATGAAGCTGGACCATGCTGACTGAAACCAGACAGTTGGGGCTTCTGGTGACTCCAAAAGGAAGGCTCCATGGGGGGAAGGAGGGAGGGGTGGGATGGGCTGGAATGTGGCAGGGTTTCTCACATCTCACCACTTACTGCCCAGGGCTCAGTGGTGAGGATGCTATATATCTGCCCCAAATGGTCACTCCTGGTAGTTCTGTCCCTGAGAGAAGGTTTGCTTGGCCCCCACCACCAGAAAGACTGCACAGAAGTGAAGCGTAGCCTCTCTAGATGACTTCACCACAGTTGTTCCTTAGTTGGGCACTTCCCTGGGGGATGATGGGGGTGGGGTGGGGGTAAGACAGCAAGTAATTGCCATGCTCATTTGACTGACAGGAATTCCACATAGACAGAGGTGGAGTAATGTGCCTGAAGCCATAGGCACTCTGGCAGAGCTAAAGACCAGGAATTGCCACCTTGGCTACAGTCTGTGGTCTTCGTTTCAGATTGTAATCCCAAGTGGGTGCAGAACTGGCCCTCCCTGGGATAGGTTTCAATGCTCAGAAATGACAATGAGTGTTGTTTCCTCTCTGGTACTAGGAATGGACTCCAGCAGCATCACAGAATCAAAGCAACACCTAAGGAATTCACTGTTTCTTCACATACTTTGAACTGTGAAAACAAGAGTCATCATAATAGCTGCAGTTTACTCAGTACCTACCAGGTACTGTCACCTATACTGTCTCTAAAGCCCCTACAACCCTGAGCTAAGGATGATCATATCCCCAACTGCAGATGATGACACTGAAGCTCAACGGCTACTCAACTTGCCTGGAATCCTACAGCAAGTAAGTGGTGAAGCTCGGTTTAAGTCCTGTGCCATTTTCAACGCTTGTGTCTGGGTACGAGTACAGGGCTTCTGAGGCCACTGGGAAATCTGCAGTGTGGTCTGAATTTCTGTATGCAGGAGTCTCACTTTCCCTGCCCACAGTTCTCCGTTTTCTCATCCATAAAAGGAGGGATATAAGATGTCCTGGGGTGGGGGGGTCTCACCAACTGTGCCACTTTGAACTTGCATTTCCTCCTTTTCAGGATTTCTCTTAGGCACAGTTCATATTGTTTTAAAGCTGTCAAAGCCAGCACTCAGGGTAAGCTGGGCAAAGTTCCACATGCCCCTGGGGCTCCCAGATGCCCCAGGGAGCTCTCTGCCTCTGGGCCTTTGGTGTGGGGGTTGTGGAGGAGTGGATAACCGAGGGGGAAAGGGTACAGCTCAGTGTAAGGCCCTGGCTCTGGAATTGGACAACCTGAACTTGAATGCTGATCCTGTCACAAATTAAGAGAGTGGTTTGGGCAAATTCTTAACCTCAGTTTCCTCAACTGCAAAATGGGGCACTGACAGCTCTTACCTCACAACTTTGTTGGGAAAGATAGGATGAAATAAAGTCATGTAAAATCCAGTGCCTCATAAGCACCCCCCAGGGGCTCTCTCCTGCAGGCTGTTGCTGGCTGCTGGAGGTGAAAGGGGCCTCCTGAAAGGGACTGCTCACTATTGCTGCCAAGAACAGACCTGATGCCAGCCTCTTTGGCCATGGCTAATGTCCAGCAGTCATAGACTGTCCTGCCCGTGGGTGGGTGGCTGCATCTTCCAGAGCCTCTGCTGAGCAGGCTGGAGGCAAGGCAGGGGAGAGGCACAGAGCAGGGCCCCAGCCTCCCATTTGAGGTGCTGGGCCAGCTCAGAAGCTCTTGCTCTGTCCACAGCAGCAGGGCCCAGAAGGTAGGGAAGGGACCTGATTGGATACCCTTACTGGCCCATGTCTGCTCTAAGCAGGAAAGAAGGCAGGGATGGTGGACAGAATGTATGTTACCAAGCAACAGGCAATGTGCTGATACACGATCTCAGAATACTCATAACGACCCTGTGAGGAAGGCGCAATCATCCCCCTTCCACAGGGGAGGAGACTGATGCCCACGGAGGTGCCAGCATAAAGTGGAGCATGCGCTGCCCACTGCCAGCTGAGCGCACTCAATGCACCAATCGTCTCTAAGGAAAAGATATTTATAAGGTAGTTTCTATAAACCATTATAGATGGAGGAAAGGACTTAGCTCTTTGAAAGGAACTTGGCAGTTTTCTTATTGTCAATCCTCCTCCTCCTACTTGTCTGATAACCCTGGTTTCTTACTTATTAGTTTCTGCCACTGGAGTAAAAATTCCAAGAGGACTGGGGTTCTTGTATATTTTCCTTACCACTGTTTCCCCGGTGCCTATAGTAGTGGCAAATAGTACATGCTTGTTAGTGTGTAGTATTTGTTTTTTTGTTTGTTTGTTTGTCTGAAGCCCTTGGAATGCGATCGCATAGTTATTTGTTGATGGAAGGAAGGGAGAGGAAGAGGGAAGGAGGAGAAAAGGCAGTGTAGCTCTATGAAAAAATGCACTTCTCTCTTAAGCCAAGCACTTGAGAAATGAGTACAGGACTAGAGCACAGACAAAGGGGGTGATTCGTTTAGGGTCAGGGCGGGCCAGTGTAGGGAGTCCCCTGCCAGTGCTTCCTCCCCAAGTCATGGAGCCAGGGCCAAACCTTCCTGCCCCAGGATGAGGGGGGAGAGAAAGTCCTTTGTGGTCCCATGAGAAGTAGCAGAAGGAATGACCCCAATTCTGGTGGACAACTGCAAGAACCATAAATGTTACCAGGGATCATGAAATAACCCAGGTGTTGCATTTGGGAATAATAGGATTGCAGAGGCTGCAGGCTAATTAGAAATGTGTCAAATGATTTTCATTAACAAGCAAGGAATTTGTACAAAGGAGAAATACATAAATAAAACCACTCCTCAGCAGAGTTGATCCCAGAGGCAGAGCCCTTTCCAAGGCCTCTCTGACCTTCCCGTCTCCACTACCTTCTCCTGAGTCACTTCCCCTTCTCCGTAGCCTCTGCAGAGCTGGGTGGCCAAGGTCCTCAGATCAGACTACATGGCCCAAGATGCCAGGTTAGTGCCTACCACATGCCTGTCTTTCCCTTGAATGGGAGCTCCTCTAAGCAGAGACTGGCAGCCTCCTTTTATGTATCATGAGTTTCTAGCACAGTGTTGGGCATCTTGGCAGCACTCGCTAAATATCTAGGCAGAGTAAATGAATGAATGAATATTGAGGGTGGCAGCTGCTGCTACTCCCCATTCTGTCCCATGAAAATGCCAAATAGCCCACTCAGACTGTAAAGCCAGTGCTTGATTGCCCATTGGCGTGGAATTTCCAGTCCCTTCCTTTCCTTTCCTTCTTGAACACCTACCATGCCAGGCACTTCTAGGTACTGGGGATACAAAAATTAATAGAATCTGGTTGTAGCCTCTGAAGAGTCCAGTAATTGACAATGGGGAAATACACATAGATAATCACAAGATGAGTCCGGGTGTGGTGGCTCATGCCTGTAATCCTAGCACTTTGGGAGGCCAAGGCAGGAGGACTGCTTGAGAGCAGGAGTTCGAGACCAGCCTGGGAGACATAGTGAGCCCTCATCTCCATTAAAAATTTAAAAATTATCTGGGCATGGTGGTGCATGCCTGTAGTCTTAGCTATTCATGAGGGTTAGTGGGGAGAATAGCTTGAGCCTAGGAGTTTGAGGTTGCAGTGAGCTATGATCATGCCACTGCACTCCAGCCTGGGTGACAGAGCAAGACCCTGCCTCAGAGGAAAAAAAAATCACAAGATGATATAATAGAGCTCCACAGAAGCACAGATTAGAGCAGTAACACTGAAGCAGGAGAGAAAGAGGGTAGGATTTGGTGGTCAGTTTGAGGTGGATGTGAGAGAAAGGATTTGAGAATAGCGTGTTAAGTTTCTTGATTAGGAGACTAGTGCTTTGGTGTAATGTAACCATTAACTGAAATGGGGAATATAGGAGGAGGAGCCAATTTGGGAGGTGTGTTCAGTGAACTTGAGTTGTCTGTGGTCGGTCCAGGAAGGCATCTATAAATCCAGATATGGAGCTCAGGGAGAGTGGACGTCGCCAGTCAGGTAGAGATGAGAAAGCCAGAAACACAACTGGGGTGAACATGTTGCTGGGTGGCTGCCTATGTACCCAGCACCTAGGCATGGCAGAAAGGCCATGTTGTCAGAGATGAGGGCTTCTGGATGCCTCGTGTGAAGATGGAGAGACAGAAAACTGGCATTTTTTTCTGCCTCTGTCAGATGCCTTAATTCAAGTCCCTGGACCCAGTCTCTTAGGAATACTCATTGCTTTATCGGGAAACCCAGGATGGACCCCTTGACCTAGGGTTTGAATAAAATTTGTCTCCATATCAAAAAGGTCAGGTGACAAGACCAAAGAGAATTTGAAGAGAGATCCATAGTCCTGGTCCTGCATTTCCTTCAGTTTAATGGTGCTTATAATTGATATCTCCATTTTCCTTGTGAAACTGGGAAGTAGAAATTAAAGCAATGTTCCCAGGATTGGTACATATTTTGAAGCTCTCAGCAAGGCTGAAAATATCCATCGATATATTTTGAAGTGTAATTTCTACTCCCTTACCAGTCAAAATAATTGAACGGGAAGAAAAAGCTGTTAATGCAGGAGGCATATAACATCAGATCTACATTGCCTGGAAATTTACCATTTCAAAGCAATTGAAGGCTTTTACAGCCAATGTTTACAGTCCTACATGTCCCCTTCTCACTGAAGCCACCCTCTGAAGCCATCAAAAGGCCCATCAGTCTGGCTTGGACACTGAAATTGCTCACAGTGTCTGGAGCTGATGCCAAAACAGGGAGGATTTTAAAATATCATCCTGCCATTTTATCAGCGTGTAAATTTTATGGAGTTTCCTCCTGGTAGGTGGTAGGAAACAGCTGGGGCTGTCTATCAGTGCTCATGGAGCCAGTGGTGGCAGAGCTCCATGGTGGCATGGCCAGGCACATCCTCCCCACGCACAGCTTGTCTTCTTAGTTGTCCAGTCTAAGTTGACATTTATCCCTTTTGCCCAACAAGAAAATACCTGCCCAGTGACAGTAAGCCAGAGGGCTGCAAGTTTTTTGGCAGAGGGATGGCGCTATGCTGCCTCTCACAGCCTCTGCCTGGACCCTGAATCTCAGCCCGGAGCCCAGCAGGACAGACAGACAATAGACTTTGCCGGCAGCCATCTTCTGTCTTCTGCCAGTACTTGTGTATGGGTGGGTGGGCGGGTGCATGTGTGCACAGGCTCTGTTTTCAATTGGAATTTGACTTCAGGCTTTTCCTGGAATTACTAATTTCTTTCCTCCTATTTGTGTCCACCGGAGAAAATTTCTAAATCCATGTCTGATCACTTGTCTTTCCTTCCACCTCTGAATCACTTATCTTTACAAAGACCACTACCTAAAGATGGAGCACGCAGTATTTTCTTGGGCAACTGGGACAACTGGGAGATGGGAAACCTGGGTTTTAGAAATGACACTTCAGAATATATCGATGGATATCTTCAGCCATACTGACAGCTTCAAGATACATACCAATTCCAGGAACACTGCTTTAATTTCCACTTCAGTAGCTGATATGCTGTCAGCTAGCATGGTGACCCTGGAAAAGTCACTTATCTGGGCCTCTTCCTCATGTTTATGGGGAGGGCTTTGGGAAAAAAAGGAAGGAAGAAAAAGAAAAGAAGAGAAAAGAAAAAAGAAAAGAAGAAAGAAAAAAGTACTTGGAAGGTCCTTTCAAGTGCTAGCATTTTAGAATTCTATTTACTTGTTTTAATGTTTTAAACCATTCCCTGCCTCAGCAAGAATGATGGGCAATCAACTAGGATACAATTTTCTTTATTATCATTTGATCCCCCCCTCTACATCTTACACACACACAGACATACACACACACACACACACACACACACACACATCCCAACAACTGAAAATAGTCCATTTGTTCAAGAATCTGGAAACTTCTGGATTACAGCAGACTAAAAAAGGAGAAATTGGAAGAATGTACAAGAAATTGGTACATCTGGGGATGCCTCTGAGGAGGGGAGTTTGAGGGGAGCATGAGTAGGAGAGAGACCTTCATTGTATACCCTTTGTGCCTTTTCAATTTTTTTTACCTCTTTACCTAAAATTCTTTTCCAGCAAGAAAAAAGTTTTCCTTCCTCTTTCTTCTACCTCAGGCCTCTCTGCAGCTCAGTGCCTAGGGGAAGAGGAGCCCAGTGACTGAGCTGGAGTCACACGCTGGAAGCTGCCTTCAGACCAGACCCTCCCTAAGGGTCCCTCTCTAGCCAGGCTGGCCAACAGCCTTGCTCCCCCGGCTGCCCCATGGGCCTGGAGGGGTTCTGTGGGTGCACACCCGCTGCTGGCTACCCCTGCCGCCGGCACTCATCTGAGCTGTCGAGCTGTGTAGGGATTCCATTCAGAGTGCTCCAGTAAGGGACTGGCCCCATAGCTCCAGCAGCAGATGGGCAAAGAGGCCTAAGAATTCAGCAAAAGGGGAAGTACATCCAGCCTTAAATTCTCCAGGCTGTGCCATCCCCTTTCAAATGCAGACTGCCTTTGTTTGTTTTCTACTACTAATATAACATGAGGACAGGCTCATAAAAAATAATAAAAGGGCAAGAGATGAGTAGGAGACAGGGTCCTCACAGATCCCTTTGTTCCTGGCCTTATCCCCAAACTGCTTGCCTCCATGTGGCAGAGCTGAGCTGCAGGGTCTCTGGCAGGGTCCCACTGCCCTGGTCTCCCCAGTGCCTGCTCCTCATCAACTTTCCCTCATGACATCCAGCCTCCACCTGACCTTCCTCTTTTGATTCTAACCTTTAATGGGTGCTGGCCCATCACTTGTGTGTCCTATGTTCTCTATGCCCCTCCTCAGATTTCTGATCCCCCCCATTACCTGTTTCACCGACTTATGGCACTGCCACACTGCCAAGAATAGCCATCATCACTGAGGTCTGCTTCCTAGTCTGGAGCTCTCACTTGCCCCACAACCGAGATTGTTCGAGGTAGGAGCCTCTACCGTCCATTCACATACCCCATACCCTACATCTTTCCAGAATCAACACAGCCAATCTCCCCTTAGCAAGTAAAAAATATTCATGTCCTTCCTTTGTATGACCCCTTACTGGGAATCCAGAGATCATGATGCTTAGGTCTTGTAAGTGGTCTCCGTGGATAGGGTGGGAAGAGGCCACATTGGTCTTCTGAAGTCCTAACTCTCTTTGCTAAAAGATACTCTTTTGAAAATGGCTCTGCACGCTGCCCATGCTCAATCTGGGGTGTCCTGGCTGTGCTGGAGCACTGACTGCTGACCTCACATTGCAGGCCCCAGTGTTTGCCACTGCAATGAGCAGCCTCTCCTGCCTCCCCAGCTGCACACAGGCCCAGGTGGGGCTGGGCTGTCCCCAAGCAGGCCACGGGAAGGTGGAGGCAAGAAGATCATCGGGAAGCCATGACAGTCAGACAAGCAGCAGCAGATGGGGATGTGCACTGGGTGGAGTGGACAAATAGCACGAGGAAAATCAGCTTTGGGGACAGAAAAAGCCAAGTGGGAAGTGTAATAAATACTAAAACCAGAAAAGCCTGAAGACAGTCCATCTAGGGAGCAGCAGGAGGATGGCTAACATCACTGGAGTTTAGGTCGAAGGGGAGGACAGCAGGAGGGGTCGAGGTGGTCAGTATTCCAGGGGCTAGGGACAAGAGAAATGGCACAACATAAGTCTCTCGGGAAGGGTCACTCACCTTCCAAGCTGTTGGACTCATTGGCTGCCACAAGAAGAATCTATTTAAAACACACCAGGCATTTTGCCTCATTCTGTTTCCCTGCCCAGAAAAGGCTGGAGCCGAAGGCTGAGGGAGAGGGAAGGATTCCAGCATCAGGACCCTGCATGGATGACATGGCTGAGACCATTCAGGATGGGGAAGATCCCTGCTCCATCCTGAATGACCCACACTTACATCCCCCACCCCCACCTAAGCTGCCAGGCCACTAAACTCCTCGCATATTGAACACAGTCCCAAAGGCAGCTTGTGGTACCATTTCCACTGGGAAATACTCAATGGCTTCCTTCATCCTGTTTTCAAGCTTGTCAGAAAGCAGATGCTGCTCAAATCTGACAGCTGCTCTTAAGGGCACGCTCAAAGGGCACTCCCTGACCAGTGGGAATATTCTTAATGATGACTGAGAGGCCTTGGGTGTTTAGACTATGGCAAGACAAAGGAGCGAGCATGAAAGGGCATCAAGGGTAAAATGGCCCTAGGGAAACCATACGGGACTTGAATTGGAAAACACCAACAGCCTCGCTCCTTTCTCTGGACTGTGTATCTTTGGGAAGTTCTAATTTGGAGAAGACCTGACTCCTTATCCACCTGCCACAGAGAAAGTATTAATAAAATATGAGGCTAGGGTCTATGAGAAGTGGCCCAGGAAAGCCATCTATGCAAATTTTGTTTCCTTCCTACTTGAGAGGGTTGGGGATGAGAGGTCCTTCCTTCCCTGGCTCATAAGCCCATGAGTTGTGTAAAACACTGTTCAAGAAGGCAGAATATAAGCCCTCTGTTGTGCATGATATTCATATTCTTGAAAGAATTAGTGTATAAATCAAATTTTACCTGCCAGAGAAGCTGGCTTTTCAAAATAAATTTGAAGTCAATCCTATGTTTAAACAGAAGGATGGCTTGTAAAGGTGAATAACCATCCTAGGTCACAATTTGCAAATTGGGAACTCTGAATGTCTGACTTGGATGGTGGGGCAGGGGGTTCTGTCTAGAGATTAATCTATGGTTTGCTTTTAGGTTGCAACTAAGCATTACTTTAAAACAAACAAAAGACTGAGTTTTTAAAGAACATTTTTAATGGAAAATTTCAAATATATATATATATATATATAGAGAGAGAGGGGGCCCACTATGATAAACACACAGCTTCAGTGATTCTCAACCCATGGCCAATCCTGTGAGAAACATGAACTTTTGAACCAGCTGACAGATATAGAGGATGAACTTCGTGGTACAGAACAAAAAGAAGTAGTCCTACTCAGGCTGCAGTATCCAAAACGTTTCTGCATAAATGCCCTAAACTAGAGCCTAAAGTGTGAAACAAAGGGGTGGAGAATATTATTGGTTCGCGACCAAATAAGAAACCTGGGAATTAAAACACAAAACAAAACCACACACACATACAATCTCTCTGAGGGATGCAAATTAATAGTAACACTGGTTGCCTTCAAGGAGGGCAGAAAGACTGGAGCGATTTTCATTATATGTTTTTTAAAAATTTTATACTATGTGCACATTTTACCTATTTTTAAAAATTAACTTACTAAAAACAAACATGAAGCTTTGCAATAACCAAATCCACTAGATGTGACAAAAGGGAAAACTGTCTGGACTCAATATATAAGAGGACTTATATTCTGCCTTACTGAACAGTGTTTTACACAACTCATGGGCTTATGAGCCAGGGAAGGACGGACCTCTCATCCCCAACCCTCTCAAGTAGGAAGGAAACAAAATTTGCATGGATGGCTTTCCTGGGCCACTTCTCCTACACCCTAGCCTTATATTCTATTAATACTTTCTCTGTGGCAGGTGGATCTTCATCACATTTTGATCTGGATTTACTGTTTTATAGTAATTTTCTCAGCTAGAAGAATGCACAACCTTCCAATCCCAAAACGTACATCATTAGAATAGGTGCTTCACAAAATATTAAAAACACCAGCCCCTGGTGGTTATATGGATATATGCATTTGTCAAAATTCATTGAGTTGTATTCTTAGATGTGTGCACTTTATCATATGTTACTTATACTGCACTTTAATAAAGTATTGCTAAAAACAAAACAAAAAATCACAGTCCTTGTGGACAAATAAGCCAAAAAATCACCACTTAGAGGTTTGTTGGGTTGGTGGTTCAGAGAAAGCTGCTGTTATGAGGAAACATTATGTGGACTTTTTGCAAAAACTTACTCTTTGGAAACCACCACTACAGCATGTGCTTTTGGTTAAGCATTCCATGGCTGAAACGCAACTCTATGCTGAAATGCCGAGAGGATGAGGCAAAATCTTGGCCAAGGTCAAGTTCTGTTGATGGTCTGAGAGGGGGATGGCAGCCAAGTGCTCTGCACTTGTATAACATTTAAAAAAGAAAAACTAACCTAAGTCATCTTCTGTTCCTTTTTGTAGCCAACTTTAGTCCTGCTCATTGTGTCCAAGAACTCAGAGGCAGCCATATGTGCAACAGCTCAGGCTTACCAAACCTCCAGGGCCAAACATACATATCGTGATTAAAAAGAAACGAAGCCAGCCAACAGGGCTTTAGTTGATTCCATGGGATATAAGGAGAAATTTCAGAATTTTAGATAAAGTTAGGGTCCATCGAGGAGAGGGCAGAGAAATGTAGTTGAGCTTCCTGTTTGGCTAGCTGCCTACTTTTTCTGAAACAAACAACAAAAGGACCCCAATTTGGTAAAAGCAGGGGCTCATGTCTAGATCTAGGTGATTATTGTGGAAAGAGCTCCAAGATGAACACATTTGATACAAATCTGTGTTACACAATGAAAAGCCAATCCACTTTGGGACTGAAACTAAGCACAAGGATGGACTAGAAATTGTATTTTCTGTCAGGTCATAGGGGATGGAGATATAGAAAGAAATGTCTTCAGCAGCTTATAAAATGCAAACTTTACATTTTGCACATGTCTGTCTAGCTGATGCCCAGGCAAAGGCAAAGGCAAGCAGGACAAAGTCCAAGGCATGTCAGGGTTATACAAAACAGGCTCCGGAGATGCTTCCCTGTCTCCCTGTGAGTTCTTCATGTCTTAGCACTCATGGATGGGTAAGAACACGTTAACAGTGTGGACGCCTCCAATATTCTTGGGCTGTTACAACCCCACACACAAAACACAGAAAGAGTATTTTTACTTATTGGTTTAAGGTTTTTTTTTCAAAGTACCCAATTCAATTCTCCATTACATACATATATACATACATATATGTGTGTATATATACATATGTATATATACACACATATATACGTATATATGTATATATACGTGTGTGTGTGTATATATATATAAAATCTTAATTTCTTTATCCTTAAAATGAGAAACAGTCTTTCCCCACTCAATATCCTCCCATCTACAACACCTGGCACACTTGCCTCATTTCCCTTTTACACTTATCTCCTATTAAATCCTAGAGCACTGGCAATGTGGTTAAACATACAGATTTCCCTTCTCTCTTTCTGATTATTCAGTGGACTGGGCGATAGGGAAATGTGAGCTCCCCACACACAGACATCTCTGGTGAGACAGGTATTCTGACACCAGATGGAGAGAGCAGGCTTCTCCCTAGTCAATGAGGCCATGGTGTGGCATCCTGCTTCCCTCATTACCCTTCTTTCCATGCAGTCTCCATTCCCAGCGCTGGGGGTGGGACGAGAGTGTGCAACAAAGCAGAAAGTACACAGTACTCAAGGGAAAGGGCCACATAAGGAAACAGTGGGGTGGATTACAGAATGCTACAGCTAGGAGGGCCCTTACAGCACATCTAATTCAAACCTCTATAGATACAGAAAGGAGCCCAGAAAAGTGATCTGTCCAAAGGCACACAGCTGGTGGCTGGAACCAGAACCTCAGTCACCAGCACACTTTTTTTTGATCCTCCAATACATGACAGAACTAGGTATAGGAAAGAGCAAAATTTAAAGTTCAGTTCATGAACAAGCCCCCAGCCTACCCCATCCCCACTAAACAAACATACCTCCTTTAAAATTATCCATGTTTCAGTCTCATTCCTTTTCAGCCCCCTGTAGCTGACTAAGCTCAAAATTCTGTTTCTTACCCAGGACTTAATAGATACCCTGGTGGCCTGAGTGGCCAGAATCTCAACTCCGCCCTGGCGTGCTGCAGCCTGAGAAGGGAGATCTTTAGGAAGCAGAAGTAGGGGCCGGGTGCGATGGCTCACGCCTGTAATCCCAGCACTTTGGGAGGCTGAGGCGGGCGGATCACCTAAGGTCAGGAGTTCGAGACCAGCCTGACCAACATGGTGAAACCACGTCTCTACTAAAAATACAAGAATTAGCCAGGTGCGGTGGTGCACGCCTGTAACCCCAGCTACTTGGGAGGCTGAAGCAGGAGACTCGCTTAAATCCAGGAGGCAGAGTTTGCAGGGAGCCAAGATTGCATCACTGCACTCCAGCCTGGATGACATGAGCAAAACTCTGTCTCAAAAAAAAAAAAAAAACAAAAAAAAAAGCAGCAGCAGCAGAAGCAGATTCTAAGTAGCCATTTCAACTCAGGAATTTTCTGAACCCAAACATCATGCTTATAATAATGCTGCCTGTAAACTCGGCAGCTTTTGAAGCTTATGCTGGGAGAAAGGCAACAGGCTACCCATCCAGCAAGAGAGAAAAATTCAAGAATAACAAATAGCAAAAAGCAAATGCTTTGAGTTCAGTCTGGAGGGTATGACATTATCTCCATTCAGTCACAACACAAAATGACCTTTGAGGCAGCCTGCACCACATCAGAAGGGGGTACAACCCAGGATGCATGAACTAGGTCCTTTGACAACTCTGTTCCTCTGCAAAGGCAGTTCTTGATTATCTCTCAAATGATTAACCATTTGGTCCAGTTACCCAGTTTCTAGGGGCCTTCAACCAGAGTTGGCCACAGATAAAGCTGGTTAAAAAAAAAATGGTCTAATGTACTTCCCACCTTTCTAAATAACATGCTAGCATTTAAGCAAGGCCTTGCTTCCTCAAGCAAAGGGAGTGACTAATACGTCTCCTAGCAGGCTGGTGGAATCGGTACTTTTGAACACATGGGCTGTGTGGCTGCACGTCATCCCTACTCCATTGCCTGATGCAAAACTACTCCAGGACTGGGACAGGCAGAAGGTGCTGGGCTCTTGCACAAGGGGTATCTTGGTGAATGCCTGAAAATTATACCTGAATTCCAAAACAAAAGTATTTGGGGGACTGAGCACAGTGGCTCATACCTGTAATCCCAGTACTTTGGGAGCTAAGGTGAGAGGACGGCTTGAGGCCAGGAGTTTGAGACCAGCTTGTGCAACAAAGCATGACTCTATCTCTACAAAAAAATTAAAAAATTAGCCAGGCATGGTGCCACAAGGCTGTAGTCCCAGCTACTTGGGAAGCTGAGATGGGAGGATTGCCTGAGCCCTGGAGGTTGAAGCAGCAGTGAGCCATGACTGCACCACTGCACTCCAGTCTGGAGTGAGACCATGTCAAAAAAAAAAAAAAAAAAAAAGTACTGGGGAGATTATGTATTATTTTTATGTTATTCATATCAATCAACAGTTAATCAAAACAAGAATCATTCTTATACCCTCTTTTAGTTTATCTCTTCCAACAGAAACTGATTCTCAGTGTATCCCTAAGGGGATTAGGTACTCTCAAAAAATAACCATCTTATAATAGGAAACATAAAAGACCAGAAAGAAAGATCCATTTAAAATACATAATAATTAGTAAACTAGCAAACTGAGAAAATATCTCCTTTAAAAGAAAAAATGATACTTCTTATAAGGCTGAGACATAAGGAAGGGGAAAAAAAGGAAGAAAGGATAAATAAATGAATGAAAAATTGAGAGGCAGGGTAAACTAAGAACTTAACTTACAGTCAAATGTTAGGGCCCCAAACTAATAGGCGAATAGGAAGGTGAACAAAACCTCTTTCTGCCTGCTGGATTCTTAAGAGTCTAAAATGCATGATTAAAATGGCTTTATTTCAACAGAACACATTTTGTCATCTGATCTCTATCCGTGACATGGATAAGAATAAGTAACTTATGGCTGTGCTCTTAAGCGTAAGCCGTAACAAATCCCTGAATATTGTGCCTCATTCACTTTGGGATGGCAAATCACTAATTGTTTGTGTAGCAGGGAAAAAACATCTGCCTACAGCCTATATTTTAAAATTTAAAATTTTATTTTTTTACCTTTTTTTTACATTTTTATTTTAAAATAAACAGTGTTTCCAAAAAACATTGACTACAAGGGGGAAATGAGGCAATAAGGTTGGAAGAAGGGAAGGACTCAAGAAGAAATGCTGAACCTGCAAACACAATGATCAGGGAGCATGCAGAGAGGCCCTTGCTGTGACACTGTCCTCTCACTGCTACTCCTATGAAGCCCAGTGACTATGCTGGGACACTGGAGCTAAAGGGTCAAAGAGAAGCATTTCATTCCTAAAAGGTGATGTCAATTTGTACTTAGCCCCAGCAATGTGAATCCCCCTCTTCACAGTCCAATTCTAAGATTCCATTCTTAAGAAATTACCAAAGATAGAGCCAAAGAGATATATACAAGAAACTTTATCACATCATCATTGATAATAAAAGTATCTGAAACAACCAAAATTTTCAACAGTGTGGGGATGGATAAGGTAGAACCACTAGAAATCTATTTTCAAAGATTTAAAAACATAGGAAGTTACTCGTGATACCATGTTAATCAGTGAGAGGGTAAAGTTAGGATACCAACCTGTATCTATGTATGACCTTCAATTTTGTGTAAATATACACCTTATATGCACTTTTTAATACTGAAAGGAAATTCATAAACATATCAGCAAAGTTTAGCTCTGTTTTAGATGGAGAGAAGATGGCTAATTTTTATTCTTTGTTTAGATTCTTCTGTAATGAGCATTGTTACTTTTATATCAGAAAAATAGACATTTGCCATAAAATAAGTCTACCCTCAAATCTCTGATTTAAGACGACAATTGTCAGTCTTAGGAAAAGCCTGCTAAAGTTCAAAGCAGACTCAAAGAAAAAAGATTCAAATCTACACAGTGACTCTCTCCTGAAAAGGATGAGAAATCTTGTGTGACGCAGTCTGGCTTTTTCCTCTACTTTGCTGCTGGCTCTATTTTACTGCGCCTCACAGAAAGCTCCATGGGAAAACCCTTTCCCTAGCACCTTAAATGACCTTAAGTGTTTCTCACCTCTTGGCATGAGGATTAGAAGGAAAGAAAATGAAACAGCCCTACTCCCTTGTTTCAAAGGAAAAATTTTTCTTGCAAAGCTATCAAAATGACTTAAAATCAGCTATGCAAAATTTGAAACATAAGTCATGAGTTACGTTCAGTAACCAGTTGCTTTTTTCTCAAGAATGAATATAAAAACAAATCTATGAGTGCCCTCTTGTGGCAAGCCTGACTATTACCACAACCCAAGTACCAGCCTCTCCCTGTCTATTTCCACGGCTCTCCTCCACTCCTGGGCTCCGCATAACACAGCCAGGAGGCAGAGACCCCATAATAACCCACTACAGTGAATGCACATTCCTCAAAGTGGCTGGTACTATTTGTTTTCAAGGATTTCTAGTTTAGATCCCAGAAATGCCTGCCTGAAGACAAGTGGGAATGAAGGGTCAGAAGAGCAAGATGCAGGATGTGCACGTGGGTTCATGGGCTGCTACTGATGGCCGATGGTGACTGTGTCTGGTATATCCATGCACACATACCATGGCACTGCCAGGAGGCAGGGACCTGTAGGATAAATAGCCCCTCCCCTAGGAATGCCAGTTTTATAAAGTCGCGAAGTTTTACATTTACATCCAGTGAGCCTTGTGCTTACAAGTAGTTTTATTATTAATTTTAGAGTAAACATCACCAACTTGGGCACAATTCCAAAATAGAGCTCTTGTTGGATTCTGGTCATAAAATTCTTTTTTAAGCTTGTTAAGATCTTATAAAATAAGAAAGTTTTCCCAATACTTTAGAAAAATTACTAATCATTAATAAGTCGATTTTATACTCAAAGTAATGGCCTAACATTTTGAAAGATGAAACAACGCTCCTCTTTTGAACATCTAATGTATTAAGTAAGCTCAGTGTCCCAGGCTTCAGAGGAGACAGAGAAGTCCTCATATTGCAACCTGACCAGATGACTCTGGGAGTGAATTAAATGCTTAAAAGAGGTCAGTCTTGCAAATTCGATGAAGCACAGAATACAGGGGAACTGATACTGATTCTGATAAAAGATAACATTACTCTCAGAAAGGGGTGAAGCTAAAAATCTTGCAGTTCTGGGGCAGGAGGAGTGCAACAAGCAGGCAACAAACAGCATGAAAGGAAAAGCTGAGTGAATTTCAAAGTTCTATTGGGAGATGGAGTTTGTGGTTCTTTCTGCCCCACCCAGGTCAAAGGCTCATGTCCAGAAAAGGATTTCTCCCAGTGATAGGGTGGAAGTGTGTGGCAGGAAGTTGCTGTTTGGTCCTGGAAGTGTAAAGGAAAGCCTTTTCAAGTACGTGAAGTAGACTGAAGTGACCCAGATGGGATGGATCCCAACCACATGAGTTACGGGAGAGCATGAAGCCAAAGAAATGATAATTATGAAGTTGAATTGGGAAAATAAATTTGACTCCTTGTTCACTTCTCCAGCCTTTGGAAGAACTTTTTCTCCCCTCCTAACAGGACCGATATACTGGACAGCCCCTGTTAGAGATAAACCGAGGCACTAGACAAGGAAGAAATGCATTAAAAACATTTTTTTTAAGTCTTGACAAGTCACTTCTGGGAGAATTCTTCATTTTTCCTCTGCACAGGGACAGCAGAAGAGGGAGAGTAAAAATAAAGGCGAAGGCCTCTCTTGTCCACAAAAATGAGAGGAAAAAAGACCCTGCCCGTTTAAAATCCAAAACCATAAACTCTCCTTCAAACAATATCTTTGCTCCAGCAGAAGCATCCTGGGATTAGTCTAGGTTAGTATTCTGAGTTGTGTCACACAGGCTTTGACAATTAATGATGTACTAAAATGGGAAGAGGTGACTCTTCAACCTTGGCTCCAGCTTCCCACTTGTCCTAACTGGGAGGAAAGCAGCTATCAAGACAGCTGGATGGGAAGATCTTCCCCGAATTTCCGGAGCAGCTTCTGATGGTTGTGGTCCACTGACCACTGCTGGGGCAGGTGCTTGGGCTGCATGGAGTCCAGGAAGTGCTGACGCCAGCGGCTCTCCAGCTGCATGAGGGAGCGCAGGCCACCCTGGCTGTGACACTGCACCACCTTCAGCCCGTGAGGAACATAGTTTTCATTGGAGATTCTGCCAAAACATGAAAAACAAAGTGTCTGAGGGAAACAAGCGCAGGATGGCCTCACAGACAGCTTCAAATGCTGCGCGCCAAGGGTAACTGGGGAGGTTGAAGGACTCCTAAAGGGTTAGTTACTTTGGTGTTTTCGAAACATCCTCTTTCTTATCTCTGCCCTTTTTATAGTCTGAACATACGACTCGCAATCCCAACAGAAGGTATTTGAGGGTTCTGAGCTCTACTGACAGGAAGGCCACTTCATAATGTTCAGCTCCCACGAGAGGGGCACTACCATCCAGCTGATAATGGATGAAGAATGCTGGTCTTCCATTTCTTCCAGGATTACCCAGTGACCAGTTCACCCCTCTTTTAAGTTGTTCATTCTGGGACACAGTATTTATATGAGGCTGTTAAATCGGCCCGCATGTTACACTTTTTCACAACACAATTTAATAACTGAATGTCAAATGCAAGGTAGCATATTTCTTTAGAGCCTTTTTTCTCACAAAAAGATGCCAAGCCACAGTGGTGAGAAGTGTTTCGGTCACAGTGAAATGCTTCCATGGTTGCTCAGTTGTGCAAATGGTGCCATTAAATGAGAAGATGAATGCCTCCCTCCTTCCTAACTAAGCAGAGTCCTTAAAAAACTGCTCCGATGCTGTGTGAATGGTGCTTTCACCTCCTGTGAATAAAGATGACCTTCCTCAAGGAAGCACCCTGCCCACACACACTCTCCTCTCCCTACATCCATACCCCATGTTCAATCCTCCCTCCCAAGACACCCGCCACCCCAGCAGTGTTGGCGTCTCTGGGTATCTGCAGACACTTTATTATTAATATTTAGCTCATGCGCTTCCCACTAACTTGCCTGTCTCCAAACAACTGTTCTTCTCAGTCACAAGTCCAGCATTCATCTACCCAATTCAGCAAGATGAATTTGTTAGAAAAGTCTGTGGCCGAAAGGGGAGGTTTAGCTGCTTTAGAAAACATATTGGCAGCTGGGCGTGGTGGCTCATGCCTGTAATCCCAGCACTTTGGGAGGCCAAAGCAGGAGGATCACTTGAGGTCAGGAGTTCGAGACCAGCCTGACCAACGAGGTGAAACCCTGCCTCTACTAAAAATACAAAAATTAGCCGTGTGTGGTGGCACACACTTGTAATCCCAGCTACTTACAAAACAACATCTATTCTACAACCTCACAAAATAGTTATGGGGATAAAATTCTATAATTCTTTTAAAACCCTGAAAGATTTTTTAAATTTAAGATATAGTAGCAGTTAACCAGTAAGAAATCTAAATCCTACTTTGTCGGGTTGTCATGAGAAACAATTAAGGCAATTTATGTGAAGTTTATTAGCTGGTTTGCTGCAAGATATAGTATATCTATAAATAACTGTTCAATAAATATTTGCAGTATCTGTAATGGATCAGTAGTAATGGATAAGAGTAAAAAAATTTTTGTTTTCTAAAAAAATTAAATATTTGCTTATAATTGGAGTTACTTTTTTATTTTTCAGTTAACAAAAACCAGCATCACGCTCAAGGTTTTGTGAACTTATCAGTTCCCTTATTTCAACTCCTGGTCCTGTTGGAAAAAGTGACAGTTGGGAGGCAGAACTGCGCATGGTAGCCCAGAGCTCTTACCATCTGAGCCACGTGCCCATTCATTTCTCATTTCAGAATACTGCATTGTGTCACAAGAATTCAACTATGTACTCATGGAGAAGGAGGGAGAAAGCAAGGAAGGAAAAAAGAGAAAAGTAATTTACATAGTAACAGCAATTCTGCTCAACATTCCATTCAGTGAGCCGATACCCTGGAGTGCAGGTGAGATAGGAACCATGAATTCATTAGTCACAGTTCTCACAGACCTGTATAAAGTCGGAGACACAAAACCACACATAGAATTGGCCCTCCATCTTTGTGGGTTCTGCATCTGTGGATTCAAACCTCAGATCAAAATGATTTGGGGCCAGGCACAGTGGTTCATGCCTGTAATCCCAGTTCTTCCAAGGCAGGTGGATTGCTTGAGGTCAGGAATCTGAGACCAGCCTGGGCAGCCTGGTGAAACCCCATCTCTACAAAAAATACAAAGATTAGCTGGGTGTGGTGGTGCATGCTTGTAGTCCCAGCTACTTGGGAGGCTGAGGTGAGAGGATCACTTGAGCCTGGGAGGTGGAAGTTACAGTGAGCCAAGATAGTGCCACTGCACTCCAGCCTGGGTGACAGAGCCATATACTATCTCAAAAAAACAAAACAAAAAAACCACAAAACTATTTGGAAAAAAAAAAAAAAAAACTATCTGTACTATCTGTACCAAACATGTACAAACTTTTTTCTCATTACTTCATAAACAATAAAATATAAAAGCTACTTACATAGCATTTGCATTGTATTAGGTATTATAAGTAATTTACAGGTTATTTAAAGTATACAGGAGGATGTGTGCAGGATATATGCAAATACTATGCCATTGTATATCAGGCACTTAAGCATTGGTGGATTTTAGTATCCAAGGGAGGTCCTGGAACCAATCCCCCATGGATACTGAGGGGTGAATGTACTGTATCTCATGGGGAACTTCAGAACTTCGAGGGTGTTATTGGACTATTATTTCATCTCATGTGCTGGCATGAGGATTTACGTCTGCATAGAATGTGTAAGATGCAGCTCCACCACAACTGCACTCGCACGCTAATCACAAAAATGACCGAAATTAAGTGTATGATCTTTAAAAAGGTCAAAGATAGGCACCTCACAAAAGCAAGTTTCCTATGGAAAGGAACTCCTCAAGTAGATTGTTCTATTCCACTTCCAAGGTATCTTAAACTACTAGACACCTACTAGGTGAAGCATGAGGCTAGGCACTGTGCCTAAGCAGCCAATGCCCCCTCCCTGGCAAGCATTCTCACTAAGTAATGAGGGTTAATGTCCCTGGTACATTCCACAATTCCTGTGCTTTGTACCTGGTCTCCAGGCTGGCAGCCTCTTGAAGCATCTCCTCTGTGACCACGTCTGTGTTATAAAACTCTCTGAGTGCTTGCAGCAGCTCCTCCTTTCGCTGAGTAGGCAGGCTCTCCGCGTTGAGCAGGGCCCTGGCCCCAGAACGCACCTGCCGGCGCTCAGGATCTTCCAGCAGGCGCAAGCCCTCCTCAGAGCCGATGGGGGCCTGGAACTCCTTGGCCAGCTGCTGCTTCAGATGGTTGTCATAGTAGTTGGAAATGGCATGGCAGGAGGTGCAGAGCAGCAGCACATCGTGGGAGTTGTGGTCCTTCATCTCGATGGGGAAGTGCTTCCGGTACTCATGTGGAATCACGTTCTTCCTGGAACAAGCCCAGCCGGAAAGCAGCGCTCATAAGTGTATGACAGAGCACATGGGAAGACAGCAGACAGGCTACTGGGGTTCTAACTGGGGCCTAACCATGACTGAGAAGCCTTGGGCACCACCGCCCAACACAGATCACAGAAAGGCAGTATCACCTATTCCACTCTCAGCCCATCTGTGTCTTAGCTTCCTCTCTCCTGCAAGTAAGTACAGACCACCTGCTGTGGGCTTCAGTGGTGGGCCAGCATAGTGACAGGTTAATAACAACCTCTGAGAAGGCTGTGCTCCCAGAAGGGAAAGTCTCAGAGAACTGAAAAGATACTCTAATGGCCTTTGACAACTGGAAAACAACTCTCTCAAGAAGGCCTAGGAACCTGAAAAAGCCAATTTCCTTCATCTGAGGAATACCTTAATCTATTTCCCTGGTTCACCAGGTTCATCATTATTTTCTAAGGAGAACTAAGCTCTCAGGAAAAACTCTTGGCAGCAATGACTTTGTCTCACTTTGCAGGGGAGAAAGGAGGAAAGTGAGTGACTCCACAGAAGCCAGGGAGAAAGCCCAAGTGTCTGGGCACTCAGACGTAGTCGGCAGCCTCACCCTCACAGTGCAGGGGCCCTGATGTGAAACAGTATTACAACACAGAGCAGGCTTCAGGACATCTGGATACTCCATGAATAAAACCATGGCTCAAAAAGCTGGTCAGCCAGTCAAGAGAGGATGAGAGGGACACAGCTTCTGAAGGAACTGGTCTTCAGTCTTTCATGAGCAAAAGGGAACCACTGTCCCCATGACAGACCATTACTGAGTATGGTGTTGCACTCCAGAAACTGAGAAACGGCTCAGGAGGGGTAAGGGCCACTATAGCAAGGGCGGCAGAATACCAAAGCTCTTGGGGAAGCTGGATACTAGGAACAAGCCTCTCAGCCAAAGTGGACAGACTCAGCCACAGCCCCCAAAGGCTCTGCATATGGCTACAAAAGCAATTTCCATCTGCCACAGACAACCAGGGTGGCCCAATGCTGCACTCACCGAATGTAGGAGTCTCTCTTGCCACACACTACACACAGGTTCTCTTTAACCATCAAGTAATAGTCTCCAGGAGATTCGGGCCTTCCTGCAGGTTCAAACCGTAGCTTCACCACAAAGGGCTCTTCACTCACCAGCTCTTAAGAGAAGAGACATCAGTGTTTGACTGCTCCCCCTGCCCCCACCACCACACCCAAGAAGCAGCACTACCTTCACTGTTCTCTGCTATGGCCTGGCAGAGAACATGATTTCTGGGTTGTGCCTACCCAGTCCCATGCATCTCACGGTCTCTCTGCCTTCTTCTATCCCTCCCTCTTCCTTATCTCACTCCCCACTCCTGCCAGCATCCAATGCACCTAATTAGAGATAAACAAGGACAGCTGAATCTCATACCACCAATGCCTTTGTCCAGGTACCACTGAGCTTTTCTTCTATCACAAGTGCAGAGGGGCTGTCCATCAGGAGCATGGAGAAAGCAGTTATCATAAAGAGGTGATTTTCTGCAGGGAAAGGAAAGAGAAATCTCAAACCGGAAGCTAACTGTGGGTCAAAATGTCTGTTGCCTTCCCATGCTCTCTTCTGAGTGACTCAAAACTATTCTCAACACTAAGGTCAAACACACCACTATGGAAAAAACAGAGTGAGAAACCATGTTTAATCCTCACCTGCACTGGGCTAGGAAACAGAACTAAAAATGAATGAGTTTATGCCTCTAGTTTTTACACTTATGGACTAGGACATTAGGGAGTGTGTCAAGTGGTTTACACACAGCTCTGCTGTGAATGCAAAAAAGAACCAAGCAACAAGAAAACTGCCAAATCACTGGATTAAACAAAGTACATTAAAAATTTTAAAGTTCAAGCCAAAGTAATGAGGGCCATGTGGATTTACTTCTAACTCACATGCAGTAACACTTCCTTCAATTTAATCATCCAATTAATTCCTAAAGGCACTTTGCTACAGGGACCAAATTTATGCTCCAAAGTACTTATTAGTCATCTTCCTACAATAGAGGAATAAGTTATACAGGACATTTTTCATTGGCTAGAGAGTAACATTTTCTTGGAGCTGGATGTCATTCTAAATAATCAAATAACATATGAACAAGAAATCAGATGATGCATTTCTCCTGAAAAGTATGAGGCACTACATGTTATTTATTTTCCACAGCTAGCCTGAAACAAGGAAGGAATGATAATTATATCCCCATTTACAGTTGGAGAAGTTAAGGCCTAAGGTCACATCAGGGTCAATGACAGAACTAAGCTAAGCTTTCCTCATTTCCACCCCAACTGTCAATAAATAAAAAGGTAAAATAAGGGAAAAGGAGAAAAATACACAAATAAAGCAAAGGAGAGACCAAATGTCTCTGATGGAAAGAAAAAGCAAGATTAACCCCGGGAGAGCTGCTGCTCCCCTACTACAAGCCTTCTCCCCAGACCCCAGGGAAGCATCAAACCCTTTGCTAAGGCTGGGCCACTGACTCTTTACTAGACAGGGAGTGATTCAGTTACCTGGCAGAATAGCCCACCCCCAGAGGCTTTCTTTTATGTTTTCTGGGGTCTCTCCCTTGGTGGTTGCCTGGCACCATCCCATCCATCTTAGACTTCTTATTTCTTGGCTTCTGCTGAGATTCTGTTGCTTCCCCATTAACCTCTTCTCCCAATCTGCTCATTCCTTTGCTTCGAAATGGGATGTCGACCACACCCTGGCATTTTTCCAAGACTTTTCTCCAGCTACTGTGGTCATCGTTTTTTTCTCCAGGTGAATTCCTAGAGAAAGGGTATCCAAGAAGATGAAGAAAGAGAGCCACTGAAATCTGGGCATCCCTGGCAGCATAAATTACCTGAAGAGAAAAGTCAGAGATCAGTGGAATCTGGAAGGCAAACCAGAGAGAAAAACTTCAAAGTCAATCACAAAGAAATAGATAACTCTTAGGATCCTAATTCAAAATGTACGACAACCTGGGCACCATACACTTCCTTAAAACTTCTTATTATAAAAATTTTCAAACTACACAAAAGTAAATTGAATAGTATGATTAACTCTCATGTTCCCTATGTTTTTAACTAAAATAGCTAAAATAATGACTTACTCTAAATGCTGGAAAATCCTCACCTATATAAATCAGTGAAGTTTCTATCTACTACCAAATTGCTGGACAGATTTCTCTCAAGTTTGGGGGAAGGGTAGTTAACAAAGGCCTGATAACTAGTACATGAAATTCACTTTGGAGGCAGTCATCCTCTGGAATGGCTGAAATCATGATTCATTAAGAGGCCTGTGTGACTGTCAATCAGAAATGAACTGCCATATCTATTAATATGATATTGAAAACAAAAAAAACAAATAGGTTTCAAACATGGGCCTCAAATCAAAGTCACAGGGCCCATTCCTGGAATTTACTTATTTAATAGTGGTAAGTCATTCTCCTAAGCAACTGGTGATAGGCAAGCTGGTCATAAAGAAAAGTACTGTGGGCCAGGTATGGTGGCTCACACCTGTAATCCCAGCACTTTAGGAGGCCAAGGCGAACAGATCACCTGAGGTCAGGAGTTCGAAACCAGCCTGGCCAACATGGTGAAACCCTGTCTCTACTAAAAATACAAAAATTAGCTGGGTGTGGTGGTGGACGCCTGTAATCCCAGCTACTCAGGAGGCCTAAGGCAGGAGAATCGCTTGAACCCAGGAGACGAAGATTGCAGTGAGCTGAGACCGTGCCACTGCACTCCAGCCTAGGAGACAGAACAGGACTCTATCTCAAAAAAAAAAAAAAAAAAAGTAGCGTGGTCAAAACTAAAATTCGGCTGGGTGTGGTGGCTCACGCTTGTAATCCCAACACTTTGGGAGGCTGAGGCGGGTAGATCACTTGAGGTCAGGAATTTGAGACCAGCGCAGCCAACATGGGGAAACCCCATCTCTACTAAAAATAAAAAAAATCAGCTGGGCGCGGTGGCACGCGCCTGTAATCCCATCTACTCGGAAGGCTGAGGCAGGAGAATCGCTTGAACCTGGGGCTTGAACCCAGGAGGCAGAAGTTGCAGTGAGCTGAGATCGCACCACTGCACTCCAGCCTGAGCGACAGAGTGGGACTCCATCTCAAAATAAATAAATAAATTAATTAAATTAAATTTAAAAAAAAAACTAAAATTTTAAAAAAACTAAAATTAATAGCTTTTCCCAACAAAAAGTGTAAGGACTTTAAAATTCTATTATTTCACCTTTAATAACCAAGCCAGTGAATAATTCTATTAGTAAGGATCATTTATACTTTTAGAGTAAAACAAGTTTGGATAAAATTTTCCACCTAGATCCAACAATCTACATATCTATTAGCAGACTGTTTCCCACAGAAGAATGTGTGCTTGAATGAGAAGACTTTAGAGTTCCCTCTAACACATTATTTTCTAATGATAAAGAAACAAATGGTACTAGGATGACTGGAGGTCCACATGCAAAAGAGTGAATGTGGACCCCTACCTCACAAGACACACAAAAATTAACTCAAAATGGATCACAGACTTAAATGCAAGAGCTAAAACTATATGACTTTTAGAAGAAAATATAGGAGCCAATCATCATGACCTTGGGTGAGGCAATGATTTCTTGACTATGACACCAAAAGCATAAGCAATTAAAGGAAGAGATTTTTAAAAAGAAACTGATAACTGGAGCTCATCAAAATTAAAAACTATTGTGCTTCAAACAACCAATGGTAGAAAATACTTTATAGATCATCTATCTGAAAAGGATCTAGAGTATACAAAGAATTCCTAAAACTCAAAAATAAAATAACAAATGACCCAATTAAAACATGGGCAAAGGATATGTATGAATAGACATTTCTCCACGGAAGATATACAAATGGCCAATACCCACATGAACAGATGCCCAGCATCATTAGTCACAAGGGAAATGTAAATCAAAACCACAATGAAATACCGCTTCACACCTACTAGGATGGCTCTAATGGAAAAGACTGACAATAACAAATGTCAGCAAGGATGCAGAACCCCGACACCCTCATACACTGCTGGTGGGAATACAAAATGGTGTAGCTACTTTGGAAACCAGTTAACATTTCTCAAGGATGAACAAGTGGTAACTGACTTGGCAAGCAAGGTTGAAACTAGGCCTATGCAAGTGGTATGGCAAAAAGCCTAAGTTCAAATGAGTTTGAGCCACAGAGACCAGGAAAGCATAAGGAATGGAGACACCAGGTATCTGTGAAGGCAAGGGCGGAAACAGAAGGATAAGGTGAAATCTCTATAGAGAACACTTACACCCTGATCTCCTCCTTTACAGCACAGGGCCAGACAACTATCCCTCCCCTAGCCCAAAAGACAGTAAAAGTTTAAATCATATAATGGTTAAACCACAGAGGATCTGGACCTGGTAATACCAGGCAAAACTGAAGGGAGGGACAAAATGTCACCTGAAGAAAGGGGGATTAAGGGAGAGATTACACATTGAATGTTAAAACCACTGGCACCTTTCCCCCACTCAGTGACTGGAATATAGGCAGTGGGACTTACACTTCTTGAATAGAATACTAGAAGATTCATCTGTGGAGAAACTAAGTCACCTGAGAGAAAAGACAGTTACTGACTTTTTTTTTTTTTTTTTTTTTTTTTTTACTGCTCATGCTCCCTTTCTCAAGAAACTGTTATGAATGTACTCCACCAAGGCAAGAAAGGAAGAAGACATGGAATTTAAAAAACAGAGGATCTACTATGAAAGAGAAAGGTGAAGGGAATTCCAGGCTGATGGTAAATGCAAATTCCAGGATGAGAGTTGGGCAGCAGGCCTAGAGTGCACTCCGTCCTGGGAGGAGCCAGATGATAGAGGGCTCTAGGAGAGAAGGCTCCAAGGGAAAATGAAACAAGTAAGTGACCTGACGTGTGTCTGAACCAGCCCAGAGGAGATCCATAGTTCTGATAAGGAGTCTGGGGTGGAAATAATAGGTACATGGAACACTATGCAAACAAAATACTAATTATTAATCCTGGGAAATAAAAGTAACTGCAGTTTACTATGTGACTCAGCTATAAATAATATAAATACTGTATATTAACCTGATAAAAATGATGATTTACCTAAATTGGGAGGATGGGGAAGAGAAGTATTTGTCCGGGGACAGGGGAGCTGCAAGAGTACTAAACCGTATCTCCCACAGTATGATGTCAAAAGATAATATAAATAAATAAGAAAGAATAACGCATGCATGTAATTTAGAAGTATAATGATAATTACCAGAAAGAAATGAAAGTGGTTGCCTCTGAGGAGAAGAAGGAAGAAGGATTAGGAATGGGGAAAGGTAATGCAGGGAACTACTTACTGCTTCTTAAAATAAGTTATAACTCCTACACACTTATAACACTATATTTTTTTTAAATTATACATTTGTATTCATAAAAAAAATCCCTTTTTCTGAAATGCCCAACATATAGTAAATGCTCAAAAAAAATCAGGACTCTTGGCCAGGCTCGGTAGCTCACACCTGGAGGTTGAGGTGGGTGGATCACTTGAGGTCAGAAGTTCGAGACCAGCCTGACCAACGTGGTGAAACCCCATCTCTACTGAAAATCTAAAAATATTAGCCAGGCATGGTGGTGCACATCTGTAATCTCAGCTACTCAGGAGGCTGAGGCAGGAGAATTGCTTGAACCCAGGAGGCAGAGGTTGCAGTGAGCCAAGACCGTACCACTGCACTCCAGCTTGGGCAACAGAGTGAGACTCCATCTCAAAAATAAAACAAAAGCAGGACTCTTATCCTTTATTTAAGTGATTATTGTAGACCAGTTAGCTGGAGTATCACCAGAGAATGAATCTATTTTAAGGCATCTCCATCCAATACTTATACTATATTTGAGAATTCGAATTTTATAAACAGTTATACTTCAGAAACAATGACTTTCCATTCTTCAACTACTCTGATAAGAAGTACCTGGTCCTCTGTGAGAGTCTCAGCATCCCAGTTGCTGCAACGAAGTAGAAGGGACTTGTCAAGGGGAAAGTTCAAAACAGTCTCAGCGAGGGACTTCAGGCTAAGCCCATTACAGAGCAAATTGTTTCTAAAAGAAACAAAGAAAACCATGCATCAAAAACGGGCAAAGGACATGGACAAGAAAATCAAAAAAGACATATAAATGGCCAATAAACAGAGATAACATACTGAATCTCACTAGAAATCGAAGAAAATGATAATTTGTTATCTATTTGTGAAACACTTTATAAATCCTTTCTGTAGTTTAACTCATTTAATACTCACACCAACCCTGTGAGGTGGCTACATTATCAACTCTACTTTACAGATGAGGAAACTGAGGAACAGAGAGGCTTAGTACTGTGCCAAAGGTCATACAGCTGGCAAGTGGCAGCACTGAGACTCCTACCCATGCAGTGTGCTCCCGAGTCAGCTTTTAGCCTCTATCCACACTGCCTCTAACAGCACACAGTGACAGTGGCATTCTGGGGAGCTGGTGCCAAAGAAAGGAGGGCCTGATGAAGGGGGGCTTTTACTGTTATACTCCATAGACTTTCGCAGAGTTTTAATTTTCACAGCAATATCTTAATGTATTACTTTAAAAAATTATACTTCACTTATAAGATCTTTATATAAGCCAAACTAACAAACTAAAATAAAATTTCATTTTATACTAAAAAATTGTGATAAGTACAGATTTTAATCAGGCCTTCTTTTAGTTTACCAAATCTCCAAACTTTTAGTGACTGTGTCACTTCAGGCAGGGCAAGAGGCTGTTTCAGTCCACGTTGTTATAAATGAGGACCCATACATAAACATGAGGAGGTAATTACGACTCCCCGCCCCAAAAAGACAAGCTGAAATCAAATTTCCATAGGAATAAAATTCTAAAGGAAATCTCTCTTCCTCCCAGATAAGGGCTGGTCTACCATCATTTTTGGCCTAAAGCAGGCTCTACAAACTCAAAGGCTTATTAGGAGGAGCCAGGGTTACAATGGGAGTGGTGGGGACTCTGGCAAACTGAACAGAGCACGCTCATCTAAAGGGCACATATGCTACCCAGCCAAATGCTGCCATCTAGAACTGTAGACTCAGTGTAGTCAGATTACCTAATTTCAAGAGAAGCCAGAAATACAGATTTTTACATTAAATATTCTTGATTTAAACAAAAATTCCCAAAAATATCATATGGGAAAAAAGAAAACCAAAAACCCTTTGCAGCCATAATTTAGCCAGTGGGACCACCAGCTTTTAGCCTGTAGCTTACAGAGATCCCTCAGTAATGTTTGATCTAAAAAGGCTAATTCTAGGTAACCAAAGTTTCACAGAAGGTGGAATGTCTCCTTACAAATTCAATATGCATCTTAGAAGCCTCTAGGCTCCTATACAATTTCACATGTCTCACTATTGAGTCCCAGGCATCTACAAATCTGGCTAAAATATTTGTCCCGCAGCTATAGGAATCCCAGCATTCATACAAACCACACCTCTGCCGCATGGCTAGGTATCGGAGGTCCAGGCACCCCCTAACAACGAGGCCATAATCCTGCAGAAGCTTGCTGGCATCTTCTGAGCATCCCACTCCAACTTTCAAAATGGTGCCATCTGCCAAAATATCCAATAACGTTCTTGGTAGTGTTTTTCCTCCACAGATTAGCTTGGGCAGGCGAACCAAGACACACAGGCCACTTGGGGAGGCCATTTGTAGAAGTGACAGAGGGCTGGCTTTGCCTTCCAAATTTACCTGCAACAGAGGAAGACAAGGTTGTGGTTCACACCTGAGCACAGCAGCGAGCATAACATATAACTGTGACAAAAAAGTCTAAGAGGTACATCCTTAACTTCCCAAAGGTAGCATCTGACCAGGTTTTGGTTTGCATCTACAGATAAGTCTACAGTAACAAATGCAATGGACTTTGTGAAGCAGTGACCTAAACAAAGGTTACCGAGAACCCCAAACGCCAAGGTCTGAAATATAAGTCCATAAACAGCGACCAGCCGACACAGGGGAGCTCTGGGACATACACTGGCAGTCATATGGAACATGCTGGTTTTAAAAGGCTAAGGAGGCTGGGCACGGTAGCTCATGCCTGTAATCCCAGCACTTTGGGAGGCCAAGGCGGGCGGATCACCTGAGGTCAGGAGTTCAAGACAAGCTTGGCCAACATGGTGAAACCCCGTCTCTACCAAAATTATAAAAATTAGCTGGGCATGGTGGCATGTGCCTGTAATCCCAGCTACATGGGAGCCTGAGGCAGGAGAATTGCTTGAACCCGGGAGGCAGAGGTTGCAGTGAGCCGAGATTGCGCCACTGCACTCCAGCCTGAACGACAAGAGTGAAACTCTGTCTCAAAAAAAAAAAAAAAAAAAAAAAGGCTAAGGAAAAAAGGCCCAGGAGTAGAGTGAGAAATGATAAACATCCTCTTTTCATTATCCAGCCTCTCTAATGTACACGCAGGTAACTCTAGTCATTTACCTTATCATCACTGACTCAAGATCCAATTTTTAAAAAGAGGTAGAAGATAGAGTACTGTAAATAAGTGGTACCTGATAATATAATAAATCCAGGTAGCACCAAGTGCTTTCTCAGCATTTTCTAGTCACAAATGGCTTTCATAAAAAGAAAAAAAAATGTATATTGAGCATAAGTTAGGGCCTTTAAATCTTAAAAGATACAAAAAACTTTATACAATAAGTGATCGAGGTTTAATCTTTTTTCTTTTTTTTAGATGGAGTCTGGGTCTGTCGCCCAGGCTTGAGTGCAGTGGCTCAATCTTGGCTCACTGCAACCTCCGCCTCCCGAGTTCAAGCTATTCTCCTGCCTCAGCCTCCCGAGTAGCTGGGGTTACAGGCACGCCCAGCTAATTTTTGTATTTTTTGTAGAGATGAAGTTTCACCATGTCACCCTGGTCTCGAACTCCTGACCTCAAGTGATCCTTCTGCCTCGGCCTTCCAGAGTGCTGGGATTACAGGCATGAGCCACTGCGCCTGGCTGAGGTTTAATCTTTTTGGGGTCATAGATAAGTTTGAAAAAATGCTGAAAGCTAAGGATGTTATTCCTAGAAAAATGTACATACAAAACTCACATACATTTTCAAGGGATTAAAATTTCCCTAAAGCTATCCATAGAACCCAGATTAAACACCCAATAAATTCTAATCCTTCTCACTTGTCAGGAGAGGAATATAGGTGAATCAGTTTGACCAAGTATGGTGAGATCATGGCAAAGCTAGGGCTATCACACTATCACCTAAATTTCCCAGTCCCTAGAATAGTAGTTCTCAACTGAGGGTAATTTTGTACCCCAAGAGACATTTGGCAATATCTGGAAAAATTTTTGGTTGTCACAAGTGGGGAGGAAGTACATAGGCATCTAGTAAGTAAAGGCCAGAAGGCTGCTAAACATCCTACAATGTACAAAAAAGAATCATCTGCCCAAAATGTCAATAGCGGGGAGGCTGAGAAACTCTGCTCTAGGGCAATGTGGTCCTCTTGCTACTGTACTAGCTGCCTGCTGGGCCTGCAGTGCCACAGTTGCATACAAAGTAATGGAAGAGAGCGTGCTGATTTAAGGAATTTATAATCTTACAGGAGGAGTAGGAGGGATACACATAAACACAAGCTCACACACACAGAAAATGACATGGTAAATGCCAAAGGAATGTTTCAAGCAAAGTGTCACAATTAATCAGAGGAGGTACATTGCATAATTGAAGTGACCAAAATCACACAGAGGAAATAGTCAAGATCACAAAAGAACTGCTGTTAAAAAAAAAAAAAAAAAAACTGGGAGGGCTCTGGCCCTCAACTTTTTTTCCAAGTCTCGCTCTGTTGCCTAGGCTGGAGTACAGTAGTGCAATCTCAGCTCACTGCAACCTCTCCCTCCCGGGTTCAAGCGATTCTCCTGCCTCAGCCTCCCGAGTAGCTGGGATTATAGGCGCCTGCCACCACACCCAGCTAATTTTTGTATTTTTAGTAGAGACAGGGTTTCACCATGTTGGCCAGGCTGGTCTCAAACTCCTGACCTCAAATGATCCGCCCATCTCAGCCTCCCAAAGTGCTGTGATTACAGGCGTGAGATACCATGCCCGGCCCTCTAGCCCTCAACTTCTTTTCTAAGGCGGAGTAAAACCATGATCTAACTCACAAAAGACTTACGCTTCCTTCTTAGGCACTGCTTTATCAGTGAGAGCTATTTTCGTATCCTCACACGAAAGCATGCCAGTTTGATCTCATTGTCTATTTCTTGAGGCTCAGCCAAGGTTACAAAGACCTGTGAGAAACACGACTACTGGGGTTCCAGTTCTCTAATAATTCATCCGGATGTGACCAAATCACTTTTTTAAAAATTAATGAGTAGTTCTTTCCCTCTGTGATATCAGCTTTCTCCAAGAAAAAGCTATAAATCTCTACTTCTAATAGCTAGTACTGCTAATTTGACATAAAACTCACTACAAATTCCTAAGGTTCAATATTTGTACCTCTTTACAGTCAGGTCTCATTGTCTACCATACATTAATTTCCTTGTTAATACAGTGGTGAGTAAAAAGAAAAGATAAAATACATTAAATAAATAACTAGATAAATAGACAGATAGGTAAATTGAGTTGTCTTTAATGTTTCTGGATTGTGCTTAAGATCCAATATACTATAATCAAAGTTTTCTCACTAGGAATCCAAATGTTTATGATTCCACTAGGTACATAACTTATATTGAATATATAATTGGAAGAATAATGTTTCTAGGAGAGTCAATTTAGCTTAAAGAATAAGATATCTAGTCTCTATTTCTCATATTTCCCCCTTTTTGCTTTCTAATGTCTTTTTGCCCTGACATCACTACTCATGGGAAACAAGAAACCCTTGGCTTATCAACATTATTAAAAAGTGACACGTTTTAATTTCATTAGCATTATTTAAACCAGTGGTCTTATTAGCATTATTTAATCTAGGGTTTTTAAAATTAGTCAACATATATGAAAATGTTTGAGACATATACTATATATATTTATAAATTACGCACATATAATACTGTATTAATGTGTTATATATACACAAAAGTACAAAGTTTAACTGAACAATAACAACAATCATTACAGATACAATTTCTAACACTCTGCTGTTCCAGTGATTCATTTAGAGAACAATGGGTTAGAGTCCTCCTTCCACGAGCCAGGGGATAATCCATTTTGGCTTCAGTATTCTTAAAAGAAAAAAACCAACAAAACAGTATTCATAAAAAATAGTTTCTGGAATGGCCTGTGATTCTTTAAATGACTTCATGAAGGCTACAGAGAGTAAAGAATGACATGGGACCATCTTCTGGGCTGGAACAGGTTAACTAATGAGCACCCCTAGTCTGTGGAGTTTATGTATCAGTTAAATTTAGACCAGGGTTTTGAGATAGGAATGAGTTTACCCTGTTCAGGCAACAGAACTAAGGCCCAATGTGGCTAGACGCCGATAAGAGTAGGATGAAAAGAGAGTAGGAGGAGACAAAATCAGAGATGCTGAAAGAAGCTACAGCAAGTAAGACCTTAAGAGCATGTAGGTAATTGAGACATCTGCGTTTTATTCTTTTTTTTTGAGACGGAGTCTCTGTTGCCAGGCTGGAGTGCAGTGGTGTGATCTCGGCTCACTGCAACCTCTGCCTCCCGGGTTCAAGTGATTCTCCTGCCTCAGCCTCCTGAGTAGCTGGGACTTCAGGTGCCCGCTACCACACCCAGCTAATTTTTGTATTTTTAGTAGAGACAGGGTTTCACCATGTTGGCCAGGATGGTCTCGATCTCTTGACATCATGATCCACCCGCCTCGGCCTCCCAACATGCTTGGATTACAGGCATGAGCCACTGCACCTGGCCATCTGCATTTTACTCTAAGCAATGGAAGGGTTTTGGGCAGAGGACTGACACAATCTAATTTGCATTTAAAAAAAATATTTTGGTGACTGCATGGAGAAAGGATTGTACATGCACAAGAGTCAAAGCAGGGAGGCCAGTCAAGGGAAGATTTGCAATAGTCCAGGTGAGAGATACTTGAAGCTTGGACTCAGGAGGTAGTAGGGGTGTGATATAGTTTGGATCTGTGTCCCCACCCAAATCTCATGTTGAATTCTAATCCCCAATGTTGGAGGTAGAGCCTGGTGGGAGATGACTGGATCATGAGATGGAGTTCTTATACATGGTTTAGCACCCTTCCCCCTTGTTACTGTATACTGAGTGAGTTCTCACAAGATATGGTTGTTTAAAAATGTGTGGTGGCTGAGTATGGTGGCTCATACCTGTAATCCCAGCACTTTGGGAGGCCAAGGTGGGCGGATCGCTTAAGTCCAGGAGTTTGATACCAGCCTGGGCAACATGGGGATGGGTATGGTGGTGTGCACCTGTAGTCCCAGCTACTCCAGAGGCCGAGGTGGGAGGATCACTTAAGCCTGGGAGGTGGAGAGTGCAGTGAGCCAAGACTGCGCCACTGCACTCCAACCTAGGTGACAGAGTAAAACCCTGTCTCAAAAAAAAAAAAGTGTGTGGCACCTCCCCGCCGTCTTGGTGCTGCTCCTGCCATGTAAGATGCCTGTTCCCGCTTTGCCTTCCACCATGAGTAAAAGCTCCTGGAGGCCTCACCAGAAGCAGATGTGGCCATGCTTCCTGCACAGCCAATTAAACTCCTTTTCTTTATAAATTACCCAGTCTCAGCTATTTCTTTATAGCAGGGCAAGAATGGACTAATACACTGGGTCTACAGGATGATGGTTTTGGGAAAATCACCTTGCTCAGCCTTTATTGCACCAATTATTTGTACCTGTTATGCAAGGAAATATGTAGCCAGAGTCTCCAGAAAGGACCAGGCAGGAGTCAGGGGATCAAAAAGGTATTTAATGTCTCCACCTGCCTCAGGAGAAGGGCAATAATAGCTCCTAAAACATGGCAGAATATTCATTTTGTACAGGTGATTTATCCACAGTTATACCTCATTATAGGTAACTCAAAGAAACCTATACCTCTTTGTGATAGCATGCTGTTATTTCCTGCTTTGTATAACCACTTCTTTGGATTTGCATATATTTTGCCATTAAAGAAATTTAACATATACTGTCTGTTTATTTCTGCCTTTCAATCATATCACCATCCTGTTGGACAACCCTCTGAGAGAAGAATGTCTCACTGATTTTAATCTTAAATGTGGGGAAGACTAGGGATAACAAGTTTGGGAAGAAAAATCAAGAATGAATTCTGTTAGGAACATGTTAAGTTTGAGATGACTATTAGACATTCAAGGAGAGATGTCAAGTAGGCAGGTGAATATGAAAGGCTGGCATTCTGAATTTGAGAGTAATCACCATATCAATGGTATTTAAAGCCATACAATTAGATGGGAATACAGGAAAAGAATGGAAATTAGAAGACATAAATTAGTGGCCCACGGATCCATCTGCTGACTCACAGACATGCTTTTATTATAATATTATTTTTGGTCTCCACGTATTTAAAAACTTACGCCAGAATTTTTAAATTAGTAGAGTTCACATTTTAAAGAATCCATACTCCAAGTTTCTTTTTAAAGAACTGGGCAATCCAGTAACAGTTGGTTTGAACTATATGGCAGCTTTTTCATTTATATGAGGCATGAATTCTCTAATTCACCATATGTCTTTTCAACTGAAGCCAAATGTTGTCTTCACTTACCATCATATTTGTACACCACTATTTTTCTAATACAAAGAAATATTTCTCAGGATCCATGTTGCTAGTAAAACTACAAAAATGAAAGATAGACCCTAGAGGCCTTATGTTTAAAGAAAACATGAAAGGTAATACATTTCCTTACGAATTTAAGAACATTCCTATGTATTAAAAAAAAGCAAACAATCACTCTATATCATTCATTTACAGAACGTGCTTGACTCTTGTAGGCATCTCAGTTTGCAATATCTGGGGTGGATACAGAAGAGACCAAGCCTGACCCATTTCAATATTTAGATATCAGGTAAAACAGGAATCAGAAAAGGAAAAAGTAGAAAGGATAATAAGATAGGAGATAGAAGAATGTGAGTGTGATGCTTTTGAGAGCAAGAATAACGAGTCCAAATAAGTGTCCACTGGACTAGAAAACAAGAAAGCCATCAACTTGACCAGTTTCAGTGGAGTAATATGGAAAGATGTCAGATTAAAGTTGGTTGAAGAATAATGAAGAATAAGAAATTATATCCAAGAGAACAGAAGGAAAGAAACAATAGACATAAGAGTAGAAATCAATTAAACACAAATATAAAGAAGATCAACAAAGCAAAAAGTTGGTTATTTGAAAAGACTAATAAAATTAATAAACCCATGGAAGGAATTATGAAGAAAAAAGAAGCACAAGTAAGCAAAGTCAGGAATGAAAAAAGAGACATTCCTAGTTATCTACCAAATGGGGTAAAATTTTTCAGAGGATATCATAAACAAATATATGCCAATAATTTTTTTTTTTTTTTGAGATAGAGTCTCACCCTACCACCTAGGTGGAGTGCAATGGCAC
The DNA here is from genome assembly GCF_000001405.40 of Homo sapiens. Classification (NCBI taxonomy): domain Eukaryota; kingdom Metazoa; phylum Chordata; class Mammalia; order Primates; family Hominidae; genus Homo; species Homo sapiens. The sequence continues at coordinate 69,222,042 of NC_000014.9, read as the reverse complement.
GATCTTGGCTCACTGCAACCTCCACCTCCCAGGTTCAAGCGATTCTCCTGCCTCAGCCTCCCGAGTAGCTGGGATTACAGGTGCGCACCACCACGCCTGGCTAATTTTTTTTTTTTTTTTTTTTTTTTTTTTTAGTAGAGACAGGGTTTCACCATGTTGGCCAGGCTGGTCTTGAACTCCTGACCTTGTGATCCACCTGCCTTGGCCTCCCAAAGTGCTGGGATTATAGGCATGAGCCACCTCACCCAGCCAGCCAATAATTTTTTTTGGAGGGGGAGACAGGGTCTCGCTTTGCTGCCCAGGCTGTAGTGCAGTGGCATGATCATAGCTCACTGCAGCCTTGAACTCCTGGGCCCAAGCCATCCTACCACCTTAGCCTCCTGAGTATCTGGGACTAAAGACTCACACCACCATGCCAGGCTAATTTTTTAATTTTTTTGTAAAGACAGATTCTCATTGTGTTGACCAGGCTGGTCTCATACTCCTTGCCTGAAGTGTGATCCTCCTGCCTCAGCCTCCCATAGTGGTGGGATTACAGGCATGAGCCACTACACTTGGTTTATGCCAATAATTAAAAAATTTTAAAGATAACATATTTAGATGATAAATGAAATATATAACTTATCAAAACTGAGACATTAAGAAATAGAAAATATTAATAGCTCTATAACTATTCAAGAAATTGTATCCATAATTCAAAAACTTCCCTTAAAGGAGAACTCCAGATGGCTTCACCAGTAGATTCTAACTAAACATTTTAAGTAAAAAAGAATGACAATCTTATACAAACTCTTCCAGAGAACATAAAAATAGGAAACACCCCTAACCTGTTGTATGAAGCTAGCATAACTTTTTTAAATCAAAGCCTGACAACGGCCAAGCACAGTGGCTCACACCTGTAATCCCAGCACTTTGGGAGGCTGAGGCAGAAGGACTGCTTGAGCTCAGGAGTTTGACACCAGCCTGGACAACATGGCAAGACTCCCATCTCCACAAAAAAATTAAAAGATTAGCCAGGCATGGTGGTATGCACCTGTAGTCCCAGCTACCTGGGAGGCTGAGGTGGGAGGATTGCTTGAGCCCAGGAATTTGAGGCTGCAGTGAGCTATGACTGAGACACTGCACTCCAACCTGGGCAAAAGGACAACTCTATCTCTTATTGATTGATTGACTTAGAAAGAGTTTCACTCTTGTTGACCAGGCTGGAGTGCAGTGGCACAATCTTGGTTCACTGCAACCTCTGCCTTCCGGTTTCAAGCGATTCTCCTGCCTCAGCCTTCCCAGTAGCTGGGATTACAGGCACCCACAACCAAGCCCGGCTAATTTTTGTATTTTTAGAAGAGACGGGGTTTCACCATGTTGGCCAGGCTGGTCTCGAACTCCTGACTTCATGATCCGCCCACCTCGGCCTCCCAAAGTGCTGGGATTACCGGAGTGAGCCACTGCACCCGGCCCAACTCTGTCTCTTTAAAAAAAAAAAAAAAATGCCCAGCACGGTGGCTCACACTTGTAATCCCAGCACTTTGGGAGGCTGAGGTGGGCGGATCACGAGGTCAGGAGATCGAGACCACAGTGAAACCCCGTCTCTACTAAAAATACAAAAAATTAGCCGGGCATGGTGGCGGGCGCCTGTAGTCCCAGCTACTCGGGAGGCTGAGGCAGGAGTATGGCGTGAACCCGGGAGGTGGAGCTTGAAGTGAGCCAAGATCATGCCACTGTACTCCAGCCTGGGTGACAGAGCGAGACTCTGTCTCAAAAAAAAAAAAAAAAAAAAAAAAAAAAAAAAAAACAGAGAGACAAAACACTTGCTGAGAGAGATGGTGTCTGAGACTGGCATTCAAACAGGAGCAAGAGTTGCCCAGGTGCAGGCGCCAGACAGGAGGAGGGCATTTATCCCAGGAATTCAAAAATCAATGTATTTCAACACAATAACAGCATAAAGAGAGAAGATATATAATTATCTCAACAAATGCAGAAAACATTTGATTAAATTCACCAACCATTCATGATTTAAAAAAAAAACTCTTAGCAAACCAAGAATAGAAATGAACAGATTTAATCTGATAAAGGGATCTACAAACCTACTGCAGATATTATACTTCAAGGTGAAATGTTAAAAGCTGTCATTTTGAGATAGGGCATAAGTCAAGGATGTCCACTATCACCACATCTACTGAACACTGTACTGTGATCCTAGCCAGGTACACCAAGGCAAGAAAAGAAAGAAAAAATGACAAGGACGGGAAAGAAATAAAATGGTCATTTTCAAAGATAATAGTCTATATAGAAATCCAAAAGAATCTACAAGTAATTAGAACAAGTGAGTTTAGAAAGATTCCTTAATACAAGAGAAATATGTAAAACTCAGTTGCATTTTTCCATGTACCAGAAACAGAAAAATGTTTAAAATCTCCATTTATACTTAAATTTAAAAATCACAGAAAACTATAAATACATTATTAAAAGAAACTAAAGGTCTAAACAAACACTTAGATTCAAAAACTCAATATTGTGGTCTAACAATTCCACTACTGGATATATACCCAAGTGAAATAAAATTAGTATGTCAAAGAGATAGCTGCACACCCATGTTTACTGCAGCACCATTCATAATAGCCAAGATATAGAATCAACCTAAGTGTTCATCAACAGAAGAATGGATAAAGAAAATGTGACTCAGGATATAAAATCAATGTGCAAAAATCAAAGCATTTTTATACACCAATAACAGACAAACAGAGAGCCAAATCATGAGTGAACTCCCATTCACAATTGCTTCAAAGAGAATAAAATACCTAGGAATCCAACTTACAAGGGATGTGAAGGACCTCTTCAAGGAGAACTACAAACCACTGCTCAATGAAATAAAACAGGACACAAACAAATGGAAGAATATTCCATGCTCATGGATAGGAAGAATCAATATCGTGAAAATGGCCATACTGCCCAAGGTAATTTATAGATTCAATGCCATCCTTATCAAGCTACCAATGACTTTCTTCACAGAATTGGAAAAAACTACTTTAAAGTTCATATGTAACCAAAAAACAGCCTGCATTGCCAAGACAATCCTAAGCCAAAAGAACAAAGCTGGAGACATCATGCTACCTGACTTCAAACTATACTACAAGGCTACAGTAACCAAAGCAGCATGGTACTGGTACCAAAACAGAGATATAGACCACTGGAACGGAACAGAGCGCTCAAAAATAATACCACACATCTACAACCATCTGATCTTTGACAAACCTGAAAAAAACAAGAAATGGGGAAAGGATTCCCTATTTAATAAATGGTGCTGGGAAAACTGGCTAGCATATCTAGAAAGCTGAAACTGGATCCCTTCCTTACACCTTATACAAAAATTAATTCAAGATGGATTAAAGACTTAAATGTTAGACCTAAAACCATAAACCTTGTCCATGCCAGGACATAGGCATGGGCAAGGACTTCATGTCTAAAACACCAAAAGCAATGGCAACAAAGACAAAATTGACAAATGGGATCTAATTAAACTAAAGAGCTTCTGCACAGCAAAAGAAACTACCATCAGAGTGAACAGGCAACCTACAGAATGGGAGAAAATTTTTGCAATCTACTCATCTGATAAAGGGCTAATATCCAGAATCAACAAAGAACTCAAACAAATTTACAAGAAAAAAACTCCATCAAAAAGTGGGCAAAGGATATGAACAGACACTACTCAAAAGAAGACATTTATGCAGCCAAAAGACACATGAAAAAATGTTCATCATCACGGGCCATCAGAGAAATGCAAATCAAAACCACAATGAGATACCATCTCACACCAGTTAGAATGGCGATCATTAAAAAGTCAGGAAACAACAGGTGCTGGAGAGGATGTGGAGAAATAGGAACACTTTTACACTGTTGGTGGGACTGTAAACTAGTTCAACCATTGTAGAAGACAGTGTGGCGATTCCTCAAGGATCCAGAATTAGAAATACCATTTGACTCAGCCATCCCATTACTGGGTATATACCCAAAGGATTATAAATCATGCTGCTATAAAGACACATGCACACGTATGTTTATTGTGGCACTATTCACAACAGCAAAGACTTGGAACCAAATGTCCATCAATGATAGACTGGATTAAGAAAATGTGGCACATATACACCATGGAATACTATGCAGCCATAAAAAAGGATGAGTTCATGTCCTTTGTAGGGACATAGATGAAGTTGGAAACCATCATTCTCAGCAAACTATCGCAAGGACAAAAAACCAAACACCGCATGTTCTCACTCATAGGTGGGAATTGAACAATGAGAACACTTGGTCACAGGAAGGGGAACATCACACACTGGGGCCTGTCATGGAGTGGGGGGAGGGGGAAGGGATAGCATTAGGAGATATACCTAATGTAAATGACGAGTTAATGGGTGCAGCACACCAACATGGCACAAGTATACATATGTAACAAACCTGCATGTTGTGTACATGTACCCTATAACTTAAAGTATAATAAAAAAAAAAGAAAATGTGATATATAAATCTCTCCCTCCAAAATGGAATATTATTTGTCCATAAAAAATAATGAAATCTTGTCATTTGTGACAACATGGCTAAACCTGGAAGACATTATGTTAAGTGAAATAAGCCAGGCACAGAAAGATAAATACTGCATGAGCCCACTCATATGTGGAATCTAAAAAAGTTGACCTTGGTGGGCATAGTAGCTCCCTCCCATAATCCCAGCTACTCGGGAGGCTGAGGTGGAAGGATCACTTGAGGCCAGAAATTCAAGACCAGCCTAAGAATCACAGTGAGACTTCATCTCTAAAAAATAAAAATAAAAATTAGCCAGTTGTGGTAGTGTGTGCCTATAGTCCTAGCTACTTGGGAGGGTAAGGCAGGAGGACTGATTGAGCCTAGGACCTCAAGGCTGTAGTGAGTTATGATCACGCCACTGCACTCTAGCCTGGGTAACAGAGCGAGAACATGTCTCTAAAAAATAAAAGAGTTGATCTCATAGAAGTAGAGAGTAGAATAGTGTTTACCACAGGCCAGGATGGTTGGGAGGAGAGGAGGATGAGAAAATGTTGATCAAAGAATATATAATTACAGTTACATAGGAGGGATGAGTTCAAGACATCTAGTGTACAGCATGGTGACTATAGTTAATGATGATATATTGTATTACTAAAATGCAAAGATAGTGTATGTTAAGTGTTCTCATCATTAAAAATGATAACTATGTGAAGTAATGCACTTGTTAATTAGCTAGATTTAATTATCCCGCAATGTATATATGCATAAAACATTATACATAATATATATAATTTCATGTCAATTTTTTAAAACCCTTCAATAATATAAAGAAGTCAGTTCCCTACAAACTGATCTATACAATACAATCTCAATCAAAATTTCAAGAAAATTTTATAGGACCTGAAAATTGATTCTAAAACGTATAAGAAAATGTAAGCCAGGTGTGGTAGCAGGCACCTATTGTCCCAGCTACTCGGGTGGCTGAGGCAGGAGAATGGCTTGAACCCAGGAGGTGGAGGCTGCAGTGAGCCGAGATCATGCCACTGCACTCCAGTCTGAGTGACAGAGTGAGACTCCATCACAAAAAAGAAAATGTAGAGTATCAAGATTATCCAAGATATTGTGGAAAAAGAACAAGATGGCAGGTCTTGCTGCCCCAGATATCCAGAGTTATTTTAAAGCAATGGTAAATAAGAAAGTATATAATAATTGGTGCAACAACAGAAAATTAGACAATCAAGAAGACAAAAACAGATCTAGACACATACAGACACTTGTTTTGTGATAAAGTGGCATTGCAGAGCAATCAGGAAAGGTTTATCTGTTCAATCTGTGATTCTAGGCAGATTGACTATCCCTTTAGGAGAAAAAATTAAACTTAACCCTACCACACATCATATACAAACACACCTAAAAAATCAATTTCAGGTGGATTGTAAATCTGAATCGCCAAGGTTAAAACCATAAAACTCCAAGAAAATGACATGGGGAGAATATGTTCATGACTGTGTATAGGGAAAGACTTGATCAACTGTACTACACAGATCTTCTGTTTATCAAAATTAAACATCAAAAGAATGTAAAGGCAATTCACAGAATGGGAGAAAACATTCACAACACAAATTTAACTCCCGGAGGGTTCATATGCAGAATATGTAAAGAACTTCTATAAAGACAACTCGATAGAAAATGAGGCAAAAAAAAAAAAGAAAATGAGGCAAGAGACTTGAATGGACACTGCATAAAAGAGGATATCTAAATGACCATTAAAATACAAAAAGATGTTCAATTTCATTAGTAATCTGGAATATGCAAATTAAAATAATAGTGAACTATTACTACAAGCCCAACAGAATGGATAAAATTTTAAAATATGACAGTACCAAATGTGGACAAGGATGTAAAACAAAGGCAATTTTCATATATAGGGAGGTTAAATTAGTGTAATCACTTCTGAAAACAGCTAGAAACAATGGAATCAGTCATATGCTACGGATGGGAAGGTAAATTCATAAAAAGATCTTGGTAAACAGTTTGGCATCATCTATAAAAGTTAAAATTGTGCGTGCATGTGCACACAAACTCCTTGACCCAGAACTCCACTCATAGACACATACGCCCAATAATGAGTGTAAATGTTCAATTGCACCATTCTTTGCAAGAGCCCCCAAATGTAAATGATATATTGTATTATACACACACACACACACACACACACACACACACACATATATTTTTGAGATGGAGTCTCGCTGTGTCACCCAGGCTGGAGTGCAGTGGCACACTCTCAGCTCACTGCAACCTCTGCCTCCTGGGTTCCAGCAATTCTTCTGCCTCAGCCTCCCAAGTAACTGGGATTATACCTGTATGCATCACCACACCTGGCTAATTTTTGTATTTTTAGTAGAGACGGGGTTTCACCATGTTGGCCAGGCTGGTCTTGAACTCCTGACCTCAGGTTCAGGTGATCCACCCACCTTGGCCTCCCAAAGTGCTGAGATTACAGGTGTTAGCCACCACGCCCGGACTATACTGTATTTTATATATATATATAAATGTCCATCAATAATAGAATGGAAAAATAAGTCATGGTATATTTATACCATGGAACACTATATGGCAACAAATCATAGTCACACCCAACACAGGTAAATCTCACAATGTTTGGAAAAAGAAGCAAGACAAAAAAGAGCACATACTCGATGATTCATTTATACTAAATTTAAAAAACAGGTAAAATTAAACTATAGTGATGAGGGAGGCATGCCTAAGCAGTAAAAGTATAAAGAAAACAAGAAAGTAAATAGACTTTCTTGAGACAGGATAATGGTAACCCTCAGAGGGCAGTGAGGGGACAATGATTTCAAGTGGACACAACAGGAGCTCCTGGAGTCCTAGCAATCTTACGTTTCTTGACCTAGTTTCTAGTTACACAGCTGAGCTGTTCTCTTTACATAAATCATTCAGTGTTTATTTTTGTTCCAGGCACTTTTCTTGATGTGTTATATTTCACAATAAAAAAGTCTAAAAAAAGACTCAGGGGCAGGTTAAACAGATTAGACAAAGCCAAATAAAGAAAAAGGGAATTGTAAAAGAGACCAGAAGAAATCGTATATAATGAATCTAGAGAGACTAAGATATGTTAAATATTAAATTCCAGCAAGAAAGAAGAAAGGATAAAGACAATCTTTAAAGAGAAATTTTAAATTGATAAAACATCAATCCTATTATCCAGATATTTTTCTGAATCCCAAGCTAGAAATAAAACACCTAGACTCATCATAGTGAACCTTCAGAACCATAAACTCAAAGAGAAGATCTTAAGAAGAGATATGAAAAAATTACATTACTTACAAAGAATCAAGGTATAGACTGACAGTTATCTTCAACAGCAATAACGGAAGCCAGAAGGCAATGGAATACTATCCTGAAAATGATAAACTGCCAAACCAGAACTTTACACCCAGAGAAAATCTCTTTAAGATTAAAATCAAAATACAGACATTTTCAAAATGATGAAGTTTATTATCAATGGGCCCTAAACTGTTAAAGAACGATTTTAAGGAAAATGATCCCCAAAAGAAGGTCAGAGATATAAGAAAAATGTAAGCAAAGAAAAAGGTAAATACAAGGTCAGGAGATCGAGACCACCCTGGCTAACACAGTGAAACCCTGTCTCTACTAAAAATAGAAAAAATTAGACGGGCATTGTGGCACACACCTGTACTCCCAGCTACTCAGGAGGCTGAGGCAGGAGAATCACTTGAACCCGGGAGGCAAAGGTTGCAGTGAGTCAAGATTGCACTAATGTACTCCAGCCTTGGAGACTCTGTCTCAAAAAAAAAACAAAAAAAAAGGTAAATACAGCTGGATGCAGTGGCTTATGCTTGTAGGAGGACCAAGTGAGAGGATCACTTGAGGCCAGGAGTTGAAGACCAGCCAGGGCAACACAACAAGACCCCATTTCTACAAAAAAAAAAAAAAAAAAAATTATCCAGGTGCAGTGGCACATGCCTGTAGTCCCAGTTACTCAGGAGGCTGAGGCAGGAGGATCACTTGAGCCCAGGAGTTTGAGGCTGCAGTGAGCCATGCTCACACAACTGCACAACAAAGCAAGACCTCATCTCTTAAAAAAAAAAAAAAAAAAAAAAAAAGGGCCCAGCATGGTAGCTCACACACACCTGTAACCCCAGCACATTTTGGGAGGCCAAGGCAGGAGGATCACTTGAGCCTAGGAGTTTGGGACCAGCCTGGGCAACACAGCAAAATCCTGTCTCTGTGAAAAAGAGATGGCATGTGGTGGCTCACACCTGTAATCCCAGCTACTCAGGAGGGAGGATTACTTGGGCCTGGGAGGTTAAGGCTGCAGTTAGCTGTGATCGCACAACTGCATTCCAGCCTGGGCAAAAGAGCAAGACCCCATCTACAAAAAAAAAAAAAAAAGAAAAGAAGAAGAATACAGGAAGGTAAACACTTTGGTAAATCTAAACAAATATTGACTATAAAACAACAACATAGGCCAGGCACGGTTGCTCACGCCTGTAATCTCAGCACTTTGTGGGACTGAGGCGAATGGATTGCTTGAGTCCAAGAGTTTGAAACCAGCCCGGACCACACCGCAAAACCCCGTCTCTACTAAAAATACAAAAAAATTAGCCAGGTGTGGTGGCGCACACCTGTAGTTCCAGCTACTCAGGAGGCTGAGGTGAGACAATCATCTGAGCCCAGGGAGGTCAAGGCTAAAGTGAGCCAAAATCCCACCACTGCACTCCAGCCTGGGTGACAGAGTAAGATCTTGTCTCAAAAAAAAAAAAAAAAAAAAAAAAAATCAAGAACCATTGGAACCAAGTGACAGTGGTGGCACATACCTGTAGTCCTAGCTACATGGGAGGCTGAGACAGAAGGATCATTTTAGCCCATGAGTTCGAGGTTCAGTGAACTATGATAAGTACCACTGCATTCCAGCCTGGGAAACAGAGTGACACCACCCTGTCTCTAAAAAAAAAAAACAATAAAGAAGAACAAAAATAATAATCGAATAAACATTTACATAAAAGTGAATGAAAAGGAAAGCAAAACAGGAATGGAGGAATAAATAGAGCAAGAATGGATGATTTTTCATTTCTGTCTTCGTTTTTTCTTTTTTTGAGACAGGGTCTCACTTGCTCTGTCGCTCAGGTTGGAATGCAGTGGCGTGATCTCGGCTCACTGCAACCTCCACCTCCTGGGCTCAAGCAATTCTCCTGCCTCAGCCTCCCAAGTAGCTAGGATTACAGGCGCCTGCTACCACGCCTGGCTAATTTTTGTATTTTTAGTAGAGGGGAGGATTTCACCATGCTTGCCAGGCTGGTCTCGAACTCCTGACCTCAAGTGATCTGCCCGCCTCGGCCTCCCAAAGTGCTAGGATTACAGGCGTGGGCTACCGCGCCCAGCCTATTTTTGTTTTCTATTCATCTCTTAAATTTATTCTATCTTATTTTTACAAGGAAGGAAGCCATGAATGACTTTTTCATTGAGTTTTTTATGACAGCAATCAGGAAAATGCAGTCATGCCTAAAGGGAAATGTGGAATCCAACCTGAGTTTAATACACATCAAAAGTCAAAATGAGGTGGGGTTAGATTATTTGCCACTTTAACTTTTCTATGCCTCTGCTATAGTAATTAAAGTGTATTATTATCAGATCAATTACTATTCACTTCAGTCTACCCTGCTGTTGCTCAAGTTATCCTTCGTTTAGTTGGAATAATCCAGGTGCTTGGCACAGGTGAATTTTCCTAATCTGCTAGAGCTTACCACTTAAACCCTATTTTCTTCTATTGTTGCTGATGTAAATAGTTCTAAAATGATGTAACTTTTTACACAGAATAGATTAAAATCACTGATCCTTTCTTGATGGCCCAAGGTCATTGGTATAAACGACTACTACTATTGCTGATATAAAGAAACACCCTCAGTAGCTGTGGTGTAAGGGCTTTTGTGACTACAAAGATTTCCCCACACTGTCAGGTGTTCTCTTTTTGGTCATCACAGTGTTGGCATCTAGTAGCCTCTTCTATCAACCTGTGAACTGATTTTGTGGAGCCATTCTGCTTAGGGACTCTTTTAATTACATTTCCTGGATACAGCAAGAGAAATAGCATTAGGGGTGGAACCTGAAGATGTTATTAAACTGCTGCAATCTCATGATAAAACTTTAACAGATGAAGAGTTGCTTTTTATGGATGAGCAAAGAAAGTGGTTTCTTGAGATGGAATCTACTCCTGGTAAAGATGCTGTGAACACTGTTGAAATGACAACAAAAGATTTAGAATATTGCATAAACTTAGTTGATAAAGCAATGGCAGGGTTTCAGAGGACTGACTCCAATTTTGAAAGAAGTTCTACTGTGGGTAAAATGCTATTAAACAGCACCACATAGTAGAGAAAAATCTCTCATGAAAGGAAGAGTCAACCAATGTGGCAAACTTCTTTGTTGTCTTATTTTAAGAAACTGTCACAGGAACTCCAACCTTCAGCAACCACTACCCTGATCAGTCAGCAGCCATCAATATCAAGGCAAGACCCTCCACCAGCAAAAAGATTACAACTTGCTGAAGGCTTAGATAATTATTAGCAATTTCTAGCAATAAACTAATTAATGTACTTTTTAAAGATATAATGTTATTGCATACTTAATAAACTATAGTATAGTATAAACACAACATTTTTTTTTCCCCGAGACAGGATCTCCCTCTGCCACTCAGGCTGAAGTGCAGTGGTGTGTTCATAGCTCACGACAGCTTCAACCTCCTGGGCTCAAGCAATCCTCCTGCCTCAGCCTCCCAAGTTGCTGGGACTACAGGTGGGTGTCACCACACCTGGCTAATTTCTCTTTTTGTAGAGATGGAGTCTCGCTATGCTGACCTGGCTGACTGGTATTAAACTCCCCGCCTCAACTGATTTTCCCCACCTTAGCCTACCAAAGTGCTGGGATTACAGTCATGAGCCACCGCCACACTCAGCATAAGCATAACTTTTATATGCACTGGGAAACCAAAAAACTCATGTAACTCACTTTTTTGCAAGATTTGCTTTATTGCCATGGTCTAACATCGAACCTACAATATCTCCAAGTTATGCCCATATGGTGAAAATTAGATGATGCAAGCAAAACATATAGTACATGGCTTAGAGTAAATGATGTTTCAAATGTTAACTGTTATCTTTTAAAATCCTAAGTAATAATTTCCATTTAAATAGAATTCCTTAGCTATTTTCTCCACGGCATCCTTATGAAAATGCTACTACAAATATTAACAGTGGCTAATATTTCATGAACACTTACTACTATATGTTCACACTGTGCTGAATCCTTTATGGGGGTGATCTATTTGAATCCTTAGAAAAGCCACTGGAGGTAGGTACCATGACGTTCCTATTACAAACAACCAAACAAACAAAGACTTAGAGAGGCTAAATAGCTTGTCCAAGTTCACGGAATGATAAGTGGGGAAAATACAATTCATATAGGTTTGACATAATTGTAATCCATAATTGTAAGCACTCCGCCATCCTGAGAGGAACAGCAGCTTCTTCTTCTGCTAAAATCTGCTTATAAGCAAGTTGAGAACAAGCTAATTCATTCTCCTTTAACCTTATTTTCTACTTGACTGTCCAAGGTCCCAGTTGGAAAAGCAGAAGTTGTTTTTTTTTTTTTTTTTTAACTTTTGCTTTTTAACTTACCCACTCACAGTCAATTCCAAGTACTGGAAAATCTTCTAATTCACTTCTAAGCAAGGGCTCGATTTGATCCCACTCTGCCTCCTGAGACACCGTCACCACCTTTGCTTTAAGGATCCGTTCCTTCCACGAGGATCTGGGGGCACTGGAGTGCAGCTGATCATCTTCTGGAGGGGGCAGCTCTCTACTGCCCAGCACTTTCTGCTGTGGCTGTTGGGTCACAGGACTCGTTTTACTCCTTCGGCGGCGCTGGATGCCTTTCCAGAGGACAAACCCCCCTACAGCCACACCCAGAAGGGTAGTCACTGTCAAAGCCACTAAGTTCTGTCTAGACATCTTCGACTTTTCTACTCTTTAGAAAAGCATATCACTAATCCCACAATCTGCAAAACAAATGGCAAAAATATATTTATATACAGAATATAAACCTTTACATAAACAAGTTTTCCTCTAAAAAATGCCCCATTTATAATCTCTGTGCCCACAAACTAAAACAACTGCTATAAATTTCCATGTGAAATAGTAGCAATGGTTTAATTTCTTCATCTTTATAATCTCTGTATTCCATCTCTATCTCCATCCTCACCCCAGGAAATCTCCCTGCCCTCTGACAGTTCCCCATGGCTCTCTTAATGATATAAAATCATATCAGTCAAAACAACAGGCTATGTACACAATGAAGTGTGATCTAGGAAGAAAAAAAAACAATAAGCTAGACTCTCACCTCTAACTGCTGATTAATGAATGAATTTTTTAGTTAATGGATCTTCTTCAAAGTATTTTGTATTTTAAACCTTTGATCACCTAACAGTTGAAGGAAAACTGCTTCTCAATTTAAAAAAAATTGTAATCATCAGTCAGTTGGTAGGGAGACTTTTTTTACTTCTCTGGAAGGTGCGGCAGTGAGGGAGTGGAGGAAACAGGTTTGACTCAACACTTTCTGTTGCTCCAGAAGGCTCAGCAGTTCTCCATAGAAACTGATACGGTTATTGTAGGGTAAGCCAGCGGGGGTACAAAAGAGAAAGGATCAGAAAAGCAAAAGAAAAAGGTAGAACTTAGAGAGATATACAAGATGCATAGAAGGCGGATGCAAACTGAAGTGTCCACAGCGCCAGGCAGGTTAATGTAAATCAATGAAGCAAGCCACAAAATAGTTCCTTTTTCATTTTTCTGTAACATGTGGCTTTCTCCATGTAGTTTCTGTTTTCCTATATGTGAGAAAGAAATGAGTATACAGCACTATTTCTGTTCTATTAAAATAACAGTAAAAGTGCAACAGTAAATAGTAAGTGGCCTGGGCCGGGCGCGGTGGCTCATGCCTGTAATCCCAGCACTTTGGGAGGCCGAGGCAGGTGGATCACGAGGTCAGGAGATCGAGACCATCCCGGCTAACACAGTGAAACCCCGTCTCTACTAAAAAGACAAGAAATTAGCCAGGCGTGGTGGCGGGCGCCTGTTGCCGCAGCTACTTGGGAGGCTGAGGCAGGAGAATGGTATGAACCCGGGAGGCGGAGCTTGCAGTGAGCCGAGATCGTGCCACTGCACTCCAGTCTGGGTGACAGAGTGAGACTCCGTCTCAAAAAAAAAAAAAAAAAATAGTAAGTGGCCTGGCCAGGTGCAGTGGCTCATGCCTGTAATCCCAGGACTTTGGGAGGCCAAGGCAGGTGGATCACCTGAGGTCAGGAGTTCGTTCCAGCCTGGCTAACATGGTGAAACCCCATCTCTACTAAAAACACAAAAATTAGCCAGGCGTGGTGGTGGGCACCTGTAATCCCAGCTACTCAGGAGGCTGAGGCAGGAGAATAGCTGGAACTTGGGAGGTGGAGGTTTCAGTCAGCCGAAACTGAGCCACTGCACTCCAGCCTGGGTGATAAGAGTAAGACTCTGTCTCAAAAAAGAAAAAAAAAAAAAAAGTAAATGGCCTTTGGTCTCAGGGCCAGGGAGAAAACATGGAGCAGCAACCATTCGGCACAAGCTGATGATCCTGTGCAGGAAGAAGGCCCAGTGTGGTCAAATACTTTGCTTGTTTAAGATAAGTCAGGTATCTGAATTTTACATGAAATGTCACCATTTTTAAATGCTGGCAATAAACTTACAGTTTTAAAAAATATTGCGCCAGCCAAACAAAAACACCCTAGGCACACACCAGGCTACCCATCTGTGGCCTCTGGCCTAAAAGCTAAATTGCCCAAAGACAGAGCAATCAGCTGCACCCTGCCTATACTTCTCTATGGCTGAAGGTTTCCCACTGAATGTGTATGGTTTTTATTACTATTTAAAAGTTTCATCAATAACTTTAAATTTTTTTTTTATTAGATGGAGTCTCTCGCCGTCGCCCAGACCTGTGTGCAGTGGCATGATCTCGGCTCACTGCAGTATCCGCCTCCTGAGTTCAAGTGATTCTCCTGCCTCAGCCTCCCAAGCAGCTGGGACTACAGGGGTATGCCACCATACCCAGCTAATTTGTGTATTTTTAGTAGAGACAGGGTTTTACCATGTTGGCCAGGCTGGTCTTGAACTCCTGACCTCAAGTGATTCACCTGTCTCAGCCTCCCAAAATGCTGTGATTACAGGTGTGAGCCACTGCACTGGGCCAAAAAAAAAATTTCATATTTACAATAACTTCTGGATTATAATCATGCCTGTAGAGATATGTGAGTATTAGAGAAGAAAAACTGAATTACAACAATTATTAGAGTAATAATGAAAAGTGGTAATAGTTATGCTGTTTTAAAAACATTTACTTTATTCCAGAAACTGTGCTAAGAATTTCATATGTATTTTCTCCAGTGCTTTTATTGAAGAGGAAACTGAAGCTTAATGAGATTAAATAACTTGTGTAGAGAAACTGCTGATTAAGGTAATCTGAGAAGACATAAAAGTCCTTCCCTTTTCCACTCTAAACAATGCAAATGCTGGAGAAACCACTGAAAAGATAAAAATGTAAAACACAGTTAAGCCCCCAAAAGAAAGAAAGAAATCATCAGGTGCCAGAAAGGGAGGAGGAAACCCCAAGTGGGTGGAAGGCTGGGCGCAGTGGCTCATGCCTGTAATCCCAGCACTTTGGGAGGCCGAGGCAGGTGGACGGCTTGAGCCTAGGAGTTTGAGATCAGCCTGGGCAACATGGTGAAACCCCATCTACACCAAAAATATAAAAAATTAGCTGGGCGTGGTGGCACATGCCTTAAGTATCAGCTACTTGGGGGGCCTGAGGTGGGAGGATAGCTTGAGCCGGGGAGGTCAAGGCTACAGGAAGCTGTGATGGTGTGCCACTGCACCCACTGCACTCTAGCCTGGGTGAGAGAGTGAGACCCTATCTCAAAAAAAAAAAAAAAAAAAAAAAAAAAAAAAGTGGGTGGGTGGGAGATGAAGCTGGGCAGAGACCAGAACTCATGCCAGCCCCAGCGCTGGAGTATATCAGCAACCCAGAGGCAGAACTCTAGGCCACAGGCCCAAGACACAGCTGGAATCCAGGGGAGTGCCACCCTATCCACAAACCAGAAGTATTTACCCACCTTGGCCTGGGCAAGCCACCTGCCCCAGGCCAAAGGCATGAACAGAGTCCCTTGAAAGAGGAAAATTCCTCAGCTGGGTGCAGTGGCTCACACCTGTAATCCCAGCACTTTGGGAGGCCAAGGCGGACAGACAGCTTGAGCCCAGGAGTTTGAAATCAGCCTGGCCAACTTAGTGAAAGCCCGTCTCTCTACTAAAAACACAAAAATTAGCCAGGTGTGGTGGTGCATGCCTGTAATCCCAGCTACTCCAGAGGCTGAGGCATGAGAATCACTAGAACCTGGGAGGTGGAGATTGCAGTGAGCCAAGATCACGCCACTGCACTCCAACCTGGGCAACAGAGTGAGACTATGTCTCAAATAAAAATAAAAAATAAATTAAAAAATAAAAGACAAATCCTCAAGCCTACACTTCTCTATGGCTCAAGCAGATACAAGGCCCAAGTTCACATTATCCTCATAAAAGGGAACCCTAAGCCAAGAAATTGAATTTACACTGGTTCAGAACTGGTAAATTCTATTGGAACCAGGCAGAGTCTATCATAACACACACACACAAACACACCCCACATAGGAAACATACAGGACTACCATGGAAGATCAGTCCCTAGAAGGGGTCTCACAATGAATCACAACAAAACAAAATCCTAAAGCCAATAAAAATAGTGCATAGAGCCATCAAACAAAGATTTCCATACTTGAGATCTGAAAAGGACTTTAAAGAATATTCAGAGATATTAATGAAAATAATAACTAAAACAAAGACAAAAATATATACATTCTAGATATGAAAAATATTTATTAAAAATTTTTAAAAACTCAATACTCAATAGACAGGTTAAAATGTAGACCAGACATACAGAAAGAGTTAATGAATTGAAGAAAAAAATCTGAGGAAGTCACCAGAATGTAGTAGACAGATAAAGAGGGAGAAAACATACTGAGGCGAAGCATGGTGTCTCACGCCTGTAATCTCAACGCTTTGGGAGGCCGAGGTGGGAGCATCACTTGAGCCCAGGAGTTCAAGACCAACCTGGGCAACATAATGAGATCCCATCTTTACTAAAAAAAATTTTAAAACAGAAAGAATACACAACAAAGCAGAGACATGGGGAATGGACTGAGAAACTCCAATATTCATGGAATAAAGATTTGGAATGTATGAAGGGGGTCAGATTTGGTACTATTCTCTGAGCCCCAAGCTGGATAAATTAAATCTATTCACAAAAAGACTCATATAAGAATGTTCATAGCAGTTACTTATTTGTAACAGCCAAAAACTGGAAACAGCCTGTTGGCCTGAATGATTAATGTGTGACTGTTGGTTCATTCATTGTCTGTCCATGAGAACAGGAACCTTAACTGGCTTTGTTACCACCATTATCCCCAGTGACTAGCAGGGAGCTGATGATACTCAGTAAATATTTACTGAATGAATGAAATTCAGCTCAAGGTATTATATGTTAACATTTGTATGATAAATGTCTCTAATTCAATCACCAGATTACAACATTCTGTTTATTGAAATGAAAAAAGTTTTTTAACCTTATCGAGCCTTGATGTTATAAAGAGGTAGTATGGTTCAGTACTGGGTTGGGAGTCAGAAAAAAATTAAACTGTGGTAACAGTTTACTCTGGGATCCAAGCTTTTCGATCCCTCACTAAATCTCATCAGTGAAACAATCTGTCATTCTTAAGTTTTTTATATAAATTAACTGAACATAAAACTTTTTTTTTTAAGACAGAGTTTCACTCTGTTGCCCAGACTAGACTGCAGCACAATCACGGCTCACTGCAGCCTCGACCTCCTGGGCTCCCACTTCAGCCTCCTGAGTAGCTGGGGGTACAGGTGCATGCCACCATGCTCAGCACATTTTTTGATTTCTTGTAGAGATGCGGGTCACACTATATTGCCCAGGCTGGTCTCAAACTCCTAGGCTCAAGTGATCCTCCTGCCTCACCTTCCCAAAGTGCTCGGGTTATAGGTGTGAGCCTTATGCCTGGCTAAATATCAACGGCTACCTAATGATAGTAGGATTATTAACAATTTTTATTTTTCAAATTTTATACGAATATGTACATATTTGTAATTAGAAAAATACACTCTTTTTAAACTGGTGCTCTTTAGAGATAGGCAATCCCACTTGACAAAACACAGAATCATATTCTTGGAATAAATCACACTTTAATGAGTTAAATGATTATGTATAAAGTGTTTGAAATGCAGTATATGGTAGACAACACAAGACCTAACATCAAATAGCGTAGGCTTAAATCCAGCCTCTGTTACTCACTAGCTGTAGGAACTTAGCCAATTTGCCAAACTTCTCTAAGCCTCAGTTTCCTCATCTGCGAAACAGGAAGGACAGTCTCCTCATCTGTGAAATAGGAATACCATTATGTAGGATTACTGTGAGGCTTAAGTAAAATGATAAATAAAATTCACCTAGTATATTGGCTAGAACATTAGGATTCTATAAATGTTAGCTATTACTACAAAACCACAGAACTTCTATTAAAGGAAATCAAAAAATCAGAGTTAAAATTTTGGAGTCAAGTTCAGCTCCCACCCAATTCAAGAATCCTTTCCATGATAATCCCAACAGATCATGACCTAGTCTCTGACTGAATACTTCCAGTAACCGAGTTCATCACCTTCAGAGGCAGTTTTTGTTGAAAGTCCTTGCGTTCTATAAAAGTTTCCTGCTTACAAATTGCCCTCTTTGACAGCCTCTGCAATGACAAGTGTTTACTCCCTCCTTAAAGCCTGTTAAATAGGTGAAGAGAGCTCTGAGACTCCCCTTATAGTCTTCCTGTGACCTGGTTTATAGACTCTCCTGGCCAAGGCCTTCTGCACAGACCCAAGTTTGTTAATGTATCTCTTCAAATGTGGCATTCAGGTCTATACGCAATACTTGAAGCCAGGCATGATGGCTCAGGCCTGTAATCCCAGCACTTTGGGAGGCTGAGGTAGGCGGACTGCTTGAGCCCAGGAGTTCAAGACTACCTAGGGCAACATGGTGAAATCCCATCTCTACTTAAAAAAAAAAAAAAATTACAAAAAACTAGCCAGCCAGGCATGGTGGCATGCACCTATAGCCCCAGCTACTGAGGAGGCTGAGATGGGAGAATCACCTGAGCCTGGGAAGTCAAGACTGAAGTGAGCTGTGATCACACCACTGCTGTCCAGCCTAGGCAACAGGAGTGAGACCCTGCCTCAAACAAACAAACAAACAAACTTGAGACACGGTCTAACTGATGCAGGCTACAGTGATACTATTACTTCCCAGCAGCTGGATCCTATATTAATGCTGTATGAAATGATACATTTTTAAGTAACAGAATCTCATTGTTGGGTCATATAAAGCTTGTAGTAAATTAAAATTCACTGATGCCAAATCAAGTTCTTCATTTTATATATTTGTAATTTATATTTTGTACTTAAATCAAAAATCCTTCTTCTAAATTTCATCTTGTCTGTTTCAGCCAAATGTTTCATCTATTGAGGCCAATCTGCATCTTGATTATGCTTCCCTCTCAAACATAATTTTACATAAAAAACTGAATATTTGTTTTCAGAGAAAATAACATCTCCTAACATACGGTTTTATTAATTCATTTTTATTTGAAGAGGTTTTGTAAACTGCATTTTTTTTTCTTTTCCAGCCAAGGGATTCATTCAGCAAACTTTTTACACAACACATTATATAAGTCAGACACTGATAGACCCCGGGTAAAAAGAGTCGAAAGGCACAATCTGCCTTCGAAAAATTCATGATTTAGCCAAGGAAAAATACACGTAATGAACAAGTTGCAAAGAGTGGGATAACACCAACAAGTGAAGCACACACAAGTACATGAATGGCTTGGACTTGAGGAAAGAGTGGGGATATTGTTTTTATTTTTATTTATTTTTTTGAGACAGGGCCTCACTTTGTCACCCAGGCTACAGTGCCGTGGCATGATCTCAGCTCACTGCACCCTTGACCTCTTGGGTTCAAGTGATCCTCCCACCTCAACCCCCCCAAGTAGCTAGGACCAACCACAGGCACATGACAGCACCCCAACTAATATTTTGTATTTTTGGTAGAAACGGGGTTTTGCCAGGTTGCTTGGGCTGGTCTCAAACTCCTGAGCTCCAACACCCGCTAATATTTTATATTTTTGGTAGAAACGGGGTTTCGCCAGGTTGCCCAGGCTGGTCTTGAACTCCTGAGCTCAAGCGATCTGCCCACATCAACCTCCCAAAGTGCTAGGATTACAGGCATGAACACCACACCTGGCCGAGTTGGGGTATTATTAAGAGAAAACATGGCTGAGTGCGGTGGCTCACACCTGTAATCCCAGCACTTTGGGAGGCCGAGGCAGGTGGAATACCTGAGGTCAGGAGTTCAACACCAGCTGACCAATATGGTGAAACCCCATCTCTACTAAGATTACAAAAATTAGCCGGGTGTGGTGGTGTGCGCCTGCACTCCCAGCTACTCAGGAGGCTGAGGCAGAAGAATCGCTTGAACCCGGGAGGCGGAGCTTGCAGTAAGCCGAGATTGCACCACTGTGCTCCAGCCTGGGCAACAGAGCAAGACTCTGTCTCAAAAAAAAAAAAAAAAAAAAAAAAAAAACAGAGAAAACACTTGCTGAGAGAGACGGTGTCTGAGACTGGCATTCAAACAGGAGCAAGAGTTCTCCAGGTGCAGGAGCCAGACAGGAGGAGGGCACTGCAAGTGGAGGGAACAGCTTGTGCACAAATGGGAAGGGCAGGAAGCACCACAGGATAGGTGAAACATTTAAACAACTGTAAAATGTAGGTGGGCACAGTGGCTCATGCCTGTAATCCCAGTAGTTTGGGAGGCCAAGGTGGGAGGATCACCTGAGATCAGGAGTTTGAGACCGGCCTAGTCAGCATGGTGAAACCCCATCTTTAATAAAAATTCAAAAATTAGCCAGGCATTGTGGCATGTGCTTGTAGTCCCAGTTACTCAGGAGGCTGAGACATGAGAATCACTTGAACCCAGGAGGCGGAGGTTGCAGTGAGCTGAGATCATAACACTGCACTCCAGCCTGGGGGACAGAGTAAGACTCCATCACAAAAACAAAAACAAACAAAAAAAACCAACGTAAGATGTATTATACATGTAAAATATACACCAAATTTTTGAATACTTACTACAAAAAAAGGATGTAAACTTTTTATAATTTCCATACTGATTTTTTTTTTTTGAGATGGAGTTTTGCTCTTGTCACTCCGGCTGGAGTGCAATGGCACGATCTCAGCTCACTGCAACTTCTGCCTCCCGAGTTCAAGCAATTCTCCTGCCTCAGCCTCCCAAGTAGCTAGGACTACAGATGCCCGCCACCACACCCGGTTAATTTTTGTATTTTTAGTAGACACGGGGTTTTACCATGTTGGCCAGGCTGGTCTCGAACTCCTGACCTCAGGTGATCCACCCACCTCGGCCTCCCAAAGTGCTGAGATTACAGGCGTGAGCCACCACGCCTGGCCTCATACTGATTTTTATGGTGACTTCTTTATCGTGGTAAAATATATATAACATAACATTTACCATTTTAGCCTTTTTTTTTTTGGAGACAAGGTCTGGCTCTATCGCAAAGGCTGGAGTGCAGTGGCGCGATCTTGGCTCACTGCAACCTCCACCTCCTGAGCTCAAGCCATCCTCCCATCTTAGCCTCCCAAGTAGCTGGGACTACAGGTAGTCCCCACGATGCCTGGGTAATTTTTTTTTTGTATTATTTTTGTAGAGATGGGGTTTCACAATGTTGCCCGGGCTGGTCTCAGATTCGTGAGCTCAAGCGATCCCCTAGACTCGGCCTCCCAAAGTGCTGGGATTACAGGCCTGAGCCACCACGCCTGGCCCATTTTAGCCATTTTTAAGTGTACAATTCAATGACAATAAGTACATTCACACTGCTGTGCAACCATCACCATCACCCATTTCCAGAACAACTTCATCCTTGCAAATAGAAACTGTAATTCAACAAGAATTCCCATTCTCTTCTAACCCCTGATAAGCCCTATTATACCTTCTATCACTATGAATTCCATATTGATTTTTTAATATTTATGTTGAAATAATGCTTGGAATATACTGGGTTCAATATAGTCATGTGCTGTATAACAATGTTTCGGTCAACAACAGATGACACATACAATAGTTCTACAAAATTATAAGATTACAATGGTGCAGAAAAATTCCTATTGCCTAGTGACATCATAGCCATCCTAACCGTCCTAACGTTGCTGCACAATGCGTTACTCACAAATGTGTGTAATTATGCTGGAGTTAACGAACCTACAGCACAGCCAGTCGTATAAAAGTATAGCACATGCAATTATGTATAGCACATACCTGATAACGACAATAAACGACTATGTTACTGGTTTATTTATTTACCATATTTTTTATTTTACGGTGTACTCCTTCTACTTATAAAAAAAATTAACTGTAAAGCAACCTCAGGCAGCTCCTTCCGAAGTTATTCCAGAAGGCATTGTTATCATAGATACAGCTCCATGCCTGTTATTGCCCCTGAAGACTTTCCAGTGGGACAAGATGTGGAGGTGGAAGACAGTGATATTGATGATCCTGACTCTGTGTATGTCTAAGCTAACATGAATGTATGTGTTTGTGTCTTAGTTTTTAACAAAAAAGTTTAAAAAGGTAAAAAAAAAAAAATTTTAAGTTGAAAAGAGCTTATAAAGAGATAAACATTTTTATACAGCTGTACAACATATTTGTGTCTTAAGCTGAGTGTTATTACAAGTCAAAAAGTTAAAACAATTAAAAAGTTTATAAAATAAAAAAGTTATAGTAAACTAAGGTTAACTTATTATTCCAAAAAAATTTTAAATAATTTGAGTGTAGCCTAAATACACACGTGTTTATAAGATCTAAAGTAGTGTACAGTCACGTCCTAAGCCTTCACATTCACCCACCACTCACTCACAGGTTCACCCAGAGCAACTTCCAGTCCTGCAAGCTCCATGCATGGTAGATACCCTACATAAGTGTAACACTATTTATCTTTTCTTGAGACGGAGTCTCACTCTGTTGCCCAGGCTGGTGTGCAGTGGCGTGATCTCGGCTCACTGCAAACTCTGCCTCCCAAGTTCAAGCGATTCTCCTGCCTCAGCCTCCTGAGTAGCCGGGGCTACAGGCGTGTGCCACCACACAAGACTATTTTTTAAATTTTTAGTAGAGACGGGGTTTCACCATGTTGGCCAGGCTGGTCTCGAACTCCTGACCTCAGGTGATCTGCCCGCCTCAGCCTCCCAAAGTACTGGGATTATAGGCGTGAGCCTCCATGCCCGGCCCACTGTTTAGCTTTTATACCACATTTTTACTGTACTTTTATGTTTAGGTATGTTTAGATACACAAATACTTACCACTGTGTTACAACTGCCTACAGGACTCAGTACAATAACATGCCATATAGGTCTATAGCCTAGGAGTAATAAGCTATACCATACAGCCTAGGTGTGTAGTCAGCTATTCCATCTAGGTTCGTGTAAGTGTGCTCTATCGTGTTCACAAAATGACACATTTCACAGAACAGATCCTCATTAAGTGATGCCATTACTACAGTTCACCTTGTTTCTTTTTATATCTTTAATGTGGCTACTAGAAAATTTTAAATTGGGGCTCACATTCTACTTCTAATGGACACTACTGTGCTAAAATATAATGTGCAAGTAAGGAAATAGAGATGATGCTGGAATGAGTAGATACAGGACAAGTCATGAGGGGCCATCATTATCCTACAGGACACTGGAGAGCAAATAACAGACTTATAAGGAGAGTGACAGGATGAGACCACCATGGTACTAATGTGGGTGCTAGCCTGGAGGAGAGCAAGGCCG
This sequence comes from Homo sapiens, assembly GCF_000001405.40. Lineage (NCBI taxonomy): Eukaryota > Metazoa > Chordata > Mammalia > Primates > Hominidae > Homo > Homo sapiens. Next base: position 69,198,414 of record NC_000014.9, on the reverse strand, counting down.
TAGGCAGAGAGACCTGTTAGAAGCTCATAAAGCAGAGCGGAGAGGCAAAGAATACTCGAATTATGGCAGAGGAATGTAGAATGAAAAAGAACCACAGCTCCTGAACAGAATGACTGCATCACAACCACCTGGAAAAACAACAAAGTCATCAACCAACTTTTAGAAATTATATGGTAATTCAGAAAGTCTGATGAGTATAAAATCAATAGCTTTCCAAACCTATTATAAAAATGTGAAAAAAGAAATCTCATTCATAATAGCAATATACCTGTATACTATTTTAAAACTACATAAAAAAACCACATAATCACATACACAAGTCTAGGAAAGAATTCAACAAGAAATGTGTCAGATCAATACAAAGAGGAACAGAAAACTTTAGTGAAGATCTAGAAGAAGACCAGAAGAGTGGAGATGTATGATAGCAGCTGTCAAACAGGACCAATCATGTGCCAGGCACTTTACATGTACATATATACTCATATTAAAGTATTCATTTAATCCTTTCAATAACCCTATGTGGGAGGTACTATAATTATCCTATTTTTGATAAGAAGAAAAGATTGTTTTATAGAAATACTCAAAATAATATGTAAATTCAATACAAACTTCATTTTAAAAAACTTTTTAAAAGAATGAATTGACTGTGTGCAGATGAGAAAAATGGATGCAGCAACATGGATCAGCTGGAGGCCACGACCTGAGTGAATTAATGCAGGAACAGAAAACCAAATACTGCGTGTTCTCACTTGTAAGTGCAGCTAAACACCCAGTACACATGGACATAAAGACGGGAACAACAGACACTGGGGACTACCAGAGGGGAGGGGAAGACAGGGAAGGGGGCCGCAGGCTGAAAAACGACCTATACCCAATACCTGAGTGAAGGACTCATCCATACCCCAAACTCCAGCATAACATGTTACCCATGTAACAAACCTGCACATGTACCACCCTGAATTTAAAATAAAAGTTGAAATTATAAAAAAAAAAGAATGAATCAACCATCGAGACAGCGAAAAGACAACCCACAGAATGGGAAAAAATATTTACAAATCATATATTTGGGAAGGGTGTGTATCTAGAATACACAAAAATCTCTTACCACCAAATAATAAAAAGACAGACCAATTTAAAAACTGGCTAAGAATCTGAATAGGTATTTCTGTTCTTTATTTTTTAATATATTTTTTAGAGACGAGATCTGGCTCTGTTGCCCAGGCTGCAGTGCAGTGATGCAATCACAGCTCACGACAGCCTCAAACTCCTGGGCTCAAGTGATCCTTCTGCCTCAGCCTCTTGACTACAAGTGTGCTAACTGAACAGACAAGTCCAGCTAACTGAATAGACATTTCCTGATAGAGGGTATACAAATGGCCAATAAGCACTTGAAAAGATGTTCAATATCATGAGCTGTTAGGGAAATGCAAATCCAAACCACAATCAGATACCACTTTACACCAAGTAGGATGGTTCTATTCAAAAAAACAAATAAGGCCAAGTATGGTGGTGCACACCTGTAATTCCAGCACTCTGATCCAAGGTGGGAGGATCACTTGACGCCAGGAATTTGAGACTAGCCTGGGCAACATAGTGAGACCCTGCCTCAAAAAAAAAAAAAATTAATTGGCCAGGAGTGGTAGTGTGCCTATAGACTTAGCTACTTGGGAGGCTGAGGCAGGAGGATTGCTTGAGTTCAGGAGTTTGAGGCTGCAGTAAGCTTTGATCACTCCACTGCACTCCAGCCTGGTCAACAGAGTAAGACCCTGTCTCTCAAAAAAAAAAAAAAAAAGTGCTGGCAATAATGTGGAGAAATTAGAAATCTCATGCATTGTTGGTGGGAATGTCAAATGGTACAGCTGCTCTGGAACACAGTCTGGCAGTTATATAACCTAGCAATGCCACTGGCAGGTATATACCCAAGGGAAATGAAAACACATGTCCGTACTAAAGTTCATAGCTATTCATAATAGCCCAAAAGTGGAAACAACTCAAATGTCAATTAGTTGATGAACAGATAAATAAAATGTAGCATATCCGTATGTTATGAGTTGAATCGTATTCCCCAAAAAGATATGTTGAAGGTCTAACCCCCAGGACCTGTGAATGTGACCTTATTTGAAAATAGGGTCTTCGCAGATGTAATCAAGTTAACATGAGGTCATACTGAAGTAGGGTGCGCCCTTAATCAACTATGACTTGTGTCCTTACAGGAGGAGGAGAAGAAACAGGCTTACGCTGAGCGAATCCAATGTGCAGACAGACACACAGGGAAGGTGACCATTTGAAGACGGAGGCAGAAACTGAAGTTGTGCAACTGCAAACCAAGAAATGCCATGGATTGCCAACAACCACCAGGAACTAGAAGAGGCAAGGTAGGATTCTCCCCTAGAGCCTTCAGGAAGAGCACAACCCTGCTGACACCTTAATTTTGAACTTCTAGCTTCCTTAACTGCGAGAGAATAAACCTCTGTTGTTTTAAGTCAGCAGTTTGTGTTACTTTGACCACAGCCCTACAAAATAAATATACCACAGGATGAAATTTCATTCAGTAATAAAAAGAATGAAGTACTGAAACATGCTATAGCATGGAAGAATCTTCAGTACATTATCCTAAGTTAAAGCAGTCAGTCACAAAAGACTACACATTGTATGATTCCTTTTACACAAAACACCCAGATCTCGAAAGACAGAAATATTAGTGGTTGCCTAGGGCTGGGGTCTCAGGGGAGTCAGGGATAGGGACTGACTTCTAATTGGTATGGGTTTCTTTTTGGGGTGATAAAAATGTTCTAAAATTAGACTACGGTGATGTTTGCACGACTCTATGAATATACTAAAATCATTAAATTGTACACTTTGAAGAATTGTATGGTGTGTGAATTACTTCTCAATAAAGCCATTAAAAAATGATTTGGAGCTGCGTGTGGTGGTTCACACCTGTAATCCCAGCATTTTGGAAGGCCAAGGCGGGTGAGTCACTTGAACCCAGGAGTTCAAGACCAGCCTGCGCAGCATGGTGAAACTTCATCTCTATAAACAATACAAAAATTAGCCAGTGTGGTGGTACACACCTGTAGTCCCAGCTACTTGGGGGGCTGAGGCAGGAGGATCACTCGAGCCCAGGAGGTCAAGGCTGCCACTGCACTCCAGCTGAGTGACAGAGTGAGACCTCATCTCTCTTTTTTTTTTTTTTTTGAGACAGAGTCTCGCTCTGTTACTCAGGCTGGAGTGCAGTGGTGCAATTTCAGCTCACTGCAACCTCTGCCTTCTGGGTTCAAGTGATTTTCCTGCCTCAGCCTCCTGAGTAGCTGGGATTACAGGCGCACACCATCACGCCCGGCTAATTTTTGTATTTTTAGTAGAGACTGGGTTTCACCATGTTGGTCAGGCTGGTCTCAAACTCTTGACCTGGTGATCCGCCCGTCTCAACCACCCAAAGTGCTGGGATTACAGGCGTAAGCCACCGCGCCCGGCTCCCATCTCTTAAAAGAAAAAAATAATTGACAAGTTGACTGTAAAATTAATCTGGAAAAGAAACTAATAATAACCAAAAATATTGTTTTTTAAATGAGAGTACATGAGCTGATATAGTATATGACTTCCAATAAAATAATAATCATGATGGAGTATTTACCCTATTAATGTCAACATATAACATATAGTTTAATATAGGATGTTGTGGTATTGGTCCAGCAAAATAGAAAAGTATGCCATAGAACAGAAGACAGTCTAGAAACAGATCCTGTATGATAAATGAGCACATGAGGCCAGGCGAGGTGGCTCATGTCCATAATTCCAGAACTTTGGGAGGCTGATGGGGGAGAATCTCCTGAGGCCAGGAGTTTGAGACCAGCCTGAACAACATAGCAAAAACTCATCTCTATCTCTACAAATAAAAATTAAAAAGAAAAAAAAGAAATTAGTACATGGTAAGTGTGGCATTTCGGATTAATGGTTCAAGAATGGACTGACTAGGCCGGGCGCGGTGGCTCACACCTGTAATCCCAGCACTTTGGGAGGCCGAGGCAGGTGGATCACGAGGTCAGGAGATCGAGACCATCCTAGCAAACACGGTGAAACCCCATCTCTACTAAAAATACAAAAAATTAGCCAAGCGAGGTGGTGGGCGCCTGTAGTCCCAGCTACTTGGGAGGCTGAGGCAGGAGAATGGCATGAACTCGGGAGGCAGAGGTTGCAGTGAGCTGAGATCGCGCCACTGCACTCCAGCCTGGGCGACACAGCGAGACTCTGACTCAAAAAAAAAAAAAAGAATGGACTGACTGTTCGAGGTGACAGTATTTGGAAAACAACAATCACACACACACAATTCCAGAGGAATTAAAGAAAAAAAACTATTCCCACAAGAAGAACTTCAAGGAGAAAACAGAGCTTTAGGAGAAAACCCTCCTCTCTCTAAAAGTAGAGAAGGATTTTTCAACTTCAGCACAACTGACATTTTTGGCTGGTGAAATTCTTTGTTGTGGGAAGCTTTCCCGTGCGCTGTAGGATGTTTAGCAGCACCCTCGCTTTTACTCACTAGATAACCAATAGCAGCACCATCCTAGTGGAACAAACAAAAAATGTTTACAGACATTGCCAAATAACCCCGAGAGCAAAAATCTCTGCCATTTAAGAACCACTCGGATTGGGAATGATAGCCACAAAATACAAACACACACATAACAGACTGATAAATTAAAACCTAAAATTTTAAACTTTGTTTCAACAAAGATGCCATATAGTTAAAAGACAAGCAACAACTTAAAAAAGCAATAAGCAGGGAGTAAATATTATAAACACATATGAATAACAAAAGATCAAAATCCAGAACATATAAAATACTATTATAAATCAATAAGGAAAAGACAATCCAATAGAAAGAGATGTTTCTCAAAAGAGGAAATACAAATGGCTGACAATCATGAAGATGTTCAATCTCAATAGTAATCAGGGGAATGCAAATTAAAACAGCAAAGAGAAATCACTTTTCCATCCATCAGATTGGCAAAAACAAAAAAGATCGATACCATTAAATGATCAAAAGAGCATGGTGGGCCAGACACGGTGGCTCACGCCTGTAATCCCATCACTTCGGGAGGCCAAGGCAGGCGGATCACTCGAGTTTAGGAGTTTGAGACCAGCCTGGCAAATACGGTGAAACCCCGTCTCTACTAAAAATACAAAAATTAGCCAGGCGTGGTAGCGGGTGCCTGTAATACCAGCTACTCGGGAGGCTGAGGCAGGAGAATCGCTTGAACCTGGGAGGCAGAGGCTGCAGTGAGCTGAGATCACGCCACTGCACTCCAACCTGGGCAACAGAGCAAGACTCTGTCTCAAAAAAAAAAAAAAAAGAGAGAGAGAATGGAGGAAATTATTATCCACCGTGGGTGGCAGTTTGGCATTCCTAAATCCCCATACTCTCCCACCCAGCAATTCCACCTGCAGGTACCCATCCTTGAGAAATGCTCTCACATGGGCTCTCACAGAGGTGTGTGGGAAGGATGTTCTCCGCCATACTGTGTCTAACAATGAAAAACTGGAAACAATCTATGGAATCTTACATAACCATGGAATTTACAGAGCAAGTAGAAAGAATAGGTAGATCTCTAGGTACTGACAAAGAAAAAATTCCAAGACCCGTTTTTAAGCATAAAACGTCAAGTTGTGTAATGCATAAAACATGCATATTTGTAAAAGTTTAAAGCGAAATCTTACAAACATATATCTTATACGTACACATACTTGTCAAATAAATGCAAAGAAAAATACACACAAACTGACAACAGTTCTTATTTTGTGGGAAAGGGACTGGTAAAGAAGGTGGAGATGGAAAAAAACAAAATCAAAGAGGATCTGTCTTCCACACTCCCCACCCTCACCACCAAGAACATCAAGCTAAGAAAGATCTGTGTTTAAAATTTTTACATAATTTTGTTACAAGGCTTTATGCACGGACTATAACTAGAATATTTTAAAAATACATTTTTAAAACAAGCTCAACTTGACCAAATTTAATCCATCTTCCCCGCTGCGCCCCAACCCGCACTTCCTAATTCCTATGATTAACAAAACCTTTCAATTCCTTCTATCCTTGGAACAGAACTAAGAAAATAAAGTATAATTTCAATTTTGTGTTTTTGAGGAGAGGGTATATAAAGGAGTTTGAATGTTGGAATCATATCAAAAGCTTATCGGGGGATTGGTTTGTTTGTATTTTAAGGAGCAGATGTCAATTTTGTAATAAATAATGATTAAGGTTCTTAGTTTTGATCCATCCCAGGGATGTGAAAAGCCAAAGAGGTGGCTCCCGGCAAGGCCCAGAGCAGGGTGTGGTCTGGGAGGACAGGGATGGTAGCGAGGGTGGCGGCTCACACGAATCCAGGAGAGAAAACAGCAGCTGTTGCCGCGTCGAACCCGCAGCGCCCGAGGAGCTACCAGGTGCCGCGGGCGGGGCCTCCTTTTTAGCTGACTGGGACACGCAGCCTCGAAGGTCTGGTAGAGTCTCCCAGGGAGAGGGTAAGGGGGTCGAAAGGAGAGGCCCAAGGAGGGCGTGGGAGGCCGCGGGCAGGGGTGAGGCCCTCCTTGCGCACCTGGGTGCTGAACCGCCCCGCCGTGTGCGACGGGGGCGAGGGGGTCACGCCGAGGGGCGGGGAGAGGGGCAGGGCCAACTCGCTCCGGGACAGCGGGGGCCCCGCAATGTCACCCCCGTACACGGTAATATCCCCCCGCTCCACGACCCCTCTTAGTCTGCACTGGAAGCACCCCCTGCCCCGCGCACAATCCTGGTGCAAGGCTTCGCCGGCTTCTGAGCCTCACTTACCTGCTGTCTCGGACTGGGCCGCACACCTGCAGCGGGCTCACGTTAAAGACCTGGAACCTGTGCGGCCGCCTGCGCGCACCCACCCGGATTCACTAGGGCCGTAACCACTTCCGTTCCTGCGACAGGCCTGGAGGACGTAATCCCAGCTGGCGTGTGGGAACGGGCAACGCCATTTTGTACGGAAGCTACTGGGGCAGGTGATGCCTACCCAGTCTCTCTCCTCTGTTGAACAAAGGATCTGTTAAAATTGGAAGGGCTTAACGTCTTCTTCAGAAAAGTGACGCATTTGTTACTGGGATGGTATGTTTGTGTTTTGGTTTTGGCTTTGAAGGGAGAAACCTCCAGAACTCTCACAAATGTAATATGGGACATCGAATTTTCCTTCTTTAGTATCCTGCGTACTGTTTTTCTGCTAAACGATAACAGTAAATAGAAGGAAAGACACTGTATTTAAATAATGTAGTCTTCATTAGCAGTGCACATTATCCTATAGCCACTATAATAATTTTATGTACCCTCCTTTTTTTTTTTTTTTTTTTTTTTTGTAGATACTGTCTCCCTACATTGCCTAGGCTGGTCTCGAACTCCTGGGCTCAAGCGAACCTCACAACTCGGCCTCCCAAAGTGCTGGGATTACAGGCGTGAATGCCCAACCTATGCCATCTTTTATAGCGATAACCACAATACTTTTTGTTTATATATTAAATCGTTCATCCAATCAGTCTTTATTAGCAATTATATGTGAGGCAGTTAATCTGTGCTACATGCATGCTTTTCCTTTCTCATGGAATGTGTAAAACAGAAGGAGAAATGAGATGTGCATAAATAACCAATATAAGGTATAATAATAGCTACCATTTGTTGACTTTGTGCTCACCTGTTGCTAGGAACTTTGCAAAGCATTTTACTTATTTTTTCTCCTTTAATCCCCATAACAACCCTGTGAGGCAGTACTATTATTAGTGCCGTTTTACATAAAATAGAAAAAGGTTAAATAACTTCCTCAAGGTAATTCAGCAAGTAAGCACCGGAGTTAGGAATCAAACCTCATATTTCTGATTGCAGAGCATGTGGCCCCATCCTTTATACTATATTGCCTTCAATACAGGGGCAAATGTTTTAAATTCCATTGAATGAGTACCCATGGGGGAAATTTCCAGCTATTATAGAGGATTAACTCCCTGAATTTTTATCTGCTCCATCTTGAAACACTTAAAAAACAAAGGATAAAGAGGAAATGCAAATTAAAACCACAATGAGATATAGCTAAATGAAAAAGAAAATGTCAAGTATTGGCAAGATTGTGGAGCAACCACAACTCTCATATGCTCCTGAAGGGAACATAAATTGATGCAATCACTTTGTTTAACTGTTTGGCGGTATCAACTGAATCTGAATATGTGAAAAGACTTTGTTCCAACAATTTCACCCCTAGCTGGGGCACAGTGGCTCAACGTGTCATCCCAGCACTTTAGGGATTTTCACTGTGTTGCCCAGGCTGGTCTTGAACTCCTGGCCTCAAGCGATCCTCCCACCTCGGCCTCCCAAAGTGCTGGGCATCATGGTGTGCACCTGTAGTCCCAGCTACTCCAGAAGCTTAGGCAGGAGGACGTCTTGATCCCTGGAGTTTGAGGCTGCAGTGAGTTGTGATCACACCACTGCAGTCCAGCATAGGTGACAGAGCTAGACCCTGTCTCGAAAACAAAAACAACAAAAAACAATTTTACTCCTAGTTATATATATGCAACTGAAATGTCTGCATGTATTCACCAAAAGGACATGTACAAAAAAAAGCTCATACCCATACTTTCAACAGCCCCAAACGGGAAACTACCCAAATATCCCTGCTATTAGAAGTCACTGTATATAATGATTAATCTTAGGGTAGTAATAACTGGAAGGGAACATGAGGAGGTTCACGAAGTGCTGATAATGTTCTATTTCTTAATCTGAGTGCGGCTTTACATGTGTGTTCAGGTTATATTTGTGAGCACTTTTCTGGTTTCATATATACTTCGATAAAAGGGTTTTTAAAAATGATAGTAAAGGAGTGAAAAGTTTGTTAACCCAAAGAAGAAAGAACAGGAAAGGACATAGTACCAAACTAAAAAAAAAGATACAATTTTAAAAGATAGAAATTAGATTAGAATGGCAGATACATTGTATGCTTGTATCAAAATATCTCATGTACCCCATAAATATGTACATCTACTGTGTGCCCACAAAAATTAATAATTAAAAACAAAAAGAATAGCAGAATATTGACATTTGGAGGATTTCATAAAGAACTGTCTGGGTTCACAAGCAATCACTCTACATTAAGGCCCAGTCAACAAGACTCATCTGTGCATACAGAATTTCTAATCAGCTTTTAAAATACAGTTTCTCACTTTTAAATATGAGAAGACATCCAAGAATCACCAGTCATTATGGGAATGTCTGACATAATTAATTAACCTTTTCTAAGGAGCATGTATAGAACTATGTAAAGAACCCTCCATTCCTGAGGAAGACAAAGAAAAGAACTATGTCCTCAACGATGTGAAAACACAAATTGTTCTCAAATATACTTTTCACATTTACAGGGAAGATTTAAGAAAATTAATTTTGATTTAGGCCATTGATTATCTAACTGGTTGCTGTTTTTAAAATCAAATAATTTTTAAAAATGTAGGCTATTGAGCAACTTTTTACAAATTGCAAAAAATTGCTATCATACAGATCACATTCTCTGACTACATTGCAATTAAGTTAGAAATCAATCATGAAGCTGGGTGCGGTGGCTCATGCCTGTAATCCCAGCAGTTTGGGAGGCTGAGGCAGGAGGATCACCTGAGGTCAGGAGTTCAAGACCAGCCTGGCCAACACGGTGAAACCCTGTCTCTACTAAAAATACAAAAATTAGCCAGGCACAGTGGCCGATGCCTGTAAACCCAGCTACTTGGGAGACTGAGGCAGGAGAACTGCTTGAACTGGGGAAACGGAGGTTGCAGTAAGCCGAGATCGTGCCAATGCATTCCAGCATGGGCAACAGAGCGAGGCTCCATCAAAAAAAAAAAAAAGAGAGAGAGAGAGAACGAAAGAGAGAGAAAGAAAGAGGGAGAGAGGGAAGAAGGAAGGAAGGAAGGGAGGAAGGAAGGAAGGAAGGAAGGGAAAGAAAGGATTATTTTTAAAACTCCGTGTACTTGGAAATTACGTCTGTAATCCCAGCACTTTGAGAGACTTAGGCATGTGGATCACTTGAGCCTAGGAGTTTGAGACCACTCTGGGCAACATGGCAAAACTCCACCTCTACCCAAAATACGAAAATTAGCTGGGTGTGGTGGCACACACCTGTGGTCCCAGCTACTCGGGAGGCAGTTGTGGGAGGATCGCTTGAGTCTTGGGGGCGGAGGTTAAACAATGGCTAAAATCCAAAACACTGCCAACACCAAATTCTGCTAAGGATGTGGAGCAACAGGAACTCTCATTCATTGCTGTTGGGAATGCAAAATGGTATAGCCACTTCTGAAGACAGTTTGGCAGTTTCCTATAAAGGTAAAGATAGTCTCAGCATGCAATCCAGCAGCCACACCCTTGGGTATTTACCAAAATGAGTTGAAAACTTAGGACCACACATAAACTTGCACATGAATGTTGACAGCAGGTTTATTTATAAGCTGGAAACAACCAAGATGTCTTTCAGTAGGTGAAAGAATAACCAAACTGGTACATCCTTACAATGGAATATTATTCAGAACTAAAAAGAAAGAAGTTATCAAGCTGCAAAAAATAACATGGAGAAACCTTAAATGTATATTGCTAAGTGAAAGAGGTCAGTCTGCCATGGCTACATACCGTATGGTTCCAACAGTATGACATTTTGGAAAAGGCAAAGCTGTAGAGATAGTAAAAAGATCAATGGTTGCCAGGGATTCCAGGGGAGGAGGAAAGGCGGAATAGCTGGAGCAAGGGGATTTTTAGGCCAGTGAAACTATTCTGTGTGATACAGTAATGGTGGATACATGACATTAGGCATTTGTCAAAACGTGTGGAACTGTGCAACATGATGAGTGAACTCTAATGTAAACTATAAACTTTGGCTAATAAGGTATCAATATAATTTTGTAGCAAATGTACAATACCCGTGCAAGATGTCAATAATAGATGAAACTGCAACTGCATGTGGTGAGGGGAGGTATGTGGGAGCTCTCTGCACATTCTGTTCAAATTTTCTGTAAACCTAAAACTGCTCTAGAAATAAAGTCAATTAATTTTTTTTAAAAAAGGTTATTGTGTGAACTATCTAAAATACTTTATTCATTTGTTTATTCATTCCAAGGACAACTTAATGTCAAGCACTGGGCTAGGGATTCATGGGACATCATGTGCAGAAAATTCACGAGGAACTGTGGCCGGAAGTGCTGGTTGCCCACCTAGTATGCATTCTCCCTTTCCACTTAGGGGGCATTAAACAATTGCATTTACAAAATACAATTTTCTGTCTTCATTAGGAGTAGGTGTGGCCATGTGACTAAGTTCTGGCTAATTAGTTATAAGCAAAAGTTTTTGCATGGGACTTTTGGTAATGTTTCTAAAAAGGTGACAGGCTGGGCGCGGTGGCTTATTCCTGTAATCCCAGCACTTTGAAAGTCCAAGGCGGGCGGATCACTTGAGGTCAGGAGTTCAAGACCACCAACATGGTGAAACCCCATCTCTACTAAAAATTCAAAAATTAGCTGGATGTGGTGGCACATACCTGTAATCCAAGCTACTTGGGAAGCTGGAGCATGAGAATCACTTGAACCTGGGAGGCAGAGGTTGCAGTGAGCTGAGATTGCACTACTGCACTCCAGCCTGAGTGACAGAGCGAGAGACTCTGTCTCAAAAAAAAAAAAAAAAAGAAAGAAAGAAAAGAAAAAGGGGATGAAGAGGACAGAGCTGGGTGTGATGGCCCACACCTGTAATCCCAGCACTTTGAGAGGCCAAGACAGGAGGATCACTTGAGCCCAGGAGTTCAAGACCAGGCTGGGCAACATAGGGATACCCCGTTTCTACAAAAGAGTAAAAAATTAGCTGGGCATGGTAGTTTGTGCCTGTAGTCCCAGTTACTTGGAAGGCCAAGGTGGAAGGATTGCTTGAGCCAGGGAGGGCAAGGCTGCCAGTGAGCCATGACTGGGCCACTGCACTCTAGCCTGGTAGACAGAGATTCTGTCTCATAAATAATGAGGGGAGAGACAACTCCCACAAGGCCTCTTTTGCCTTTTGTCATTGCCCTTCCCCTTCTTCCTTGCTTATACTAAGACCTGATAGCTGAATCTCCAACAGTTCTCTGCCATCACAGTGGCAATTTAAAATGAAATCCAGGTGCTTAGGAAGACGGAGTGGAGAGGTAGATGTAGCCTGGATCCCTGATGCCTTCTGTAGTTTCCATACTAACCCTGAGCAACCTACCTCTGAACTTTGAACTTTTTTTTTTTTTTGAGATGGAGTCTCATTCTGTTGCCCAGGCTGGAGTGCAGTAGCACGATATCGGCTCACTGCAACCTCTGCCTCCCAGGTTCAAGTGGTTCTCCTGCCTCACCCTCCTGAGTAGCTAGGACTACAGGTGCATGCCACTCCACCTGGCTAATTTTTTATATTTTTAGTAGAGACGGGGTTTCACCATATTGGCCAGGCTGGTCTCGAACTCCTGACCTCGTGATCCACCTGCCTCGGCCTCCCAAAGTGCTGGGATTACAGGTGTGAGGCACCACACTCAGCCTGTACTTCTTTTACATGGGAAAATAAACCTCTAATTTTCTTAAGCTACTGCAGTCAATGTTACTAGTGGTAGAATCCAATCCCTAACTGATATGGAAAACAAAAGATATTAATGATAAATGCATGCCACACCAGTCAACTAAAACCTATTTAATACAATGCCCAGCACTGAAGATACACAAAAAAGGTAGAAGATAATGATGGAGGTCAAAATTTAGAGGAATCGCTGCCTGATAGACTATTTCTGAAAAATCTTTCCTTCCATTGATTTTTTTTTTTTTAAGAAACAGGGTCTTGCTCTGTTGCCCAGGCTGGATGAAGTATAGTGGCATGATCCTAGTTCACTGCAACCTCAAACTTCTGGGCTGAAGCAATCCTCCCCGCTCAGCCTCTCAAGTAGCTGGGACTGCAGGAGTGCACCACCACACTCAACTAATTTTTTAATTTTTAGTAGAGACAAGGTCTTGCTGTGCAGCCAAGGCTAGTCTCAAACTCCTAGCCTCAAGCAATCCTCCCACCTCAGCCTTCTAAAGTGCTGGGATTACAGGTGTGAGCCAGTGTGCCTGGCCCCTTCCGATGATATTCATTTTTTTTAATCTTTTTTTGAGATGGAGTCTTGCTCTGTCACCCAGGCTGGAGTGCAGTGGCGCGATCTCGGCTCACTGCAAGCTCCGCCTCCCGGGTTCACGCCATTCTCCTGCCTCAGCCTCCCGAGTAGCTGGGACTACAGGCGCCCGCCACCACGCCCGGCTAATTTTTTGTATTTTTAGTAGAGACGGGATTTCACCACGTTAGCCAGGATGGTCTCGATCTCCTGACCTCATGATCCACCCGCTTTGGCCTCCCAAAGTGCTGGATTACAAGCATGAGCCACCGCGCCCGGCCCTTCTGATGATATTCTATCCATGCTTTCTACCCACTGATTCCTTTCCTCTATAAATTTGGGTAATATTATTAGGTACTATACAGACTATAAAATATATAGCTATTGTCTGTGCACTCAAGAAGCTCTGGAGCTACTTGGAAACACAAGAAAGAATGTTTGTTAGCAAATGAGAAGGGTTTTTGGTGGTTTAGAGAACTTTGTTTCTGCAATAAGTGGTGTGTTTGGGGCAAAATGAGGTGCCGAGCTGAATTGCTTTGTAGGGTAAAAGGATAAGGAATTAGAAAGCTCAGTGAGTCAATCAAAGATTGAGAAGGGAATCAGCAAGGCTCCAAAATTATTGCAAAGAAGATATCTACAGAGGAGAGACTTTAGGGGAGAAAGAAATGTTTAAGATGTTTGGGGAGTTGAATTTAAGTTGCTACGGGGTTTGTGAATGTTACCTAACTTCATCTTCTATCTTCCACAGGTAAGGTTCAGCAAAGTCTATGTCATTCTCTAATCCTTTTGATCCAGCGGATTCTTTGGAGGAATTTGAATACATATTGGATTTTGCATCCAGGTTTGCAAGAGGAAAATACAAAGGTGACTTCTGGGCCTGCTGGAGGTGGAGGGTAGAGGATGGACAGCTGACATCTAGTCACAGAGGAAAGAACACAGAAAGAGATCTCCAGTTAAAGCTGATAGATTGAACCACAGACAACCCACCTCCTTCTAAAATCCCTCTAGAACAATGGTTTAAAAAAAGTGCTTTAACATAAAACTTCAAAATCAAAAAGATAAGGAAAATGATGAAAACCACTCAGATAAGAAGAGAGGATATTTATGCAGAGGCTGCTGTCGTTGGGAGTCCGCCACCATACCACTATACTTTGGTGAGACTTGAAGGCAGGCAGGGAGTGGAAACACTTTATGCTGTAGTGAAAAAAGGGGAAGGCTTCGGTATGCTCTGACTGGAGATCATTGTCATGGGGAAACTGCAGGTGGGCTAACTAGAGGCTGGGCTTCTTGTGTAATGGTTTGGCTTTCTCTGGTTGGTCCTGTGTTGAAAATAGGGGCAAAATATAGGGAAGCTGACTCATTGACCAAGCCCTGCCCAGGCTGGCCAATTGCAGAGGTTGTGGGTCAGAGTTCTATTGTCATATATGGTCTGGCTACTGTCTGTTTATATAATCCGTCTCTCAGAGAACAGTAGAGGAGATCAAATTATTAACATTTTGGAAGCTGGAAAGCAGGAGGATAGTGTGAGCTGAATTAGCAGACTTGCCATCTATCAAAGGGGATAGCCAAAAGCAAGCCAGATTTGCCCCAGAGAACCACCAAAGGTTCAAGAATTGGCAGCACCAGGTACCCCCAGAAGCAGGGATAAAGTGGGGGCTGAAATTGGACAGTTGGTTCAAAGTCTATTTCAGAAGCATTAGACCACTGGATTTCTTCCCCAGCTCCCAAATGACTGCCTGGTGCAAAAGACTCAGGATTGATTCCCTGGAGAGGGTAGGTAGTTCTTTGTCTAGTTAAGGATGGGATGCCATAACAAACATGCCAATTCAGTGAAAGTACCTACTTTCAAGACTCCTGCTTAACTCCCCTAAATCAGCAGCCAATGTTAGAAGCCAAGTGTTAAAGTTTTTCAGATAATTTTGCTATAAGCCTATGGAGAAATTTCATTACCATCTCATAGCAAGGCCTATAGTATAAGAGCAGGCCTATAGTAGCATATGGGGGAAAGTCTAAAAGACTTTGAAATGGACCAAAAGATTATTGAGAAATGGAAAACTGCATTGTTTTAAGTATCCCTTTCCAACTTATCAGATTCTGTGGGGTTTATACCTTTCATTGTCTTTGAGGTATTTAACAATTCTAAAGAGATAGACTCTAACTTGTAGAAAACTAAGAGTAACATAAATAATTATCGTCTTTAGATATACAAATAAATTCTGTTCTGAGAAGTTTCTGTTGACTTCCCTTTCTCACTGTTCTATTCAGAACATTGATTTCAGGTGGGGTGTAGAGGCTCATGCCTATAATCCCAGCACTTTGGGAGGCCAAAGCAGGAGGATTGCTTGAGCCCAGCCTGAGCAACATAGCAAGATCCCATCACTACAGAAAAAACTAATTAACGGGGCATGGTGATGTGCACCTGTAGTCCCAGCTACTAGGGAGGCTGAGGTGGGAGGATTGCTTGAGCCTAGGAGTTTGAGGTTACAGTGATGTATGATGGCACCACTGCACTGCAGCCAGGGCAACAGAGCAAGACCCTGTCAGAGAGGTGGGGGGTGCAGGAGAGACAGAGAGAGAGAGAGAAAAGAGAGGAGAGAGAGAGGCTGGGTGTGGTGGCACACACCTGTAATCCCAGCACTTTGGGAGGCTGAGGGGGTGGATCACCTGAGGTCAGGAGTTCAAGACCAACCTGGCCAAGATGGTGAAACCCCTGTCTCTACTAAAAATGCAAAAATTAGCCAGACCTAGTGGCTCACACCTGTAATCCCAGACACTTGGGAGGCTGAGGCAGGATAATTGCTTGAACTTGGGAGGTGGAGGTTGCAGTGAGCCGAGGTTGCACGACTGCACTCCAGCCTGGGCGACAGAGCAAGACTGCCTCAAAAAAAAAAAAAAAAAAAAAAAGGCCGGGCATGGTGGCTCATGCCTGTAATCGCAGCACTTTGGGAGGCCGAGGCAGGCGTATCACGAGGTCAGGAGATCGAGACCATCCTGGCTAACATGGTGAAACCCTGTCTCCACTAAAAATACAAAAAATTAGCCGGGCGTCGTGGCAGGCACCTGTATTCCCAGCTACTCAGGAGGCTGAGGCAGGAGAATGGCGTGAACCCAGGAGGCAGAGCTTACAGTGAGCCGAGATTACACCACTGCACTACAGCCTGGGCGACAGAGCGAGACTCCGTCTCAAAAAAAAAAGAAAAGACTATTTGGTAAGTCACTCACTGGGCTCTTAACTGAAAAGTAAGTGGGTGGATGACTGGTTTCTTAGAAGTTTTAATCCCATTAATTTATTAGAAATTTGTGTAGGCATTTTACAAGAAATCCTAATTTCTTGCTAGAAGGAAGCTTTCAATTACATCATGCAAAAAGATTGCATCCTAGTCCAGGTTTGGAATTTTTTTCTTTTGTAGGATGATGACTCTCAAATCTCCAGTCCAAAGCTGTATCTCTAAATACTTACTATACCAGTGCTATTCAGAGTACTAGGATAAAGTGAGATAAGGACCTCACTCCAGAATGTAAATCAGCATTCTGCTTCCTTCATTGAGAAAGAGAAAATCTTCCTACAAAAATGCTAAGGGAACTAAACCTGGTGTTTAGTGACACAGTTGCTTTACATTATGTGACAAGCTTTTATCTTGTTGAGGACTGATAACAAATTGCATAAAATGTGGAATAAATGCACAGTGAAATATTACTCAGCCTCAAAAAGGAATGCAACTCTGACTCATGCTACAACATGGATAAACCTTGAAGATATTATGCTAAGTGAAATAAGCTAGGCACAAAAGGACAAATATTGTATGATTCTACTTATATGGAGTACCTAGAATAGACAAATTCATAGAGACTAAAAGTAGAATAGTGATTACCAGGGCCTGGAGGGTGGAGTTAGTGTTTAAAGGGTACAGAGTTTCAGTTTAGGATGATGAAAAAAATCTGGAGACAGTGGTGATGGTTGCACAACAAATGTGAATGTACTTAATGCCACTGAACTGTATGCTTAAAAATGGTTAAAAGGGGCTGGGCATGGTGGTTCCTGCCTGTTATCCCAGCACTTTTGGAGGCTGAGGAGGGATGATCACTTGAGCCCAGGAGTTTAAGACCAGCCTAGGCAAGATAGGGACATCCCATCTCTACAAAAAATTTAAAAAATTAGCCAGGAGTGATGGCACCTGCCTGTGGTCCCAGCTACTCAGGAGGCTGAGGTGGGAGTACTGATTGAGCCCAGGAGGCTGCAGTGAACTATGATCGTGCCACTGCACTGCAGCCTGGGTGACAGAGGGAGATCTTGTCTCAAAAAAAGTTAAAATGGACAATTTTACTTCATGTATATTTTACTACAATTTTTTTAAATTGCAGACTGGCCAGTAAAGAGGCCACATTTTGAATTGTGCTATATTAGAGTCCAGGCTCTCTAAATATATCAACTCTGTTGGGGTTGGTATATTTACAACCCCTACAAACTAGCTCTTCCCTACTCCACATACATTCTACCCCTCTCTCCACTTTTCATTTAGTTACTAAAGCTAGAAACCTGTGAAATGTCCTAGACTCTTGCTTCTCCCTCATGTCGTTGTATGTAATCTGAACAATGATTGCCTAACTGTGCTGGTTATAAAGAAATTGTTCTGGGCTGGGCACGGTGGCTCATGCCTGTAATCCCAGCACTTTGGGAGGCCAAGGCAGGTGGATCACCTGAGGTCGGGAGTTCGAGACCAGCCTGGCTAACATGGTGAAACACGGTCTCTACTATAAATACAAAAATTAGCTGGGCTCCTCCTTCAAGTGTTTGGTCCCAGTAATCTCAATCTTGACCTTTTATTTCCCCTGTCTACTTCTTACAGTCACTACTTCTTTGTTCCATTTTCCCTTTTTAATTCTCCAATACCTGTGATATCTCTAATAATTCTTTATATTAATTTTCTCAGTTAAGATTGGCCAGGGGGAAGGGGTGGCTCACACCTGGAATCCCAGTACTTTGGGAGGCCAAGGCGGGTGGATTGCTTGAGCCCAGGAGTTCGAGGCCAGCCTAGGCAACATAGCAAAACCCTGCCTCTACCAACAAAACAAAAAATTAGCCAGGTGTGGTGTTGTGCACCTGTGGTCACCGCTACTTGAGAAGCTGAGGTGGGAGGACCACTCGAGCCTGGGAGGCAGAGGTTGCAGTGAACTGTAATCATGCCACTGCACTCTAACCTGGGCAACAGTGCAAGACCCCATCTTAAAAAAAAAAGAAAAAAAGATAACTGCTATGATATGGCAGTTCCTTCCAGCATTCCACTTCTGGGTATATATTCAGAGTCAGAAGCAGGGTCTCAAAGAAGAGATGTTTGTTTTTGTCATGCCTGTGTTCATAGCAGCATTATTCAAAATAGCTAAAATGTGGAGACAACCCAAGTGTACACTGACAGATGAACTGATAAGCAAAGTGTGGTATATACCTACAGTGGAATATTATTCAGCCTTAAAAAGGAAGAAATCCTGACACATGGATGAACATTGAGGACATTATGCTAAGTGAAATAAGCCAGCTACCAAAAGACAAATACTATATGATTCTACTTATATAAGTTAGGACAGTCAAAAATCATAGAGACAGAAAGTAGGATGATGGTTGCCAGGGACTGGGGGGAGGGGAAATGAGGAGTTATGGGTTTTTTTTTTTTTCTTTTCTTTTGAGAAGGAGTTTTGCTCTGTCACCCAGGCTGGAGTGCAGTAGTACGATCTCAGCTCACTACAACCTCTGCCTCCCAGGTTCAAGTGATTCTCCTGCCTCAGCCTCCCAAGCAACTGGGATTGATTATAGGTGCCTGCCACCATGCCCGGGTAATTTTTGTATTTTTAGTAGAGATGGAGTTTCACCATATTGGCCAGGCTGGTCTCGAACTCCTGACCTTGTGATCCGCCCACCTCAGTCTCCCAAAGTGCTAGGATTACAGGTGTGAGACACCACTCCCAGCCGGAGTTACTGTTTAATGGGTACAGAGTTTCAGTTTCACAAAATGAAAAGTTCTGGAGATGGATGGTGGTGACGGTTGCACAGCACTATGAATATATTTCATACTACTTGAACTGAACACGTGAAAATGGTTAAGATGATAAATTTTATTATGTGAATTTTACCACAATGAAAATTAATACATTTTATATTGAAAAAAATAACTCCTATGGCTTCCATTTCTTCATTGAATCCTGACTAATACAGAAAATGGTTTTCCAGGAGTTGTTCCAGGGAACAGACTTTCAGATATAGGATTTATTATAGCAGTTTATTTGGTCATATCCTTAAACTCAAATGCAATGTTGAGCCACTTGTCAATGGGAAATGGAATGTAGTGGTATCACAAATAATCAACTTATCGTCTGTAATCAACTTTGTCGAAGTGCCTACTAAAGCAAGTAATTAGGAGCCACATTTGACTGTTTGACAATGATATCTACAACAACTCTAGGTTATTCATGGCTTTATTTGAATGCACCGAGGAACTTATTATAAATTAAAAGTACAGGTTATTAAGCATTCAATTCAGGCCAGGCTCAGTGTCTCGCTCCTGTAATCCCAACACTTTGGGAGGCCAAGGTGGAAGGATTGCTTGCACCTATGAGTTTGAGATCAGCCTGGGCAACATAGTGAAATATAAAATTGACTGCACGTGGTGGCCGGTTTGTACCAGACTCTTTGGTAGTCTCCATTACTTAGGAGGCTGAGGTGGGAGGATCGCTTGAGCCCAGGAGATCAAGACTGCTGTGAGCCATGATTGCACCACTGCACTCCTTCCTGGGCAACAGACAGAGTGAGACCCTGTCGCAAAAAAGCAAAACAAACAAACAAAAAAACATTCAGTTCAAGTCACAGAGTACAAAACTTCTATAGCAGCCCTAAAAGAATTCCTTATTTCCTGTACCTCCAGACTTATCTTTCTAAAAATCAAACATAAAATTTAATTGTGCAATTTTCAGAGTTACAATACAATTTGATCTCACATCCTTGCTAGATATCTCTAGTGAAAAATAGGGCACTGACTGGGAGGGGCATAACGCTGAAACTGGGAATGGGAGTATTGGGTTGACTCAAAGAAAGTCGAAGTTCTACAATGTCCAAACTCTCTAAACATCTACAAGGCCAGTAGAAGCAGTCCTTCTTCCCTTAAAGGCACTAGAATAACATCATTTGTGTCAGGCATGGTGGCTAACACCTGTAATCCCAACATTATGAGAGGCCAAGGTGGGAGGACACCTTGAGGCCAGGAGCTTGAGACCAGCCTGGGCAATATAGCGAGACCCCATCTCTAAAGAAAAAAGAAAACAAATTTAATCACTTGAAGGATGTCTACTTTCCTCTAGTTTCTTTTTCTTTCTTTCTTTCTTTCTTTTGAGAAGGAGTCTCACTCTGTCGCCCAGGCTGTAGTGCAGTGGCGCGATCTCGGCTCACTGCAACCTCTTCCTCCCAGGTTCAAGCGATTCTCCTGCCTCAGCCTCCTGAGTAGCTGGGATTACAGGTGCGCACCACCACGCCCAGCTAATTTTTGTATTTTTAGTAGAGACAGGGTTTTGCCATGTTGGCCAGCCTTGTCTCTCAAACTACTGACCTCAGGTGATTCACCCACCTTGGCCTCCCAAAGTGCTGGGATTACAGGTGTGAGCCATGGCGCCCGGCCTACTTTCCTCTAGTTTAACTCCAACCACCGATTGTTAACTGTAGATCAGGATTTCCCAACATGTTGGGCTGGATAATTCTTTGTGGGAGATGTCCCATGTGTTGTACGATATTTAGCAATATTCCTGACCTCTACGCACTAGATCCAGCAGCACCTTCCCCTCCAAGTTGTGACAACCAAAATTGTCTCCAGACATTGCCAAATGTACTGTGGGAAACAAATCATCCCCAGTTGAGAACCACAGCTCCACATCTATAGCTAGGGTTAGATCCCGGCATGTTCCACAGTGTGGCTGGGAAGAAATAACTTATTCTTTCAATATTTTGCTAATTTTTATCTGCAGATATGTGAAGAACATGTGAAAGGGAGGATTCTTCCTTTCCAAGAAGGAAACAGACTAAGAAGACAGAATGTAACACTGGATTTGGTTGAATTGTTAGCATGGGTGCTTTTACCACAAATTCTGGTTTTAATGTGTTAGCTTGTGCAGCTGGAAACCTCTCTAATAGTTACTTGGTTGGTTGCCTGAAACTTTATTTCAGCAGTAGGCTACTTTCAATAGTGTTGAGATGCAAGAACTTAGTGGCATTATTTAGAAGACGCAATCCCAAAGTTTAAGGAGATAGAAATGTTGGAGCGAATCTATAATATATGAATGGCCACCCTCTCACTATATCACCTAAGAGATCCCAGAGGACATGCTCTCCACTAAGGCACTGAGAAATACATTAGCAGATGGGCACCAATATCCTTGTAAACGCTATGGTCGCTGTTTTCTATAGGTAGATATGATAAAGGAAGATGTTATAGTTGAGATGGGTTCCCTGATTTTGATGGAGGTGATGGGATCCTGGGGTGACAGAGGACAAAGACAATGTGGGTCAAGAGACAATGTATAGACTCCCTTTCAGAGTATAATATGAAAAAGAAGGGGATAAAGAGTGGCTTTACAGTGTAGAAACCTGACAAACACTACTTATCAAGGCGATAAGTCACGCTGGCAGTATGTGTAGTTGATATGATTTCATGAGAATGGCATTTCACCTCTATAGCTTTCCTCCCAAAAGCACATAACCCCAGTCTAACAATGAAATAAATCTCAATCAAAACTCAATTGAGGTCAGATATGGCTCACACCTGTAATCCCAAAGCGGGTAGATCACCTGAGGTCAGGAGTTTGAGACCAGCCTGGCCAACATGGTGAAACCCCATCTCTACTAAAAAAAGACAAAATTAGCCAGGTGTGGTGGCACATGCCTGTAATCCCAGCTACTTGGGAAGCTGAGACAGGAGAATTGCTTGAACCTGAGAGGCAGAGGTTGCAGTCAGCCAAGATTGCACCACTGCAGTCCAGGCTGGGCAACAGAGCGAGACTGTCTCACAAAAAACACAAAAAAAAGAAAAAGAAGAAAAAGCTATTCAACTTTCTGGAGATCTGGAGAACCCCTGAGCCATACATGCTTTGGGTACACTGCAAGTAACCCAACCAAAGATAAAATAAGTGAGCTGAGATTCACTCTGCAGCCCAGAGTCAGAGTTTGCAATATGAGTCCAACCAAATTAATAGCATGCTAAAACAAACATATAACAACAAATCAACACTTTATTTTTTATTTTTCATTTTTTTTTTTAGAGACAGGGTCTCACTATGTTGCCCAAGCTGGAATACAGTGGTTATTCACAGGTGGGATAATAGTGCACTACACTACACTCCTGGGCTGAAGCAATCATCCTGTCTCAGCCTCTCAAGTAGCTTGGACTACAGGCGTGTGCCACTGCAACTGGCTTTCAACTCTTTAAGGAACATAATAGTATCTAGTGTTCACAACGTAACATTTGCAATGTTCAGAAAACAACTCAATTATTTGACAAATGGCTGGGTGTGGTGACTTATACCTGTAATCCTACTGCTTTGGGAGGCTGAGGCAGGAGGATGGCTTGAGCCCAGGAGTTTGAGACCAGCCTGGGTAACATAGGGTGACCTCGTCTCTAAAAATAATTTTAAAAAATTAACCAAGCATGGCGGCACACACCTGTAATCCCAGCTACTCAGGAGTCAGGTGGGATGATCACTTGAGCCCAGTGGTTTAAGGCTGCAGTGAGCCATGATTGCATCACTGCACTCTAGCCTGGGTGACAGAGGGAGACCCTGTCTCAGAAATAAACAAAATTATTTGACATATGAAGAAAAAAACTATGTAGCACATCTTCTCAAGAGAAAAGATAATCAACAGAGACTGACACTGATATGACATAAATGCTGCAATTGTCAAGATTTAAAAGCAGATCTTGCAACTACATTCAATGATGTAAAGGAAAAAATGATCTTTCCACATGCCTCATTACCCAGAAGCATCTAGCCTGGTGGAATGATGGATTAGCCTAATGATGGCTTGGTTTCAGCACCAGCACCTGTTGAGAGATAGCATCCTGAAAGACTGAAGTTTTGTTTTACAAAATTCCATATATATTCCCGTATATCATGCTGTTTCTCCCACAGCCAGAATGCATGGGTCCAGGA
Source organism: Homo sapiens (assembly GCF_000001405.40). Classification (NCBI taxonomy): domain Eukaryota; kingdom Metazoa; phylum Chordata; class Mammalia; order Primates; family Hominidae; genus Homo; species Homo sapiens. The sequence continues at coordinate 69,175,063 of NC_000014.9, read as the reverse complement.
ATAAATGGTTGGACATGTAAGTGACTTTTCTCATTCTTACCCCTAATAACCAACTTGTGGGATTTTTAATTCCCACCTCTGCAACTTTGAGTTCTGCAGGTTTGATGAACTTTGTTTCCACAGAGAAATGCTTCTATCATGAAACACAACACTAGCTCCATTGAATGAGAAGTTGAGATACCACCTGGCCATTTTGGGCTCTGAGGAGCCACTGAACCAATAGCCAAGAAGATATTGCTCAACTGGCTGAAGTGATTGATCCTAATTACCAAAAGGGAATTGAGTCTTTGTTACACAATGAGGACATGCACCCAAGAGTTTCTCTTGAATCTAAGAGATTCTCTGGGAAGCCTCTGAGCACTCCATGTTTAATAGGAAAGATTAATGGAAAATTAAGGCAACCAGAAAAAAGCAGAATGCTGAAGAAAATTTAGATCCTGCAGGAATGAAGGTTTGGTTCCCCAACCAGGTAAAGAACCTAGACCAGAAAAAAAGGTTCTTGTGGAAGATAAAGAAAATAGTAAGTGCAGAACAAACATGGTGGCTCACACCTATAATCCTAGCACTCTGGGAGGCCAAGGCGGATGAATCACTTGAGCTCAGGAGTTGGAGACCAGCCTAGGCAATACGGTGAAACCCTGTCTCTACAAAATATATATATATATACACACATACACACACACACACACACACACACAGATTAGCTGGGCATGGGCTACTCAGGGGGCTGAAGCAGGAGAATCGCTTGGGTCCTAGAGGTGAAGGTTGCCGAGGAATGGCCAAGGTCGCACCATTGCACTCCAGTCTGAGTGACAGGAATGAAACCTCATCTCAAAAAAGAAAAAAAAAAGAGAAAATAATGAATGTATAGTGGAAAACAGCAGTTATAAATGTCAACTATGACATCATGACCACTTAAAGAAATGAGCACACTAACATCTATGCATATGTTCTTCCAACTTTTTATGTGTGTACAAAAAAGGTAATCTCTTCTGATTTCCCTTATAGTTTTATAGTAATGATTGCTGGTGATGATTGACTTGACAATTTGTCTTTAGGTTTCAATATATTCAGGTAGGACCTTGACTGAATTTGAGAAGTATTAGCATTGCCTAAATATGGATACTGCAACTGTGACTCAATGGCAAGCATTCTCCTGCCTCAGGACATTTGCACTCAATGTTTCCTCTCCTTGGAAGGCTCTTCCCTAGATATCCATGAGTGCTTCGCCCTCACCTCCCTTAAATCTTTATTCAAATGTCACTTTTCTCAGCGACATATTCCATAACCACCCTATTTAAATTCCATAGTACTTATCACCATGTAATGTATTATAGGCCAGGCACAGTGGTGCACTTTGGGAGGCCGAGGCAGGCAGATTGCTTGAGCCCAGGAGTTCCAAACTAGGCTAGCCAACATGGTGAAACCTCGTCTCCACTAAAAATACAAAAAATAGATGGGCTTGGTGGTGCAGGTCTGTAGTCCCAGCTACTGGGGAGACTGAGGAAAAACATATTATATGCCAGGCGCAGTGGCTCACGCCTGAAATCCCAGCACTTTGGGAGGCCAAACCAGGTGGATCAATTGAGGTCAGGAGTTTGAGACCAGCCTGGCCAACATGGTGAAATCCTGTCTCTACTAAAAATACAAAATTAGCCTGGCGGGGTGGGACACACCTGTAATCTCAGGTACTCAGGAAGCTGAAGCAGGAGAATCACTTGAACCCAGGAGGCAGAGGTTGCAGTGAGCCGAGATTACACCGCTGCACTCCAGCCGGGGCAACAGAGCAAGACCCTGTCTCAAAAAAAAATTATATATTTTTACTTGTTTACCTTAGTTGCTTTCTGTGTCCCACTGCCTTTAGAATATAAGCTTCTTAAGGGCAGGGAATATTATCCATCTTTGTTCAAGGCCATATCGTCAGGGCATAGAACAGTGTGCTCAAGAGATATTTATTGACTATGGGACACTATGCTATGCAGGAATTTAAAATAATGAGGTAGATATAGATGGTTTGGCTCTGTGTCTGCACCCAAATCTCATCTCGGATTATAATCCCCAGAATCCCCACGTGTTGAGGGAGGGAACTGGTGGGAGGTGATTGGATCATGGGTGTGGTTTCCTTCATGCTGTTCTCATGATAGTGAGTTCTCACCAGAACTGATGGTTTTATAAGTGTTTGACAGTTCCTCCTTCACACACTCTGTCTCACCTGCCTCCATTTAAGACGTGCCTGCTTCCCCTTCTGCCATGATTGTAAGTTTCCTGAGGCCTCCCCAGCCATGTGGAACTATGAGTCAATTAAATTCTTTATAAATTACCCAGTCTTGGGTGTCTCTTCATAGCAGTGTAAAAAGGGACTAATACAATATATAAATGCTAAACTGTTAATCATGGTTTCCTCTCAGAGGGTGAGTGGGATTGGGAGAGGGGGTAAATATGAATTTTAACTTATTACCTAAGTTAAAAAATTTTTTTTCAATGTTGGGAGACACTTGACAAACTTAACAACTTAAGGAGAAAGGTTAGTAGCACTGGAGTGGATTAATGTGTAGTAGAAAGTGGGGATAACTGATGGAATGAGTTAAAGATAAAATGAGAAAATAACATGAGATGGTTCTTGGATAAGATGGTACTTGGATAAGGAGTTTTGCAGTGGAGATGACGCAGGGCAGGCGAGCCCCATAGTGAATCTTAGCCTGCAAGGGTTCTTGGCTTTGCTCAGGAAAGAATTCAAGGGCAAACCAGAGATAGAGGAAAGCAGCTTTATTCAAGAGGCAGTGTTACAGCTCTGTGACTGCTCCTTCCAAGCAAGGCTACCCCCACAGGCAGAGGAGCAGCCCAGGACAGTTTTGCAGTCACATTTATACCCACTTTTTTTTTTTTTTGAGAGAGAGAGAGTCTCACTCTGTCACTCAGGCTGGAGTGCAGTGGTGCAAGCTCGGCTCACTGCAATCTCCACCTCCCAGATTCAAGTGATTCTCCTGCCTCAGCCTCCCGAGTAGCTGGGAGGCACCCGCCACCACACCTGGCTAATTTTTGTATTTTTAGTAGAGACAGGGTTTTGCCATGTTGACCAGGCTGGTCTTAAACTCCTGACCTCAGGTGATCTGCCACCTCAGCCTCCCAAAGTGCTGGGATTATGGTGCCCACCCTATACCTACTTTTAATTGCATGCAGATTAAGGGGCGGTTTATGCAGAAATTTCTAGGGGAGGGGTAGTAATTTTTGTGTCATTGGATCATTGTCATGGAAAGGAGTGGTAATGCCAGGGTGTTGCCATGGCAACAGTAAATTGACATGGCATACTGGTGGATGTGTCTGATTGAAAACTGCTTTCACCCTGGCCCCATTTCAGCTAGTCCTCAATCTGGTCCAGTGTCTAAGCCCTATCTCTGGAATTGAGTCCCGCCCCCTGCCTCAGAGAGACCTGGTTGGAGTCCTCAACTCATGGCTTCCATGATCCTTGTGAAGCAGATGGGGAGGTCAAGGCTAAGGGCAAGGGCGTGGGTAGTATGCTCAATTTCTGAGGGTTTAGAGAAGATGTTACGGTCCTATTAACAAAATTACTTTATGTAATCCTTTCTCAGTTCCATGAGGTGTCATTATCTCTACTTTACAATATTATTCTGCTCTACAAATGTAAAAACAGAAGCACAGTGATTATACAGTTTGTATAAGACTACTTAGCTGATGAATGATGGAGACATTTTAGGAAGTTCTAACCCAGGCCTCTCTGACTTCAATTTACTGACCTCATTTAGGCTTCATATTCCTCCATAATGAAGTACAAATAGTCCAGTGACCCCATTTTCTAACACAAGGGTCCCACAGCAGAGTGGGATGGGCACGTCCAGGGTATGCATGATGATCCATTAGGGCACTGGAAGGCAATGTTAGATTTCTATTTATATTTTTTAAATCTAAAAGAAGTTCACCTTTGCTAGTATTTAATATGCAGATAGACACTGGCATCCTTATTTGGTCTGGATGCCAGCTGGTTATGAGTCATTTCAATATCTTGAGAGAGACATAGGAGTTCCACAGCACAGATGGAATGATAGTGGTGCTTCCCCATATTATATTTTTTTGTGCCTAAGGGATGACATCAATATGCTAATTTTGTAGAAAAAAGACTTTTACATAGCAGAATCTTTATAATACAGTAGTCTATGATGAAATGGTGATTGATGATGAAGATGTTTGACTTCACTCACAGGTTTGCTTGGTCTTTCTTGTCAGAGTATTAAAAATAGAATCTATAAATAACTTGCACTTTTCTTTGACAAAAAGACAAGCATTCAAACTGTGTTGCCTTTTTCGATGATAATGTGGCTGTCAGTATATGCTATTTACAGATACTAATAAGCAATATTTTAAAATTCCATTTCTTTAAGGTAGGGTTGATAATTTGACAAGTGGGGAAATAATTGCTTTTTGGAAAGCTATTGCAAAAGAGTATTTCGAAAAATTATATTTGGAAGCGTTTCCATTTTGGTGTGACTTTTTGCTAAAAATTATATAAGTATGTAACTTATAGAAATGCTCATATATAAAAATATAGTGTTTTCTGATTAATTGCAAAGACAGCTGACTATCATGGAAGATAAAAATTAGCTGAATTTCAGTAAAAACCTTCACAAATTGGTGAATGAAATTGAAAAACCAATTTCATTATTGAGTAAGCCTAGACAATAATTCCTCCATTTAGAGTTCATATTTTTGTCAGGTTTATTTCCATCAAGTAATAAGCTAAACAGATCATAGAAACAAGCCTTTGAAATTATTGTTATTATTATTACTGAGATTGAGTCTCACTCTGTTGTCCAGGCTGGAACGCAGTTGTGCGATCTTGGCTCACTGCAACCTCCACCTCCCGGGTTCAAGCAATTCTCCAGCTTCAGCTTCATGAGTAGCTAGGATTACAGGCACGTGCCACCACACCCAGCTAATTTTTTGTATTTTTAGCAGAGACGGGGTTTCACCATGTTGCCCAGGCTGGTCTTGAACTCCTAACCTCAACTGATCCACTTGCCTCGGCCTCCCAAAGTGCTGGGATTATAGGCATGAACCACTGTGCCCGGCCTCAAATTTATAATATCGTAATGTGCTAAACCACAATTTCAGAAATAAAGCAGGGTCAATAAAGTTGCTCTTAAAAATAAATTAGAGCAAAAAAAAAAAGGTTTTTTTAGGCTGGGCAGGTGGCTCACGCCTGTAATCCCAGCACTTTGGTAAGCTGAGACAGGCAGATAACCTGAGGTCAGGAGTTCAAGACCAGCCTGCCGGGCCTGAAGGAACCCCGTCTCTACTAAAAATACAAAAAGCAGCTGGGCATCGTGGCACACACTGTAATCTCAGTTACTTAGGGGGCTGAGGCAGGAGAATGGCTTGAACCCATTAGACGGAGGTTACAGTGAGTAGAGATCACGCCACTGCACTCCAGCCTGGGCGACAGAGTGAGACTCTGTCTCAAAAAAAGAGGGTTTTCTTTGTACAGATAATAAATGTAATTTTTATATGCATACATAAGTGTGTATATTTTAAGTATTTAAAGAAACAGGTAACATAAATATATGCATCAACATAGAAATAAAAATTAGAATATAGATGATTTTACACACAATGTTGTAGCACTGTCTGCCAGTCTGTGGTGGTGGTTCTTCATGCAGGCAAGAAGGAAACATATACATATGTGTGTATGTCTGTATATAAATATGTTTCACACATACATCTATCTATATATTCACACACACAAATAAATACATATACTATATAATTACATATATGTATATATAAAGTAATATACATAAATATATGTATAAAATATAGCCAGGCAGGGTGGCTGGCACCTGTAATACTAGCTACTCAGGAGGCTGAGATGGAAGAATCACTTGAGGCCAGGAGTTCTGCAGCAGTCTGAGCAACATAGCAAGACCCTGTCTCTTAAAAAATAAATAAGTAAATAAAATAAACATAATGCAACAAACACACACACACCAACACACATGCAGATGCACTTACATTTATATTAGGGGCTCTCTTGCCACGTGCTGGCAGGGAAGGGGGCCAAAATGGCCATAAGAGTCTTTCTTTGTCAGTTCCATGTGACCCCATGCTGCTAGCAAACACGAGGCCACCGGCTTTTAACTAGAACCAGCCCAGGTGGCATCACCCTCCAGTGGGAAAGCTGTTCACTTCTCTCAGGTCTGTCAATCAGTACAGGTGGTCTTCTCTGGAACACTTCAGGTGGGTCCATACAATGGTGTCCCGGTTCGGGTGGGTGGAGAAGAGGCTTTCTGTACAGAGGAAGGAAGGCTAGGTCTGAGGCCTCAGGATATACTGGGGGCAGAGTGAGTGTGGGTGGGGTAAAATGGTACCAGGCTGGAGGGACAGTCAGGCCAGGGTTAGACTGCACTGACAGCCACTAGAGGATTTTGGGGGCCAGGAAAATGAACCTCCGACACTGAAGGCTACACAGTCCTCAGTAAGCCTGTTCTGGCCAGTTCCAGCTGGATCCACAGGACCCTCCAGGGCTTCAGCAGGGCCAAAGAATACTTGGATTAGAAAAAGCTGAGGAGATAAGTGCCTGAGGCCTCTTCCACAAGTTTGAGAAGTACAGAAAACAGGTATTTGGCTTGACAAACACATATGGACTCCAAAGTAGGTGTCAGACAAATCTAGTTAGAAGCAGACCACTGGGCCCTGCCACCCCAAGTCAATGGATGACGCCTATTCCCAAAGTAGGGCCTGGCTTGTAGGGCAAGATAGGGCCATCATACACAAAATGTTATATTTTTTAAAATACTGAGTTTATTTCGGCAGCATCATCATTTTGTCCTTTAACTTTAAAACATTTTTGTCATTTTAAAAGGTACACAAGATATTAGGACTGTATTACATGCTTCTAATGTATGAATAACTTAGGGTGCATGTTGAAAAATATTTAAAGGTAAGTTTGTGATTCAATAATGTAGAGATCATTGTTCGAATGCAGGGTTTCTCAACCTGGGCACTATGTACACTTTGAGCTGGAGAATCTTTTCTTGTGAGGAGTTTTCCAGTGCATTGTAAGAATTTAGCAGCATTTTAGGCCTGAACCCACTAGATGCCAGCAGCAGCACCCCCTCCTATACACAGTTTTGACAACCAAAAAGTGTCTCCAGACATTGACAAATGTTCCCTTAGGTTAGGAATGCCAGATTTAACAAAGTGAAAACAAAAAATCAGAACACATTTACAGAAAATTCTTTTTTTTTTTTTTTTTTTTTTTGAGACTGAGTCTTGCTCTATCGCCCAGGCTGGAGTGCAGTGGTGTGATCTCAGCTCACTGCAACCTCCGCCTCCTAGGTTTTAAGCAATTCTCTCTGTCTCAGCCTCCCGAGTAGTTGGGATTATAGGTGCTCACTATCACACCAGGCTAATTTTTGTATTTTTAGTAGAGAGGGGGTTTTGCGATTTTGGCCAGGCTGGTCTTGAACTCCTGACCTCAGGTGATCCACCCGCCTTGGCCTCCCAAAATGCTGGGATTACAGGTGTGAGCCACCGCACCCAGCCAAAAACTTCTTTATTCCAAATGTAACTGGTTGGTTTATGCCTTATCTGGCAACCTTAAAGGAGAGGGGAAGAGGGGCAACATCCTTCCCCAGTTGAGAAGCGCCATTCTTTTTGCTTCTTCTTCTTTTTTTTTTTTTTTGAAACGGAGTCATGCTCTGTCACCCAGGCTGGAGTGCAGTGGCGCAATCTTGGCTCACTGCAACCTCTGCCTCCCGGGTTCAAGTGATTCTCCTGCCTCAGCCTCCTGAGTAGCTGGGATTAGAGGTGTGTGCCACCTCACCCAGCTAATTTTTGTATTTTTAGTAGAGACGGGGTTTCACCACATTGGTCACCAGTCTGGTCTCAAACTCCTGACCTCAAGTGATCCACCCGCCTCAGCCTCCCAAAGTACTGGGATTATAGGCATGAGCCACCGCACCCAGCCTCTTTTTTCTTTTTTTAAAGCAATGAAGTCTCACTACGTTGCCCAGGTTGAAATGCAATGACTACTCACAGGTGTGATTATAATGCATTGCAGTCTTGAACTCCTGGGCTCACGCAGTGCTCCTGCCTCAGCCTCCCTAGTAACTGGAGCTACAGGCATGTACCACATCTGGCTCAAGAATTGCCATCTGAATGAATTATTATGCCTATAATATTCCCTACAACATTACTTCTCTCCCAGCCTCATCCTACCTTCCCTTCCCTCCCCTTCCAAATTCTTCCACTGTGTTCTCTGGAACTAATGATCCATAACCTGCAAAAGCCCCTGCCATTCTCAAGCATTTCCCCCAATTTCTTACCTTTATTAAAACCTGGCAGTCTCTTAAAGACATTTTCCCTTTTGCTCACCTAAACGGTAGCTTTTTATGCTCTCAATTTTCACATACCTCAAGGATGAGAAGTGTAAGGAAATTTGGAATAAGCAAAAATGTAACTGGTATTTCCAGGGGAAAACTATACATTCTTTAGAGCACACCTTTCCAAGGTATCTGATTCTACCCTTTTATTGCTTGTGAGGTATTTTACAACTCTGTAAATTGTAAATAACTGACAGCAGAGTGCAAAATAATTCTTATCTATAGACATGCAAGTAAATTCTGTCCAGTGGCAGTTGAATTGACTTGCCTCTCCTACAGTGGGATGAAGCCAGTTTTACCTACATTTTCAAGTTCATTTCCATATGCCTGATCTATAAATGTGGATTATTTTAAAATGTACAATTACATTATTATTGACTATAGTCACCTTGTTGTGCTATTAAATAGCAGGTTTTATCCATTCTTTCTAATTTTTTTTTTGCACTCACTAATAACCACCCCCACCTCTCCTGCTCCCAGCCACCTACTACCCTTCCCAGGCTCTGCTAACCATCCTTCTACTTTCTATGTCCATGAGTTCAATTGTTTTGATTTTTAGATCCCACAAATAAGGGAGAACATGCGATGTTTGTCTTTCTGTGCCTGGCTTATTTCACTTAACATAATGATTCCAGTTCTATCCACGTTATTGCAAATGACAGGATCTCATTTTTTATGGCTGAATAGTACTCCATTGTATATATGTACCACATTTTCTTTACCCATTTATCTGTTGATGGGCACTTAGATTGCTTCCAAATCTTAGCTATTGTGAACAGTGCTGCTGCAAACATGGGAGTACAGATACCTCTTTCATATACTGATTTCCTTTCTTTCCCAAAAGAAAGGAAATCAGTATATGAAAGATCCAGCAGTGGGATTGCTGGGTCACATGGTAGCTCTACCTTTAGTATTTTGAGGAAACTCCAAACTGCTTTCTTTTCTTTTTTTTTTTTTTTTTCGAGACAGAGTCTCACTCTGTGGTCCAGGCTGGAGTGCAGTAGCACAATCTTGGCTCACTGCAACCTCTGCCTCCTGCATTGAAGCGATTCTTGTGCCTCAGCCTCCTGAGTAGCTGAGTTTACAGCTGTGCACCACCACGTCCAGCTAATTTTTGTATTTTTAGTAGAGATGGAGTTTTGCTATGTTGGCCAGGCTGGTCTCAAATTCCTGGCCTCAAGAAATCCACCTGCCTTGGCCTCCCAAAGTATTGGGATTACAGGCATGAGCCACCACACCCGGCCCTCCAAACTGTTTTCCATAGTAGTTGTACTAATTTACGTTCTCACTAACAGTGTACTAGGGTTTCCTTTTCTCCACATCCTCGCCAGCATTTGTTATTGCCTGTCATTTGGATATAAGACATTTTAACTAGGGTAAGATGATATCTCATTATAGTTTTAATTTGTATTTCTCTGATGATCAGTGGTGTTGAGCACCTCTTCATATGCCTGTCTGCCATCTGTATGTCTTTTGAGAAGTGTCTATTCAAATATTCTGCCTATTTTTTGATCAAATTATTAGAATTTTTCCTACAGAGTTGTTTGAGCTTCCTATATATTCTGGCTATTAATCCCTTATCAGATGGGTAGTTTGCAATTATTTTCTCCCATTCTGTAGGTTATCTCTTCACTTTACTGATTGTTCCCTTTGCTGTGCAGAAGCTTTTTAACTTGATGTGTTCCCATTTGTCCATTTTTGCTTTGGTTGCCTGTGCTTGTTGGATATTACTCAAGAAATTTTCGCCCAGATCAGTGGCCTGGAAATTTTCCTTAATGTTCTCTTGTAGTAGTTTTATAATTTGAGGTCTTAGATCTAAGTCTTTCATCCATTTTGATTTGATTTTTGTATACAGTGAGACACAAGGGTCAAGTTTCATTCTTCTGCATATAGACATCCAGTTTTCCCAGCACTATTTATTGAAGAGACTGTCTTTTCCCCGGTATATGTTCTTGGCACCTTTGTCAAAAATGAGTTCACTGTAGGTGTGTGGATTTGTTTCTGGGTTCTCTATTCTGTTCCATTGGTTTATGTGTTTTTATCCCAGTTCCATGCTCTTTTGGTTACTATCACTTTGTAGTATAATTTGAAGTCAGGTAATGTGATTCTTCCAGTTTTATTCTTTTTGCTCAGGATAGCTTTGGCTATTCTGGGTCTTCTGTGGTCCCATACAAATTTTAGAATTATTTTTTTTTATTTCTGTGAAAAATGTCATTGGTATTTTATTTTGATAGGGATTGCATTGAATCTATAGATCACTTTGGGTAGTAACAGTATTGACTCCTCCAATTCATGAACATGGAATATTTTTCCATTTTTTGGTGTCCTCCGAAATTTCTTTCTTCAGTGTTTTATAGTTTTCATTGTAGAGATCTTTCACTTCTCTGGTTAATACCGAGGTAATTAATTTTATTAGTGGCTATTGTAAATTGAATTACTTTTTAAATTTCTTTTTCAGATTGTTCACTGTTGGCATGTAGAAATGCTACAGATTTTTATATGTTGATTTTGTATCCTGCAACTTTACTGAATGTATCAGTTCTAACAGTTTTTTTTCATGGCATCTGCAGGTTTTTCCAAATATAAGATCATATCATCTGCAAACAAGGATAATTTGACTTCTTCCATTCCAATTTAGATGCCCTTTATTTCTTTCTCTTGTCTGATTGTTCTAGCTAGGGCTTCTAGTGCTATGTTGAACAACAGTGGTGAAAGTAGGCCTCCTTATTGCATTCCAGATCTTAGAGGAAAGCCTTTAAGTTTTTCCCCATTCGGTACGATACTAGCTGTGGGTCTGTCATACATGGTCTTTATTATGTTGAGGTATGTACCTTCTACACCCGGTTTTTTGAGGGTTTTTAGCATGAAAAGATGTTGAATTTTATCAAATGCTTTTTAGCATCAATTGAAATGATCATACAGCTTTTATCCTTCATTCTCTTGATATGATGTATCACACTGATTGATGTGCATATGTTGAACCATCCTTGCATCCCAGGGATAAATCCCACTTGGTCATGATGAATGATCTTTCTAATGTATTGTTGAATTCAGTTTGCTGGTATGTTGTTGAGAATTTTTGCATCAATATTCATCAGTGATATTGCCCTGTAGTTTTCCTTTTTTAATGTGTCTTTTTCTGGTGTTGGTATCAGGGCAATACTGGCCCTGTAGAATGAATTTGGAAGTATTCCCTCCTCCTCTATTTTTTGGAATAGTTTAAGTAGGATTGGTATTAGTTCTTCTTGAAATGTTTGGTAGAATTCAGCAGTGAAGCCATTGGGTCCTGGGCTTTTCTTTATTGGGAGACTTTTTATTATGACTTTAATCTAATTACTTGTTATTGGTCTGTTCAGGTTTTGGATTTCTTCATGGTTCAGACTTGATAGGTTGTGTGTGTTTAGGAATCTGTCCATTTCTTCTAGATTTTCCAATTTATTGGCGTATAGTTGCTCATAGTAGCCATTAAAGATCCTTTGAATTTCTGCAATATCATTTGTAATGTCTCCTTTTTCATTTCTGAATTTATTTGTATCTTGTCTCTTTTTTTCTTAGTGTGGGTAAAGGTTTGTCAATTTTGTTCAACTTTTCAAAAAAACATTTTTTTGTTTCATTATCTTTTGAATTGTTTTCTTCCATTCAATTTCATTTATTTCTGCTCTGATTTTTATTATTATTTTTCTTCTACTAATTTTGGGTTTGGTTTGCTCTTGCCTTTCCAGTTCTTTAAGATGCATCATTAGATTGTTTAAGTTTATTATCTTCTTTGATGTAGGAACTTACAGCTATTAACTTCCCTCTTAGTACTGTTTTTACTGTATCCCATAGGTTTTGGTATGTTGTGTTTCCACTATCATTTGTTTGAAGAATTTTTTTATTGTTTTTTTTTTTTTTTTTGAGACAGGGTCTCACTCCATTACCCAGGCTGGAGTGCAGTGGCTTCATCTTGGCTCACTGCACCCTCTGCCTCCCAGGTTCAAGCAATTCTCCTGCCTCAGCCTCCCGAGTAGCTGGGATTACAGGTGCCTGCCACCATGCCCAGCTGATTTTTGTATTTTTAGTGGAGATTGGTTTTCACTATGTTGGCCAGGCTGATCTTGAACTTCTGACCTCAAGTGATCTGCTTGCCTTGGCCTCTCAAAGTGCTGGGGTTACAGGCATGAACCACTGTGCCTGGCCCAGTTTCAAGAATTTTTAAAATTTCCTTAATTTCTTCATTGACCCACAGTAATTTGGGAGCATGTTGTTTAATTTATATGCATTGTGTAGTTTCCAAAATTCCTCGTTACTAATTTCTAGTTTTATTCCAATGTGGTCAGGGAAGATGTTTGATCTTATTTCAGTTTTTCTGAATGTTTTAAGACTTGTTTTGTGATCTACCATATGGTCTATCCTTAAGAATAATACATGTGCTGAGGAAAAGAATGTGTATTCTGAAGATATTGGATGAAATGTTCTGTAAATAGCTATTAGATTTGGTTTACAGTGCAGATTAAGTCCAATATTTCTCTGTTGATGTTCTGTCTGGAAGATGTGTCCAATGCCAAAAGTGGGGTATTGAAGTCTCCAACTATTATTGTATTGGAGCTTATTTCTCTCTTTAGCGCTAATAATATTTATGTATACATCTGGGTGCTCCAGTGTTGGGTTCATCTATATTTAAATTTGTTATATCCTCAAGCTGAATCAATCCCTTTGTCATTATATAGTGACCTTCTTTGTCTCTTCTTATAGTTTTTGTCTTGAAATCTATTTTGCCTGATATAAGTTTGGCTTCTCCTGCTCTTTTTTGGTTTCTATTGGCATGGAATATCTTTTTCCATCCCCTTAGTGTATCTGTATAGGTGAAGTGTGTTTCTTGTAAGCAACAGATCAATGGGTCTTGTTTTTCCATCCATTCAGCCACTCTGTGTCTTTTGATTGGAAAGTTTACTCCATTTACATTCGAAGTTGTCATTGATAAGTAAGGACATACTCCTGCCATTTTGGTATTTGTTTTCTGGTTGTTTTTATTTTTTGTGTGTATGCATTGCATGTTTTTTGGTTTGAGGTTACCATAAGACTTACAAATACTATCTTATAACCCATTATTTTAACATGATAACAACTTAACACTGTTTGCATAAGCAAACAAGCAAAAAGAAAACTACTAAAAACTCTATGCCTTAACTTCATCCCCGTTTTTTAACTTTTTGTTGTTTCTATTTATATCTTATTATACTATGAATGTCTCAAAAAGTTGTTGTAGTTATTACTTTTATTGGTTCATTGTTTAATCTTTGTACTTAGGATAAGGGTAATTTACACAACACAGTTACAGTGTTAAATACTCTGTGTTTTTCTGTGTACTTACCATTACCAGTGAGTTTTCTACCTTCAGGTGATTACTTGTTGCTAATTATCATCCTTTTCTCTCTGTTTGAAGTAACTCCTTTAGCATTTCTTTGGTTTTTTGTTTGTTTGTTTTTTTGAGACAGAGTCTTGCTCTGTTGCCCAGGCTGGAGTGCAGTGGCATGATCTTGGCTCACTGCAACCTCCGTCTCCTGGGTTCAAGCAATTCTACCTCAGCCTCCTGAGTACCTGGACTTACAGGCGCCCACCACCATGCCCAGCTAAGTTTTGCATTTTTAGTAGAGATGGGGTTTCACCACGTTGGCCAGGCTGGTCTCCAACTCCTGACCTCAGGCAATCTGCCCACCTCGGCCTCCCAAAGTTCTGGGATTACAGGCATGAGCCACTGTGCCCAGCCCCCTTTAGCATTTCTGGTAGGACAGGTCTGGTGTTGATGAAATCCCTCAGCTTTTGTTTGCCTGGGAAAGAATTTCTCCTTCATGTTTGAAGGATATTTTCCATGGTTATACTACTCTAGAGTAAACATAATATTCCATTTTAAGTAATTAGACAAAGAAGACTAAGACCAAAGCAAGCAGGAGGAAGGAAACAGTAAAGGCCAGAGCAGAAACAAATGAAATAGAGAAGAGAAAAACAATAGAATCAATAAAACCAAAAGTAGGTTCTTTCAAAATATCTACAAAATTGACAAACCTTTAGCTAGACTGACTAAGAAAAGAGAGAAGACTCAAATTACTAAAATTAGGAATAAAAGAGGTGACACCACCACTAACCTTACAGAAATAAAAGGGATTATAAGGGAACACTGTGAACATGAAAACAAATTAGATAACCTGGATAAAACGGACAAATTCCTAGAAACACACAAACTACCAAAACAGAATAAAAAGAAATAAAAAATCTGAACAGAAGTATAACAAGGGATTGAATCAATAATCAAAAAATTTCCCACAAACAAAAGCCCAGGGCAGATGGCTTCCTTTGTGAATTTTACCAAATGTTTAAAAAAGAATTAACATTAATCCTTCACAAACTATGCAAAAAATAGAGGATGGACTTCCCAACTCATTCTACGAGGCCAGTATTACCCTAACACCAAAACCATGCAAAGACATCACAAGAAACAAACACTATAGACCAAAATTCCTTATGAATATAGTCACAAAAAGTCCTCAACAAAATACTAGCAAAGTGAATCCAGCAACATGCAAAAAGGATTATACACCATGATCAAAATTATTTCAGGAATGAAAAATTGGCTTAACATATGAAAATCAATCCACATAATATACTATATTAATAGAATAAAGGATAAAAACCATATGATCATCTCATTTCAATACACAAAAAACACTTGACAAAATCCAACACCTTTGCAAGATAAAAAAAATCTATAGGAATTGAAGAAAACTTCTGCAACCTAATAAATGGTATCTATGTAAAATCAAAAGCTAATATAATATTTAATGGTAACTAGAAGACTAAAACTTTCCTCAATATCAGAAACAAGGCAAGATGTCTGCTCTTGATACTTCTGTTCAACATTGTGCTAGAGTTTCCAGCCAAGCCAATTAAGTAAGAAAAAGAAGTAGAAGACATCCAGATTGAAAACGAAGGAGTAAAACTATTTCTATTAACAGATGACATGATCTGGTATATAGGACATTTAAGGAATTCATTAAAAAATTAAGATTAATAAATGAGTTAGGCAAGTTTGCAGGGTACAAGATCAATATACAAAAATTTGTTGTATTTCTATACATTTAGCAATTCAATGGAGGAAAGAATCATCTCCTAAACAAGTGGTGCTGGGATGGCTGGATGTCCACATACAAAATAATGAAGTTGAACCTCTACCGCACACCATACACAAAATTAACTGGATCACAGACATAACCGTAAGAGCTAAAAAGTATAAAACTCTTAGAATAAATATAGAAGTGAACCTTGGATTAGGTTCACAAGAAGTAACCTTGGATTAGGCAGTGGTTTCTTCTTAAAAAAATTGACCATAGAGTAGGCATATGATACCAAAAGCACAAGTGACATAAGAAAACAACAGATAACTGGAGCTTATCAAAATTAAAAACTTTTGTGCTTCAATGAATACAATCAAGAAAGTGAAAAGACAACCCAAAGAATGGGAAAAAGTATTTGCAAATCAAATATCTGATAAAAGACTTACATCTAGAATATGTAAAAAAAACTCTTACAACTCAGCAATAAAAAGACAATTCAATTTTTAACGTGGCCAAAAGGTCTAAAGAGACATTTCTCCAAAGAAGATACATAAATGGCAATAAGGCTGGGCTTGGTAGCTCATGCCTGTAATCCAGCACTCTGGGAAGCCAAGGCAAGTGGATCACTTGAGCCTAAGAGTTCCAAACCAGCCTGGGCAACATGGTGAAACCCCATCTCTACTAAAAATATAAAAAATAGCCGGGTGTGGTGGAACACACCTATAATTCCAACTACTTGGGAGGCTGAGGCACAAGAATCACTTGAACCCGGGAGATGGAGGTTGCAGTGAGCCGAGATCATACCACTGCACTCCAGCCTGGGCAACAGAGTGAGACTCCAACTTAAACAGACAAACAAAAACAAATGGCCAATAAGCATAAGAAAAGATGCTCAACATCAACAGACATCAGGGAATTGCAAATCAAAACAATAAGAAGAAACTACTTCACCTACTAGTATGGTCATAATTTAAAAAGTTGGACAATAACAATAATTGGCAAGGATGTAAAAAAATTGGAACCCTCGGCCAGGCGCGGTGGCTCACGCCTATACTCCCAGCACTTTGAGAGGCTGAAGCAGGGGGATCACAAGGTCAGGAGTTCAAGACCAGCCTGACCAACATGGCAAAACCCTGTCTCTACTAAAAATACAAAAATTAGCCGGGCGTGGTGGCGCGTGCCTGTAATCCCAGCCACTCAACAGGCTGAGGCAGGAGAATTGCTTGAACCCAGGAGGCGGAGGTTGCAGTGAGCCGAGATTGCACCACTGCACTCCAGCCTGGGCAACAGGGTGAGACTCTGTCTCAAAAAAATAAATAAAAATAAATAAATAAATAAATAAATAAATAAATAAATTGGAACCCTCATACAACCTGTGGAATGTAAAATGGTCAGCTGATATGCAAAACAGTTTGGCACTTCCTCACAAAGTTAAACATAAAGTTACCATATAGCCCCAAAATTGTCCTACTACATAAAATGCCCAAGAGAAATAAAAACATTTGCCCACAGAAAAGTTGTACACACGTTAATAGTGGTATTATTATTCATAATAGCCAAAAAATGGAAGCAGCCCAAATGCCCATCAGCTAATGAACAGATAAACAAAATATGATATATCCATATAGTGGAATATTATTTGGTCTAAAAAAAAATGGAGTACTGATACATGCTACAACATGGATGAACCTTGAAAACATTATGCTAAATGAAAGAAGCCAGATTACAAAGACTACACATATTGTATGATTTCACTCCTATGAAATATACAGAATATATCAGGCATGGTGGCTCATGCTTGTAATCCCAGAACTTTGGGAGGCTGAGGCAGGTGGATCATTTGAGGTCAGGAGTTTGAGACCACCCTGGCCAACATGGTGAAACCCCATCTCTACCAAAAATATAAAAAATTAGCTGGGTGTCCTGGTGTACACCTGTAATCCCAGCTACTGTGGAGGCTGAGGCAGGAGAATCACTTGAACCTGGGAGGCGGAGGTTGCAGTGAGCTGAGATCATGCCACTGCACTCCAGCCTGGACTACAGAGCCAGACTCTGTCTCAAAAAAAAAAAAAAAATGCAGAATAGGCAAATCCATCGAGATAGCAATTAGATAAGTGGTTGTCAGCAGCTGAGGGGAGGGAGGAATGGTGAGAGACTGCTAATATATATGGGGTTTCTTTTTTGGAGTGGTGAAATGTTCTGGAATTAGATGGTGATGGTTATACCACTTTGTGCATATATTAACAACCACTGAATTGTACACTTTAAAAGGTGAATTTTATGTCAATTATATCTCAATAAAGTTATTAAAAAATGAAAAGCTATATGTCCTATGGATCTTGCTGGAAGAACACAAATTTAAGTAAATCAGTTTCTTTTCTCCCCAACATTAAAAGTGACTGTTGTCTATTTGAGATGACCAATAAATAATTTACCTTTTAAAATTTAAATGTTGACAGGCCGAGGTGGCTCATGCCTGTAGTCACAGCACTTTGGGAGGACAAGGAGGATAGCTTAAAGCCAGGAGTTCAAGATCAGCCTGAGCAACAAAATGGTAAAACACTTTTTAAAAAATTAGCCAGGCATGGTGGCATACACCTGTAGTCCCAACTACTCAGGAGGCTGAGGTGAGAGGATCACTTGAGTCCAGGAGTTCCAGGCTGCTGTGAGCTATGATTTTACCACTGCACTCCAGCCTGGGCAACAGAGAGACCCTGTCTTTAAAAAGTTAAAAATAAATGTTACAGTTAAATCATATGTATATTTGAGGCATTGATCTCTGCATGAATTAACATCTCTTTTTATGAATAGTGGTTTATTTTAAAGTTGAAAATATTTTGAATAAAACATTTCTGAGCATATTAGTATCCATATGTAGTACTCAATATGCTAAGATTTAATAAAAGTTTCAGAAGGGCTTAGTATTTTCTCAGTTAAAAAAACAAAACAAACAAACAAAAAAACAGCCAGGCTAGGTGGCTCATGCCTGTAATCCCTTTACTTTGGGAGGTGAAGGCTGGAGGATCATTTGAGCCAAGAGTTTGAGAGCAGCCTGGGCAAGATGGAGAAACCCCATCTACAAAAAATACAAGAATTAGCTGAGTGTGGCAGTGTGAACCTGTAGTTCCAGCTACTCAGGAGGCTGAGGTAGGAGAATCACTGGAGCCTGGGAGGTCAAGGCTGCACTGAGCAAAGATCACACCATTGCACTCCAGCCTGGGTGACAGAGTCAGACCCTGTCTCAAAATAAATAAATAAATTTTAAAAACACAGTTTCTAATGTTTGAGCATTTCCTTAGCATTCAATCAGTTTTTAAAGATTCCTTACTCTATCTTCAGCAATATTGGAGTCAAACAAAATAGAAGTCAAAGAGTAAATACATTTCTGGGAATTCTACATTTGACCAGTATTCAACCTATGGTGAAGCAATTAAGAGTTCTTGGGTTAAGCAATTTCCATATCTTTGTTTTTCCAGAATGAATTTCCAAATCAGTGTTTCAAGGCTTCCTAAGTATGAATGTTAATACACATAAGTTTCTGGGTTTAGGAAAGAAAAATATGAGTTTTTCACTCTTCTCCCTCTTCCTCCATACATTCTCTGCAGTGGTTCAATTTACTCAGAAGTAATTTCATTTGCTATTTTAAAGCTAAGTACACTGGCCTTTTCACTATAAATGCCTATATGAAAAACACAAAGCTCATGTGGTCATCAAAGCTGATTAAATGTTTGTGGTATTGCAATTTTGTTACAGGTGTGGTAAAAAAAGTTTGTGGTAGGTAGTTATGTACCATATTATTAGTTTGCAATAAATGACACAAGGGACTATGTTAAATTCCTAGTAAAAGCAAATTGATATTATGGAGTTTCATCTTTTGAAGTTGGTTATAAGTAGGTGGCCAGATTGAGCAAATAAAAAATTCAGGATGCCCAATTCGAGTTTCAAATAAACAATATTAGTATATCTCAAATATTTCATGGGGTATACTTAAACATTCATTGTTTATCTGAAATTCATACCAAATTGGGTATCCTCCATTTTATCCGACAACTCTTAATTATAGGAATAGGAAGATATTTCATTCAGGCTTATAAAAATCTGGCCAGACTAGCAGTAGGATATAAACAGACTAGGTGGTCCTACCTTTCTGTCACTGTTGGTCACCCAACAGTTAAGGAAGTTTCCAGCAAAGTCCTAGATTTGGGCTGGCATGTGACCAGATGCTGGTCTATTTTTATGCTGAGGTAAATGGGACAATTTTCCCAGGAATTCAGTAAAAACTGTAAAGGGGGTATGTGCTTAAGAGGGCAGAGGAGGATGCGTATTATACACTGCCACAGTAAAGGCCACTTCGAACAAATCTCCCCCACCCCAGGCAAATAGGTATAAATGATGGCCTATTAACTGGAAGAAGTTAGAGGGGGTTTTGAATGTGTGGACTGAGTATGCCAAGCAAAGGAACAGTGAGCAGGGAAACTGGCCTTGGAACAAGTGGATTCCACTGGAATGAAACAGGTCAAACTCAACATATCCAAACCGGAAAGCACGACCTTTCCCTTCAAACTCCTCCCCACTCCCTAAGTACATTCATGAATTCAGCAAGTATTAAAGCGGCCACTAGTGCCAGCAAGTACTGGCTCCAGGCATACACCCTTGAGCAGAACAGACGTAGTCCCTGCTCTCAGAGAACTTACAGCAGAGTGGGGAGACTCATATCATCACAAAAATAAATGATTAATTACACATTTTGACATTGCAATGACAGAAGGATGTTTGGTGCTATACATCTTTAATAAAGCTGGTATACTGCTACTAATTTTTAGGTGGTGATTATAATGAATAAACACAAAGGATTATTAGAAGGCATCCTGAGGATAAAACCTTTTAAGTACCACATAGTTTCCTATTTAGGGGAACAATATTCCATTAAAATTCACATTTTTGGAATTTGATTTCTTTCTTTTAAAAATTTATTTATTTTTTGCCCTTTTCCCCAAGTTCTGATGGAATTTGGTTTCTGTTTAGTAATGTTTGCTAGAATATGTACTTTTATATGAAACATTTGCATATTTGTTATTAGTACGATTAATCGTATTGTCACTGAACAAAAAGTAGAAGTAAATAATTTTGTTTGACGGGTAAACCTCTTCCATGTTCAGCCGATCTTTTTTTTTAAAAAAAATTATTATTATTTTCCCCAGATCAGAGATGTACAGCCCATCTTTCAATGATGATTCTACTCAACTGCTCCTGTGCCATCTCTGGTCCAGAGGATGTAATTCCTGCTAACTTGAAAGGGCAAAACTGACAAGTGCCTATTTCAGTAGCTTATTACCACTTAATGACAGAGGATAGCTTCCAGGAAAAGTACTATAATACATCGAAAAGGGGACTTTTAACTGTATCTGGTAGAATTCCAAAGCATTTAACACCCACTAGGGTCAACGCGGTGACTCCCATCCTACTGAAGTGCAGCCACTTCTGGCCTGGAGCGCAGCTGCTGGTTAACAGCTGTCCAACCTCAGTGCTCCCCACTCGAGACCTTTAAGAGGAGCTCACCGAACCCAATTAAATAACATATATCGTTAGTTTCAAATCACGCTTCTTGTGTCGTGCAAATTTATCTGGAACGGAGAGAAGTACCTCGTGCTTCTCGGGACTTCATCAACTCGGTTTTGGCAATTTTCTTCCTACTTCTTTATCCCTTTCTCTTTCCCCCCATGTACCACTCTAATCTGCCAGACGGAACAATTTAGCCTTTTTCAACTAAAGGACCGGAGGAAGGAAGAGTTAGAGAACTGGACTTGGGGATGAGCGGTGGTGTTAAACATTTACCGGGAGAGGGGAAGGGGCGGGTGCGCGAACAAAACCCCCAGGCAACGTTCCTCCAAGTGTGCGGCCCTACCTCCCGGTTCCCCCGCCTCGGGCAGGGCCGGACTGCCCAAGGCAGAGGCCAGCAGAGGAAGGAGGGCCGGAGCCCCCGCCCGCACCTTCCCCCACTCCAGCCGCATTTTCCCCGAACTCGTACGGGCGCTGGCCTCCGGGCAGCAGCCGGCCCGCGGGTCCCCGCGGGAGGAAGGCGAGCCAAAGCCCGGCGGCCACTCGGATTGTTACGCGCATTCAACTCCGCGGAGTGCGGGGCGCTGGGGTGCAGAGGGGTCTCCGCCCGGCGCCACCCAGGTCCCCAGGCGGGAAGCGGCTCAACTGGGAAAGCAGCCGGCGCCCGTGGTCTCCGGGCCGGCCGCCCGCGTTCTTCCGGCCAGCCCCCCGCGGAGGGGAGGGGCGCCGACGCCGCGTTCTCGGGGCCCCGCAGCCGGCGGAAGGGCCGCGCATCGCGGAAGCGCGGCGGCAGCTGAGGATCAGCTGCTGGAGGAGGCGGAGAGGCAGAGGGAGGAGCCTCGGGGGGAAGGAGAGGGAGGGGACCGTCAGGAAGCCGCGAACGCCGCCGAGTGTCTGCACACCTCGCTCTGCCTGCCATGGCTGGTTAAAGAACCATCCGGATCGCAGCGCGGGGGGAGGGCCGGGTGGGGGGAGCAGCGGCCGCGCGTGAGGCCGAGGGAGGGGCGGCGGCGCGAGCGGCGGCGGCGGCGGTTCCAGCATGAAGAGGAGAGCTGGCCTGGGGGGCAGCATGAGGTCAGTGGTGGGCTTCTTGTCCCAGCGGGGCTTGCATGGGGACCCCCTGCTCACTCAGGACTTTCAGAGGAGACGCCTGCGGGGCTGCAGAAACCTCTACAAGAAGGACCTCCTCGGCCACTTCGGCTGTGTCAATGCCATTGAATTCTCCAACAATGGAGGCCAGTGGCTGGTCTCAGGTAAATCAACCCCCTTCCCCTCCCCGCGCCTCCCCGCACCCTCCCAGCCTCCCCCTCTCGCTCTCCCCCGTCACCCTCCTCCTGCCCTCTGTCCCCACCCCCTCCCTTTCTCTACCCCCTTCTGCGGTGGGAAGGTTTGGTGTCAAATTAAAACCATTGCAGGGGGAGGGGAAGGAGAGGATGTCTTCTATAAAAAAGACCTAAAATGGTTGACAGCTCCTTAATTCGCTTTATCCCAAGTGCAAAGTGATCTCTCCTGATGCCTGCCCTGAAAGTGTAGGTCGGGGAGGGGGGCGAGGTTACCGCTCTACAAAGTTTGACGGCAAACTCTTCCTCCGCGTACTTTAAAAGGTGCTGGGGGCATTTTGGGGATGTGGAGGGTGAGGAGGCCGAGGAGCGCCGGAGGCAAGGGGGAGCTGAAGCCCCCGTCGCCGGCGTTAAGGAAAAGGGGTCTTGGGGCTGGGAAGCGGGCGGTGACAGACCCGGACGCCGAGGGGCCGGGGGCTGCGACCCGGGGGCTGGCGGGGTCTGCAGAGGGGAAGTGACTGGGGCGGTAGGGTCGCTGTGGGCCGCCCCCCTCGGCGCTCTTAGAGGCCCAGCACCATCGCCTTTCGTTCGGTTGTGGCCTCTTCTGCGTCTTGTTTTTAATACAGTTTCGAGAGTGGCGAGGGCTGTGGAGGCTAAAGGGCACCAGCCTGAACTTGAATGCGCAACTTGCGAGGCAGGCGGTAGGGTGGGGGACCCCCGGGAGACTTGTTGGCGGGAGCCCGGCGCCCCGCACCCCGTTTCCCGCGGCCGCTGTTGCAAGTGGTCTCTGCTTCTCCTCCCTCTCGCCCAGACGGGCCTGGTTGCCCCCGGGCTCTCCCTCTGGTTTGGGGAAAGTGGCGAAATCGAGGCCGGGGCTCCGGCCGGGCGGTGTAGGCCTCGCTCTCCCGGGGCTCCTAGCGACAGGCAGCTGAATCGATAGCCTATTGCTCCCGGGGAGGCCCGGGCCCCGCGGGCCGCGGCGACAGCTGCCCCTGGGGAGGTGCGCCTGCTGCCGGTGGGGGCGCTCGCCGCCGTCGTCCCCTCCTCCCTGGGGTCGCGGGCCCAGGGCAGGGGCGGGTGGGAATGGGCCTACGTGAGGGCTAGGGGGCGGCTCCCCGAAACCTGGCTCAGGGGAGGGGGGGTGAAGACGGCTGATTGGGCGTTCCTGCTTGGCTGCTGCCCTCTTCTGTCCCTTTTCCTATATTGGGAGGGATGAAGGGGGAACCCAGCGCTGGACGTGGCGCTTAGCTTCACCCAGGTCGGTCCCTGAATGTCTTTCTAATTTGTGTCCGTGAGCAGCTCGCCAGAAACTTCTGGGATCTTGGCAAAGCATCCGTCTTCGCGAGTAACCTTCGGAAGTGACATGGGGCGTACAGTCCAATTTGGGGGTAGCAAAGAGAAAGGTCTTCTGTGATCATTTTATGATAAACCTTCTGGGGTCTGTCCAGAACTGACTTGACTTTTGTACCCCAGATCGTTTTCTCTTTGACTAGGTAGATTTTGGCCCTAGATCATCCTCTGAAGAAACCTGATCTTTCAGACAAAAGCCTCCTTCCCCCACAGCACCGTATAAAATTTTATCAAATAAATTTGAAGAGCAAAAATGGGGGAAGACCTCTTCTTTATAGACCTAGCTCCCAGTTTCCCTGCTGTTGTTTTTTATGTATTCATAAAACTCCCGATGTATTACAACAGAGAAGTTCCCAGACACAAGTAAACTTTACCTACCGAGTGAGGGAGTTTGGGGGTACTCTTTTAGAGACAACTGAACTAATCATGTTAACGGAATTGTAAGTAGTCACACGTTGCCCAGCTTGACACACCTTTATTTACGTATTTATTTGAGACAGGGTATCACTCTGTTGCCCAGGCTGGAGTGCAGTGGGCTATCACTCACTGCTCACTGCAGCCTTGATCTCCCAGGCTCAAGCTAACCTCCCACCTCAGCCTCCCAAGTAGCTGGGACTACAGGCAGGTGCTATCATGCCCAGGTAATTTAAACTTTTTTTTTTTTTGTAGAGGTGGAGTCTCCCTATGTTGCCCAGGCTAGTCTTGAACTCTTGGCCTTAAGTAATCCTCCTGCCTCACCCCGTAAAGTGCTGAGATTGCAAGCATAAGCCACCATGCCTAGCTCACACTTTAAAAAAAATAACAAATTTATTGAGATAATTTCCATGCCACATAATTTATCTATTTGAAGTTACATTTTTAAAAGCACGAAATGTTCTTTACCAGTTATTACTACTTTTATCCTTGGGCAGGACGCTCCCCTGTATCTTAAATGAACTCTATTTTCTCTAGTCTTGGCCAGGTCATTTCCTTTATCTTAATTTTAGCCTGTGAAAGAGGAGGGTCATTTCCACAGAGGAGGCTCTGGCAGACCTTTCGATTCTGGGTATTTATTTCCTTACTCTTCTAGGCTTGTGTTGCCCATCTCCATCAGTACTTCCTGGGTTCCAGCCTTCTTTGCCCCTTGCTCCTTTTCCTTCCCCCCATACTCCCTCTAGCTCAGTTCTTCCTGTTTCCTTTTTATCTACTCCTGTTCCTGTTCTTAGTCCTATCAGCAGGCTATTCCATCGCTCCTCCATTTTGGCTAAGATACACCTAGCTTTTCCTATTTGTTCCTTGAACATAGAGTTTTGGTTTAAAGCCTTTTTAGCTATTTACCTTCCATTATGAGTACACAGCTGTGTTAACAGAAAGTTCCTCCTGTTTGCTTCAGATAAGGAAGCCCCCTTTGGGAGTCCTAATTAACCTTAACTTGTTAAAGCTAATTGAATTTTTTTCTGGGAAGTCCTTCAATAATTTTCCCACGTTTAAAACTAGTGTCATGTTTATATTTTTTTCTTATCTATCTTTGTCTCTCATTAGCAGTCAACACCTGAGTGGGGGAGCACAGTATTCTGAGGCTAATGCTATGTATCCCCAATGTTGTAATGTAGTGGGATGCCAGACTCTGGGATGGTAATGAGATTACTTTTATGCATTTTGTTGTTCTTGTGTCTTGTCTGGTTTGGAAAGCCCTTAGAGAGCTGTGATTAAAATGATAGATTGTTCATAGTTTGTTCATTGTTTTCATTTCATAATTGTTTGGGCAGGCTCACATTTCTGGTAACTGACACATACTACTTGATAGAATTAACTTATACCCAGGGCAGAAATAATATTTGCATGATTCCTGTGGCTGGGTAAAGTACTATTAGTTAATAATACATCACTTTTCTGTTCCAACAGCTATCCCCTTTTCCAGGGCACAGTGAGGCCAGCAGATATTGAGTAAACCGGAGAAAATCAGGAAGGAGAAAAGGTGCTGTGCTTGGAAGTGAAATTATGACAGCAACAAGTGGAGAAATGGTTATTTGACACGTTAAGATACTTTAACCGAAAAAGTACTTGATTTTTCTTGTTTATGACCAGAAAGGGGCATCGCTGTGATACTGGGTTAGGCAGTGTGGTATAGCAGATATGTGGTTAACATCATTGCTGTGTCATTTGTTTAATCTGTGACTTTAGTCAAGTTACTAAGCCTCTCTGAATGTGTTTTCTGAGGTATACAGTTGGAATATTGGCACCTACCTGAGGGGCTTGTTGTGAGAACTATGTTAGTTAAAGTATAGGTTGGGTGCTGAACAGAGCGCCAGGCCTCTCAGAGAAAATACTGAGTTTGTTTTCTTTCTCTTTTGTATTCATAACACATGGTGTCATTAATAACAGACATTTGTTATTACAGTATTGTTAATAGACCAGTGCAGATTAGCCAGACAGGATAGTTTTGTGACTTTTTGATGTGGAATGTGGAGGCACAATGTGGTGTGGAAAGTGCTTGGGATTTGATGTCATGTGATTTGAGTTGGAGGCTCTACCAGTCACAAAGTGTTTGATTTTAGGTAAGTACCTTCACTACTCATCTGTAAAATGAGGATAACAGATTGCCCTCACTGGTAGATGAATGGGGGTAGTGAATGGTCAATGAAATGTTATATGTGAAGGTGCTTTATGAACTTGATTTTGAGTGAACATTACTTTTTTTTTGGGCGGTGGGGGCAATGGAGTCTTGCTCTGTCGCCCAGGCTGGAGTGCAGTGGCGGGATCTCGGCTCACTGCAACCTCCGCCTCCTGGGTTCAAGCAAGTCTCCTGCCTCAGCCTCCTGAGTAGCTGGGATTACATGTGCGTGCCTCCACACCTGGCTAATTTTTGTATTTTTAGTAGAAACGGGGTTTCACCATGTTGGCCAGGCTGGTCTCAAACTCCTGACCTCATGATTTGCCCACCTCAGCCTCCCAAAGTCCTGGGATTACAGGTGTGAGCCACCCCACCCAGCCCGTTAACATTACTTTTTATAAAGACTAGCTTATACTTGATGATTGTAGTCTCTTCTTAGAATATTTATGTGTGTTAGTCCTTTGAGGGATGGGGAACAACATTGTATTTGAAGTGCCACTTACAAGAGATCCTAACAACATCAATGAGGTTACAGTAGTACGCATATTTAGGGGATATCTTGGGTTTACCCTTTAGGTCTTTGGTTGCATCTAGTACTCTAAATTGCTCTCATTGCCTCCTCTTATGCTTTTCCTTTTTCTTAGAATGGGGTCCTTTATATGTTTGTTTAAAGTTTTTTTTTTTTTTTTTTTGCGAAGAAAATGAACATCTTTTAGGGCTCTGATTGGATGACCAATCAGAATGTATCTCTATGTGCATTTGACTTGGATTGTTACTCCGCCTTTTTATATGTTGTAAAGGGCTTGTGCAAGTCATCTTAGCAGTAAACAAAAACAAAGATTTGGCTCTTTGGAATGAGAGTGGCTATATTATTTCCCCTGAATCGAAGTTTAAGGCATTGGAACTTATAGAGCTAGCAGAATAACCCATAAGTATGAAGTTTTGAGTTATAGTGAGAGATTATTATCTTTTTTGTGTGCTTATGACTAAATATAGGAAAAGTACCTTTAGAAGTTTTTCAAATAGCATGAGCAACTATGATGTTTCAAAGTATTAATTATGTAGGAGTTGTGAATGGGGAGAGTCATTTAGTTGCTTGGTCATAATACTTATAAATGGGGATAACTATTTAGCCTATTTCTAGTTCAAATGGGTCTCTGACCATATTGATCATTATAAGGAGCCATAATCTATATAGAGAGATTGTAGAGTATGAACTCTGAAGTCAGACTGCCTGGGGTGAACACCAACCCAGCTGCTTGGTACCTGGGTTGCTTTTGACAGGTCACTTATCCTCTCTTGTCTGTTTCCTCACCCATGTAATAAGGATAATAATACCCTACAGGGTTGTGGTAAGGATTGAATGAAATAACATTTGTAAAATTCTTAGCACAAGGGCCTAACCCATGCTGTTGCTACTGCTGCTGCAACTGTTGTTGTTGTTTCCCTTGAATGTCACAAAAGGCTTTCAGGAGATTGATACCTTCAACATCTAACATATACTGCACATGGCACAGTACACCATGAAATATTGAGAAAGATCTCCATGAGGTGAACTGTTCAAAATACTTTGTGAATAAGCTTAACCAGTACTGTCATCAAAGAGTATTTTTAAGCATTGAATAATAGCTATTATTACACCTATATGCTTAATTTGAACCTATTAATTAATGGTCATTTCCTGTTTCCCAGTCACTAGTTTATATCACGTTTTATGAAATCAGTTTTTTGTAGATAAATTAGTCTAAAAGCACATTATCTGCAGGTAAGTCGTTTGGCTTTAGCCAGTTAAATAAAGCCTGACTTTATTAAAGCTGTTCATTTAATTAGAATGAATTTGTTGGTTCGGTAGTTACTTATCAGGAGAAATATGGCCAGTGGTAGAGCAGGTTTTTGTCTTTGAAAAGCTTTCATAGTATAGACATTTTAACAAGGTAATTGAGGAATCAGTTTTCAAATTTTCTTCTGGCCTTTTCTATTTACTGATAATTCATTGCTGTGAAGGTATTTTATTATTTGATCTATTTATTAGTGCAACAAATAGTTTTTGAGTGCATACTGTTTGTAAAACAGGAGCTATGAGAACAGGGACAATGAATCAGGTATAAATTATGTTTTCAAAAAGCTGGTGTTTTAGGAGTGTTCAGTTCTCATTTGTAACATTTCATGACCTTTTAAAAGATATCCCCTCTACCTTATGATACTTTAATAGATTTTTTTTTCCTCTGGTTTGCTATACTTAATACAGCAAAAATGCTCTTGCCTGTGAGATTTGGTGGGAAAGAAAGAAGGCCTGTAGAGATGGCCCTGAGGAACTTTGCTATGATAAATTATAAAGATCATGTCATAAGGATAAAGTAATGTGAATATTTATAGATACACATTATTTGTCCTACTTGGTTCTTTAGTCAGCTAATTGATACCTATCAAAGGTTGGCAAATTTAGATTTATGCCTGGGTTTGTCACTTCTACTTTAAAATAACCTAGTGAGGTTTAGCTGCTGATCATTAGTCACATTAGACATTGTTATTAATACATCAAAAAGTTGTCCTTGTGCTCAGTATTGTTCAAAGGATCATTTTTAATTTGATTTATGCCAATGTGTTTTTGATAGCTAAGATTTCCTAAAGAGAGCAAGAGTCCTCAGTTATGTATTTTGGCCACCACATTGAAAGGAAGTGTCAGCCCAGGTACAAGCACGTGCTTTCACTGATTATTGATGGATTTGTTTGTAAAGTACAGTTGGAGTCATTTAGATGAGGGAAACTTTATTGACTAGTAAAACTTGTCACACAAATGCATACTACTCTCTTAATTCCAAGTTAAGAAGTAGGTGCATTTATTTTCTCATGCATTGATCAAGGCAAAGAGAGCATAAGTTTATAAGAGCACTTCCATTGCTAATAAACATGGCACTTAATTTTAATCTCTGTCTTCTTTTTATGGTCTTAAGAAAGAAGAAACTAATTGCTTTTCTTATTTTAGTCTGAATTTAGATACTCAAGGGTGGAATGAAAGTCTTTTAAAGTTAAAGGAAATAAAATCCTAATTCAGATGAAGATTACCTAAGTTAAGAAGGAATCAGTTCTGTTTTCAATTTTTGTTGCCTCACATTGTTTAAAAAAATATTCTTATAAAATAACTGAATATTAATTTGAATTAACCCTTACATTATTGTGGGAATATGAAATTCTATTTCTTTTCTACTCAATTCCCTGTCCTTTAAATTTTTTGATTTTCTTATGTTGCTATAGTATGGGAAATTAAAATTTTTTTTTTTATTTTCAGTTATAAAAATTAGGTTACCATTTGCCAAAGTTTGGATATGTTAGATGAATTTAGATAATCTTTGAGTGAATATTTAAAGTTGAGTAGTTAATTTATCTTTAGACACATTAGAAAAATTAGCTAACGTGAATAAAATATTTTTAATGATTTTATTACTTAAGGTGAGGTTAAATTTTTAAGTAAATTAAGGCCAGGTGCAGTAGCTCACACCTGTAATCCCAGCACTTTGGGAGGCAGAGGCAGGAGGATCACTTGAGCCCCGGAGTTTGAGATCAGCCTGGTTAACATAGCATGACCCTACCTCTACCAAAAATTTAAAAACTAGCTGGGTATGGTGGCGTGCACCTTTAGTCCCAGCTACACAGGAGGCCGAGGTGGGAGGATTGCTTGAGCCTGGAAGGTCAAGGCTGCAGTGAGCCATCATCATGCAAATCAATTTAAAGAAAAACAATAAAAGTGTTATGTTGATATGGCAAAAATGAAAAGATGATCAAGATTGAAGCTTGTGAAATGCTGCATTAAGTAACCCTTTTATATCTTCTCTTTTCTGCATGGGATCGGAGAAATGGAAGGATTTTCATTTTACAGGAAAGGGAGCTGAGATCTAGACAAGTGACTTGCCCAGAGCTGTCTGCATTGTCTCTGGCTGTCGGGACTCTAAGTAGGACTCATTGCTCCCAGGCAGGTGCTGTTTCTCTCTTTTCCCTTTGTAGGCAGGTCACATTTTCTGGATCTGTCCTAAGGAATTGAAAGCTGAATGTTAGCAGTTTCTGGAGCACATGTACAACTCTGGTTGCTTCTCTTAAATGATAAATTATATCTCTGTGTTTTGCTGTAAATAAGGTTAACTTGTTTTACTTAAGTATGTTTATTTACTCATTAAAATATTTATTGAGTACCCATTTTGTGCCCCTTTAATCTTTTTTTTTTAAACGGAGTCTCGCTCTGTCGCCCCGGCTGGAGTGCAGTGGCGTGGTGCGATCTCGGCTCACTGCAAGCTCCACCTCCCAGGTTCATGCCATTCTCCTGCCTCAGCCTCCCGAGTAGTTGGGACTACAGGCACCCGCCACCACGCCCAGCTAATTTTTTGTATTTTTAGTAGAGACGGGGTTTCACCGTGTTAGCCAGGATGGTCTCGATGTCCCGACCTTGTGATCCGCCCACCTCGGCCTCCCAAAGTGCTGTGATTACAGGCGTGAGCCACCGCGCCTGGCCTTGTGCCCCTTTAATCTTAATAACAATGAAAATTATTATTTAACTTTTTTTTTTTTATCTTGTAACGTATGCCAGGCCTTCTGCTAAGCACTTTACATGTCTTATTTGCCACTTGGAAAATAGCCAGCGTTACCTGTAGTGTAGAAAGGCAATGAGATTTGTAGTATAGAAAGGCAAGGAGATTTGAAGGTTTTGCATTAATTGTCATAAGTGAGTGCTAAAGAATCAAGGAAGGACATTGATAAATTACTGCTGAGAGTTCTGTAATCCAGAGAACAGGCAATGCATTAGTGGAAAAATAGAATTCATTATTTGTGGTTAAAATGAAGTGAAATATGGCGGGTCTGAATGCAGTGGTGCTTACAACTAATTGATCACAACCAGTTACAGATTTCTTTGTTCCTTTTCCACTCCTATTGCTTCACTTGACTAGTCATAAAAAAATGATGTGAAACGTAATTCTAGGGGTGAAAAAAGATTTTTTTATAACCATGATCCGTTACTTTATAGAAAATTTGGTTCCAATAACTGCTTTTCAAGTTTTTGTTCTTTTCAGTTTTAGTACTTATTAGTCGCCACTGCCATTATAATATAAGCTTCCCAAAATGTAACTGTCATTGTTTCACATCCCCTGCTGATCTGCAGCACTCCCCGGCGCCTACCAAATTAAGGAATGCCTCGCCCAATGTTCAGCTGAGACATTGCTGTTTGTAAAAAAAAAAAAAAAAAAAAAAAAAGTTTAACAGATTTTTTAAATAGCTAATATTTGATGTCATTTATTTATCAAATATTATTTGGGGGCATTTCATGTGCCAGGCATATGTAACACTTAAAAGAATGTTTTGTAAGTTAGGGTAGTATTATTATCCTTATATTACATATGAGGGAACTGAGGCTTACAGAAGTTAGGTAACTTATGAAAGCTCCCATGGTTTATGGTGGAGCTAGATTTCCAGGTTGGGTCTGAATGTTTTCTGAGACATGCTAACTGCTTTGAAATTTTTACAATGTTATATGCATTTTTAAAGGATCTGATTTTTTTTCTCCTTCATTCTCCTCTCTTGATGCTATCACTCATATTTTGCTATCTGCAGTTTTTCACTTTTATATGTAAGTGGAGGATGACGGGTGGAATTGTGAAGATGGGAGTGGACTTGGAGCCAGTAAGCAGGGTTCTCATCACAGCCACAGTACTTACTTCTCAAGCAGATGTCTCTTGGTGCTAGCACTCACCTCACCTAGATTCTGATGTTTGCAGTTATCTAAAGTCTCCTTCTTCCTCACACTCTGTGTATTCCATACGTAACCATGTGACTAACTCCCACTGGGTTTAACTCCCTACTTTAGTCTGATTAGGAGTAGGTATACTCTAGTTATCAAGTTGGTTTCTCTTGTCTGTTAGCCCAGTTAAAAGTAAAAACAATATATGTGTATTTACTGAACCTGTAATTTGAGTTTAATATCTGCCCAAGTCATGCTGAATGATTACATTTGACTGAATTTCAGTCAACAAATAGGTGTCTTTCCTCATATAGTTATACATGGGGAGAAAATACCTGTCTGGGCCACAGATGAATACTGTGCTTCAGAATAAAGTGCTTTTTGGAAGAAAGTGTAAACCTAATATGGGCTGATTTGCTCAGAGAGTGCTAGTAAGTCATTTGGAAGCACTTTTTCACACACACAGTATCATAAAGGGAGGTGTAACTGCTAGACCAGATGATAAGCCTGTTTAATCCTTAATGAGCTTGAAGCATAGTGTTCTTGTAAGTAAAATTTGCTTCTGTCACCACAACGTCACTCTGCTTCTGTGGAAAAGAAGGCATTTCACTTTCATGGCCATTCACTGAATGGGTAAAAAGAAAGGTTGCTCCATTGGTTCCGGTCTTGGACTCAGTTTGCTCTTCCTGTCAGTTTTCTTAAATCAGAGATTTAGGGAAAGACTTGACAGTAGTAGTTTGTCACTTTAGTTACCTGATCTTCCCATGCCCTGCCACTTTATTCATGCTCTGTTGCTCAGACCAGAGTGCAGGGGCAGTTACGGCTCACTGTAGCTTTGACCCTCCATGCTCAAGTGATCTTCCCACCTCAGCCTCCCGAGTAGCTGGGACTACTGGCATGCACCATCGTGCCCAGCTAATTAAAAAAAATTTTTTTTTGTAGAGACAGGATCTCACTATTTTGCCCAGGCTGGTCTTGAACTACTGGGCCCAAGTGATCCTCTCACCTTGGCCTTCCAAGGTGCTGGGATTACAGATGTGAGCCACCATACCTGGCCAGAATACCAGAAATTCTATCATATACCTCTCGGGATACAGAGTTGATAATTCATAGATCAAGTCCATGTGCTCTAGTACTGTTTTCCTATTAGGGCCAATTTAAAAAATGAAAGTTATATTCCAAAGGGCTGGGATTATGTAGGAGTCATTGAGAAAATGGCATCTGAGGAAATTGACAGGTTTATAATGGATCCACATAGCAGAGATAATGTTGGCAGGAGGACTGATTCCTGTATTCCCTTCTGCCTCTGCTGGGGCTTCTGCCAGTTGATAAGATGAGGCAAGATTACTTAATAAGGTTCATTAGGTAACTCTACGTCACCTGCCTGCCTTGTTGATTGTTGGGATCCTTTGTAACCAAGCCAATCATTTATCCTGATTTACTTGGGACCATCTGAAGCTCTCCCATTGTCCCAGTGTAATTATTAGTGTTCCTTTCATTCTTAAAAAGGTCCTAGTTTAGGGAAGGGGAACATCACACACTGGGGCCTGTTGTGGGGTGGCAGGACAGGGGAGGGATAGCATTAGGAGATATACCTAATGTAAATGACGAGTTAATGGGTGTAGCACACCAACATGGCACATGTATACATATGTAACAAACCTGCACGTTGTGCACATGTACCCTAGAACTTAAAGTATAATAATAAAAGAAAAAGAAAAAAAAAGGTCCCAGTTTAAAGGATAAGTTATATGGTCACCTGCTTATAATTATTGCACTGTCTGGTATGCAAGTAAAACCAAAACCCCAGTCTCTTAGCTCCTCACATTCACTATGGGATGCCTCTAGTAGAAAAGCCTTTAAGCATCCATTCTCCTTACTTCAGGTCTTTCAGCTGCCACTTTTTTTTTTTTTTTTTTTTTTTTTTTTTAAATTTGAGATGGAGTCTCGCTCTGTGGCCCAGGCTGGAGTGCAGTGGCGTGATCTCAGCTCACTGCAACCTTCACCTCCCGAGTTCAAGCAATTCTCCTGCCTCAGCCTGTAATCCCGTTGGGATTAGAGGTGCCCGCCACCACACCTGGCTAATTTTTGTACTTTTAGTAAAGACGGGGTTTCACCGTGTTGGCCAGGCTGGTCTCGAACTCCTGACAGAGTTCAGTCCCTAGGCGGGGGTGATCTGCCCGCCTCAGCCTCCCAAAGTTCTGGGATTACAGGTGTGAGCTACCGCTCCTGGCCTCCGCTGCCACTTTTAAGGTACCAGATAGAGGCTGAGAAGCAGAGTGGTTAGTTAGTCACTTGCCTTTTATTAGAAAGGGAAAAAAAAGGCTGAAACCGTTATGAACATGCCAGGTCCAGAGGCTAATGTTACTCCATCCTTTCTATATACATCATCTTATAGTTCTTATTATACTGTTTACTTGTACTTTTTTTTGTTTTTACAGTCTTCCTATGGGTTGTTGTTCTTTGTAGAGTTGATTTTGAGAAAAGGTATTTTGAGGAATGATTCTCCACTGAGTTGAAATTTTTCCTGAGGAGTGTTTAACTAAAAGTGGATGTGATATTGATATTAAAACCATGTTACAGTCATCTGTAAAATATGAATGATAAATAAGAATTAAATAAGCAAGAAAAAAATGTTATAGGCTTAATTTTTTGGGATAGCTATCCAGCACCAGAGTGTATTTGGAGTAAAAGTTGGCCCCCTCAAGTGGCCCGGAGAAGAATTTTCAGGGATTGTAGTTTTTCAGGTATATGGCTGTAGAATGTCTTTCTCTGTCTTCTCTCTCTCTCTCTCTTTTTTTTTTAGACAGAGTCTCATTCTGTCGCCCAGGCTGGAGTGCAATGGCGCTATCTTGACTCACTGCAACCTCCGCCTCCCGGGTTCAAGAGATTCTCGTGCCTCAGCTTCCCAAGTAGCTGAGATTATAGGTGTGCACCACCATGCCCAGCTAATTTTTTGTAGTTTTAGTAGAGACGAGATTTCTCTACGTCGCCCAGGCTAGTCTCGATCTCCTGAGCTCAGGCAATCCCCCTCGTCCTCCCAATGTGCTAGGATTATAAGTGTGAGCCACTGCGCCTGGCCTCTCTGTCTTCTCTTTTCTTCTTTCTTTCTCCTTTCCTTCCCTTTCTCTCCCTCCCTTCCTTCTTTCCTTCCTTCTCTTTCTTTCTCCTTTCTTTCCCTTTCCCTCCCTTCCTCCCTCCTTCCCTTCCTTCCTTCTCCTTTTCTTTCTTTTTTTTTTTTTTGAGACAGGGTCTTATTCACTCTGTCAGTGGTGCTAACAGGCTGGAGTGCAGTGGTGTGATCTCACTCACTGCAGTCGCCACCTCCTGGGTTCAAGCCATTCCCCTGCCTCAGCCTCCTGAGTAGCTGGGATTGTAGGCATGTGTCACTACACCCAGCTAATTTTTTCGTGTTTTTAGTAGAGACGGGGTCTCACCATGTTGGTCAAGCTGGTCTTGAACTCCTGGCCTCAAGTGATTCACCTGCCTCAGCCTCCCAAAGTACTGGGATTACAGATATGAGGCACCATGCCCAAGCCTCCTTTTCTCTTTTTTTCTTTTCTTTCTTGTGAGACAGAATCTTGCTCTGTGGGTCAGGCTAAAGTGCAGTGGCATGATCATAGCTAACTGAAGCTTCGACCTCCTAAGCTTAATTGATCCTCCTGCCTCAGCCTCCCAAGTAGCTAGGACACATAGGTGATGTACACCTATGTGTGCATCACCACGTCCAGCTAATTTTTAATTTTTTCGTAGAGACAAGGTCTCTATGTTGCCCAGGCTGGTCTTGAACTCCTGGCCTCAAGCGATCTTCCCACCCTGCCTCCCAAAGTGTTGGGATTACAAGTGTGAACCACTGCACCTGGCCAGACTGTCTTTCTTTTTTTCTTCTTTCTCTCTCTCTCTGTTTCTTTCCTTTTTTGAGACAGGATTATACTCTGTTGCCCAGGCTGGGGTACAGTGGTGTGATCACAGCTTACTGCAGCCTCTGCCTCCTTGGCTCAAGTGATCCTCCCACCTCAACCTCTGGAGTAGCTGGGACTACAAGCACGTGCCATCACACCTGACTAATTTTTTAAATTTATTTTTTCTAAAGACGGGGTCTTACCATGTTGCCCAGGCTGACTTTGAACTCTTGGGCTCAAACAATCCACCCACCTCAACTTCCCAGAGTGCTGGGATTACAGGTATGAGCCACTGTGCCTGGCCCTAGAATGTCTTTCATGTTGTGAAATGTTTAAGTGATCTGGTTGGAGTCCTGTTTTCACCACTCTCATTTGTGATCTTAGGCTTCTGATGTCTCTGTAGAATTACAGAATTTTGTTGCTGGAAAGGACTAATGATCGTCTAATAGAAGTCTTTAATTTTACATCTAAGTAAACAAAGGAGCAAAGAGGTAAAATGATTTGCTCAGTAGGTTACAACTAGTGAGTAGTACAATCAGGATTAAACTCTGGGTCTTCTGACCTTTTCCCTCAATAGGGAAAGTCATGAGGTTCTGCATTTAAAAAGGACTTGCTCAAGTAAAGTGTTAAACTCCTAAGTGGCTTACTCTGCCAGTACATTGTATCTGCAGTTTCATTGCCCCTGAACATGGTTTTGATTAAATTGGTGATGCCCTATTATTTTACAGATGAGTAGGTAGAGATTTTCCAGGGTGGAGGCCAACTGTCACTCTGGTTGAGTCTCCAGTTTTAATTC
The DNA here is from genome assembly GCF_000001405.40 of Homo sapiens. NCBI lineage: Eukaryota > Metazoa > Chordata > Mammalia > Primates > Hominidae > Homo > Homo sapiens. Next base: position 69,138,371 of record NC_000014.9, on the reverse strand, counting down.
TTAGCCTGCTGAGCTATACTTCCGTACTTTGGAAAGTCTTTGTTTCCTTCCAAGAACATTACTCAGGAGGAGGAATTCTTTGCAAATCCAGATGCCTGTCAAAATCTTGTTACACAACTTCCCCCATGCTGAATTTCCATTCAAGTCTTGTATCTAAATTCCAGTTGTATCTTGGTGTTACAAGTTAAAGCTAAGTGACTAATTGGAACCTTTGAGGATTGCTATGTTCCTTTTTTTTTTTTAAATAGGTGTCTTGACTATGTTGATGGCTTAGCACAGATACCTCATTTATATCACTTGCTGCCACAGATGACTCAAGTGTGTGCTTTGCCTTAGACATACAGTAGTCCCCCCTCATCTGTGGGGGATGAGTTTCAAGCCCCGCAGTGGATGCCTGCAACTGCAGATGGTACTGAACCCTATGTATACTATGTTTTGTCTTATGTATACATACCTATGGTAAAATTTAATTTATAAGTTAGGCACAGTAATACATTAACAACAATAGTAATAAAGTAGAACAATTATAATATTATACTGTAATAAAAGTTATGTGAATGTGGTCTCTGTCTCTCAAAATATCTTGACTGTAATATTTTCGGACCCTGGTTGACTAATGGTAACTGAAACTAGAAAGTGAAATCATGGGCAAAGGGGCTTACTGTACTGGCAAGAAACAAGTGAAGTTTGAGTGTTTGGCAGCTAGCCCCTGATTTAGTCTCAGGGTTGACATCTCTGTTTACATCTGCTGGTGGGTGGCTGGGTGTAGTGTGCATTCCTAGAAGTGTTAGGGCCTTCACTGATTCAGTCTTTTTAGAATTGCCAAAGAAGAGACAAGAAAGCTTTATTATGTTGTTAATTTTGTGTATACAAGGAATTTTGCAAAAGTCCAGGCAGGCAGTGTTCTTATGTACAAAACTAAAAAAAAGAATAATCAGAAATTGCTCATAGAATGGATGGAGCGTATTTGTGATATAATCAGGAGAGCATATTGTCCAGGTTAGTTCTCTATGGCAGAAGAGGTAAGGCTGGAGATGAAGAAAATTTGTGATCTGGAAGTACCTGGCAATGCATCATCCACTAACTTAATAACTTTCCTTACTGGTTTTGAGGGCCTAAGAACCCGTTTTTAGTGTCCCCCAGCTCTATTTGAGGAACTTTTATTCTTTGACGTGTCACTAATTCCATACTTTACTATGGAAAATTGCCTGTTGAAATCATACAAGTCATCAGCATATGGTACTTACAAGATAGGCCTCCCACCCATTCATAATTTAAACAACTATTATGTATTAATTATAGGAAATTTGGAAAATAGATATTTAAAGGAAAAAAGAAGTAATTCCACTTATTCAGGATGACCATTGTTAATATTTGGAACATGTAGCCTTTTTGATACACATTTAGTATACATACATTAAACATATAATTGAAAGTAGGCCACCTCTGGTATTTTGTAATATTAAGATTAATATTTTAAAACTTAATATTTTTTCATATTTCGTTGCATATTCTTTTAAAGCAGGGTTTCTCCACCTGAACATTACCGACATTTTGGGCTGGATAAGTCTTTGTTATGAGGAGCTGTCCTGTGCACTATAGGATATTTAGGAACATCCCTGGCCTCTACCCAGTGTATGCCATTAGCATCTTTCCAGTTGTGACAACCAAAAATGTCACATATTGTCAAGGGTGATTTTCCCTGAGGGGAAACATCATCTGGGTTGAAAACCACTGTCCTAAAGTAACAGTTCTCAAACTGAAAAAATATTAGTTTTCATAAGTGAAAAAACATTAAATAGTAAAAACAGTATATTTTCCAAAATTAAAAAAAAATAGCGAGAAGAGTGTCATTGTTACATTTTCTCAAATCTGTGTGTATCTGTCATAATAAAAGGCATTCACATTTAATCTTGCAAAATATTGGTTTAGCTGAAGTATATAAAGAAAATTATAGGCTGGGTGCTGTGGCTCATGCCTGTAATCCTAGCACTTTGGGAGGCTGAGGCAGGAGGATTGCTCTAGTCCAGGAGTTCAAGACCAGCTTGGGCAACATAGCAAGACCCTGTCTCTACAAAAAAGAAAACAATTAGCCAGGCATGGTGATGTGCACCTGTAGTCTCAACTACTCTGGAGGCTGAGGTAGGAGGATCACTTAAGCATGGGAGGTTGAGGCTGCAGTGAGCTATGACTGCCCCACTGCACTCCAGCCTGGGTGACAGAGTAGGACCCTGTATCCAAAAAAAAAAAAAAAAAAAGTTTTACACATCAGTTTTTATAAAAGGGAAGAGCATGTTAATGTCTTAGATAACTGTATATTCTTCCTTAATACTGTACCAAAACAAGTAGAAGTTTCTTAAAGATTAGTTGCAATGTAGAATATAAAACCATATCGAATAATTTCTCGTAGCCTGTTACATTGTTACATTAAAATCCATTGATCTGTCTTAAACTTTGGGTCTTTCCTCCCATGCATCATTTTATAACATCATACATCGATCATTTGGAAAATACTGGTTCACTGAGTTTTTCAGGTTTTCCAAATCTTGACACATTTCATTGTATATTTTAAAAAGTCACATTTGTTGACATTGCCACCAGTCTCATCAGAAAAGCCTCTGTGTATTGGGAAGTGGTTATGTTCACCATGGTGAATACAATTTTTCCAAAATTTTTATTTTTACTTGAAAGCTTGAATTTTATCATTGGCTACAAATACTGCCAATTATTTTCCTTGAGGTGACAGGCTCATCTTATTCATTTTTGAGAAAATATTAGCAAATACCCAAATCTGAATAACCATACTTTTTCAGTAATTTCAAGTAAAAATGTTATTCATGAAAAAAGCAGCCAGTTCAGCTCACAATGCAAACTATCTCATAGATACTTTTTCACAAAATAGGTATTGTTTTTCAGTGTGCAGCAGAAGTGTTTTATGTGTACTTTCTATTTTGTCATACAGAGTATTTAGATGTGTACTCTGGTTGAAATTTGATACAATTATTTTTACTGCTTCATCAAGGCACTCCTGAGTGAACGTGGCATTTGTGTTTTATTGTGAATGAGTGGCAGTTAAAGAATACACTGATGAATAGTACAATTTGCCGTCACTGCCCTAGCGCCAAGGCACCAGTGGTTTTACCCACCATTGCTTTTGCATTGTCAGTACAGTTTCAAACAGTGAAAAAGGCAAATAACATTGTAGTGTTATTGCGAAAAAAATTTTGACTTTGCAGACCTTCTGGGGTCCATGGGACACACTTCGAGAACAACTGTTCTGAAGCATGATATTATGACATCGTATCCTTTCAAGTGTCTACATCAGAATTTAACCAATTCTGTCTTGTTTCTTCTGTTTATTTTTTGCTTTTATCACAATCCTTGTAGCTAAGTCCAAGAGAAAAAATATTTTCCCTTAGAATAAAATCTTTAGAAGTGGAATTCTGAGTCAATGGGTGTGAATATTTTTTATATTTTTAAGATACATTCGATATATGTCACCCAATTGTCCTCCAAGATGGTTAAACCAGCTTATTTACACTTGGACCAATGTATTATGAGACTGCATCGTGGCTTCTGCTGGTCATTATTTTGTCTTAACCAATTCAGTCAGAATATTGGCATCATCTAAAAAGTGTATTATGACTTCTCATACAACTGGCCTTGATTACTAGTGAGTCTGAATATTTTAATGTTTTGGCCATTTTGTAGTCTTCCTTTAGACTGATTACAGTGCAACTCATTAGGTTGTAACTTTCTTTGTTAAAACAGTCACATTCTCCTAATTTCTCTTGAGATTATTCCCTAGTTAACCCTGTTTGCATCTGGATGTATATCAAATTGCAGCCTCTGATTTAGAGTCCCTCTCTTAAGGAGGTCGTAAATGTGCCTGTTCTCCAAATTTCAGAAGTTTGAGCCCCACGTTTTTGATTTTTGTTATATATAAGGAGTGTCACCTGTGCTATTAACATTTTTTCTAAGTTGACTTTCCTTATAAACAGCATTTGAAAGAAACTTGACATTACTATAAAGTCTAAGTCACGGGTTTTATGTGCTAGTTGTTTTTTTCTAGTACACCTTAAAATACGTAATTATTAAAATCATTTCTCTACTGTCTAAAATCATCCAGTGGCCTATGTTCCACACTTTAGGAAGAGCAGGGGCTTTGGACTCAGACATCTTGGATTTGAATCCCACTCTGCCTGTAACTGGCAGTGTGCTCTTGGACAGGTGCCTCAGTTTTGTGCCTCAGTTTCCTCACTGGCAAAATGGGGATGTTAGAAGATGAACTCTTAGGTGCCTTACATCTCTACTCTGTGACTCTGGTGTAAGGAGAAAGGGATATTTGAATGTTTGTGGATTTCTTTCTCTGTTTCTGATCAGGAATTAGAGACATTGTCTAGGGTTAGTATTTCAAAACCCTAGCTTTATTAAACTCCACTGCTATTAGTCATCTGATTTTGGAGAAACCATTTCATTTTATGGGGCTCTAGCTGTCTAGTTAGGGTGTTGCTGCTGCTTAATACTTCCTATTTAATGTAAAGTGTTTCTAGCTAGGAGCTAAGGCAAGCCAGGACCTCACTTTTAACATGTTTAAAATGGGGATGTTTCTGTTCTACTTACCTCATTAGAGACATGGAAAAATGAGATAATAGGTAGATAAGTGGACTCAGCTTTTAGCAGAAGGGTACTAGGTAAAAACAGGGTGTCAGCAGAAGTAATGCCTGTAGATGTTATCCCTATAGCTACTTCTGTAGTGAAGAGCAAAATTTGTGTGACACCACCTCTCCTATCTCTCCAGACCTGCCTGTACCCCCGCCTCTTCCCTGCCTACTGGTTTCGATTTGGGAAGTGCCACTGAACAGCAGTTTTATGACCTTGGGCAAATCACTCAACCTTAACTTATCCCTGGGCCAAAAATTGGGAGATCTGGCAATCTTGAGTCTGTATTTCTCTATGGCAACAACTGGCAAGAGCTGAATGGTGGCTTATCTTTTAAAAATACAGATATATTCTTCAGTCTGTCACTTAATCTGGCAAGTCTGACTCATTTACTTTGCTGCCTGGCCTCTTATATTTGCGAGGCTGGATTGCATCATGGTAAGGAGCATGGTTTCTGGAGCCACATTACCTAGATTCAGATGCCAACAATGACTCTTGGTAGCTGTGTACCCCTTCATATTATGTAGCTTTTCTGTAGTTTCATGTGAATTCCTACTTCGTGGGGTTGTTAAAAGGATTGGAAGAGCCACTACATATAAGACCCTTAGGATAGTCCCTGACCCAGAGTAAACTTAACTGATGTTAGCTGTTGTTTGAGTTCAAATAGCATAATAATTAGCTGACATTTATCTAGCTCTTAATATGTATCAGGCACTGGGCCAAGTCTTTTACACAGATCTATCTCATTAATCCTAACAGTAACACTGTGAAATAAGTAGTGTTGTTTTCTCAGTTTTACAGATGGGAGGACTATAATTTAGAGAAGTTAAGTAACCTGTCTAAAGGCACACAGCTAATAAGTGCCGGCGACATTGAGAGTTGAACCTGTGTTTGTGTATCCTAATCCTGTGGGTTTTTTCTTATTATTTTTTCCTATGTCTTACTACGTGGAGACTAAGCCTGTGGTTTTGAATGCTGTGCTGTGCTATGCTGCCCCACATTATATCACCTCTAAAATAGGTCTAATCACAGAAGTGGCTGGCTTGAGTAAATAGAGCTTAGTGCTCTTAATGTTTTTGTAGGTGATTTGAGGAGAGAATGAATATGAAATTTCCCAAATTTATATATGATGTTCCTTGAGGCAGTGAAATGCAAAACAATAGGGGATAAATGAACTACAGAAAACTCTTTTGGGCTGGATGGGGTGAGTGAATAGAAAAGTGGTAACTGAATTTCAGGGTAGGTACTCATGAAGAAAGATAACTCAAACTGTTTGTAGAATGATGCGCTCTGAGATATTTAAAAGGACTTGAGAGTTATTTTAGGCTATTATTTGAAGGTTAAAAAGGCCAGCAAACATTTCACACCCATTAGGATGACTATTATCCAAACAAGCAAAGAATAAAAAGAGTTGGCAAGGATATGGAGAAATTGGAACTCTTGTACGTTGTTGGTGAGAATATAAAATGGGGCAGCCACTGTGGAAAACAGTATGGCATTCCTCAAAAAGTTAAAAGTAGAATTACCATATGGATCCAGCAATTTCACTTCTGGTTATATACCCAAAAGAATTGAAAGTAGAGGCTCAAACAGATATTTGTACACTAATGTTCATAGTGGCATTATTCACAAAGCTGAAAGGTAGAAGCAACCCAAGGGTCCATCAGTGGATGAATAGATAAACAAAATGTAGTCTATACATACAATGAAATAGTATTATTCAGCCTTAAAAAGAAATGAAATTGACACACACTACAACATGGATGAACCTTGAAGACACTGTGCCAAGTGAATGGTGTCTAGGGGGAGAATGGCAGTTGTCAGTGGGAAGGGGTAGTTCTGGAGATAAAATGTGGTGATGGTTGCACAACGATATGAAAATGTGAATGTAGTTAATGCCACAAAACTCTATACTTGAAAATAGATAAAATCATTAAAAAAAAAAAAAAAGCCTGGAAAGTGCTTTTCTTCCTTGTGTAAAGCTCCAGAACATTCCTCATTTGGAATGCTAGGTGCTGTTCTGTCCTCTGCATGTTGGTAGAATGGATACAACTTAGTTTTAGGCTCCAGGCCAAGCTCTTTGGATTATTAGCAAGTCATTTTACCTCTCTGATACGTGTCTAGAAAAAGGGCCTACATAATCCTTACCTCACAAGTGACAATAAAATGAGATATGTAAGTGATTGAATTCCTATACAAATATCAATTATTTTCAACTTTGGAAAAATAACAAAACAGACTTATTTTCCATCCACTGACGTAGCTGGGCTGTGTGTCACACAGACTGTGCCTCTGTAATGCGCTGCAGTTTCTTGGAGCTTAGGAGAGGTATGGTTAACACAAAAGGAGGTTTGGTCTTACACAGTACACTCACTGAAGAGGAATAAATGGGCTGAGAAGAAAGCCAGGCTGAATGATTTTCCTTTAGGCTTCACAGTTAAAAAAAAAGAAAAGAAAAGAAAACACTTTAGCAATATGAAAGGGTATTAAGTAAAATTGCTATCTGCAAGAGATGACCTCTGCTAACCATTTTGCATCTGTCTTTGTATGTATAAATTTGTGTATGTTTTTGTGTAATTGTATCATACTATTCATATTCTTAATGCTACCTAAAACAAGGTTTGAAAGATTAGGACAAGTTCATGGATGATACTTTACGGACACAAGGACAATTTGAGAGCTGTGTGCACCTAATATATATCACACTGGGCTAAGTGCTTTTACAAACATTATCTCACCACACACAACAAACCTGGGAAATAGTTGGTATTTTCTCCATTTTACAATAAAAAAATTAGGGTAGAGGAGTAGAGTAACCAGGACACATGAATGGCGAAACCAAGATTTGAATCAAGTCCTTTTATTCCAGAGCTTGCACTTCCTGTACCCTTCTATAGCACCATCTTTGCTGCCTCTCAAAGATGAAACCCCAAGCTCTGTATCTAATCCCATTGTTACTTGTTAAAAGAATGTTTTGAACAATTAATACAGTCACTAATACGTTATATTTTAGAAATTGTTCCATGTGAGTATAGACAGAGCTGCCTCATGCTTTTATTTATTTAGGCTGCATTGTACATATATAAGTAGTAAACTTTCTTATATTTTTTATTGTGAAATGTATACAACATAAGATTTACCATTTTAACCATTTTTAAGTGTACTTACTGTTCAGTGGTATTAATTACATTCATGTAATTAATACATCACCACATCCATCTTTAGAATTTTTCATCTTGCAAAACAGAAACTACCCATTAAACTATGACTCGCCATTCCTCTTTTCCCCCAGCCCCTGGCCACTGCCATTCTACTTTGTCTCTGATTTGACTATTCCTCATGTAAGTGGAATCATACAATATTTGTCCTTTTATGTCTGGCTTATTTTATTAAACAATAATTTTAACCAGACTTCTGTTGATGGACATTTAAATTATTCTTCTTTGGCTCTTCAAACAATGATAAGTTCCAGGAATATTCGACCCAGAATTTCAGACTGCTTTCTCAGTCCTGTGCTTGGCTGGCTTTTGAGGAAACCCAAAGCAAATCCTTACCTCAGCTTTTCTGAGCAATAAAATAAGAAGAATGTTAAATAATTACTTTGTTATAGTGTGTTGTAAGGGCTTGCTTAGTTTCTGCTTATAGCTCGGGACCCTTTGGGAAAGGGTACTCTTTAAGTATAAAGGTTTTCTGTAACTACAAAGCTGCTGCCACAATGTGATTATAGTACATTTTTTGATGAATTAGTGATTTTAGTGCAGAATGAAACCAACCCAAAAAACCAAAACCAGAGTATGTAGTTGTATTTTCTTGGGGTTCTCAGATGAGTTGAAGGTAAGCAATTGTTTGTGAGGAAACCAGGCTTAGAAGGCCTGGCCTCTGCTTGTCTTTGCCTGGCACTGGCACTGAGAAGAAAGGCCTAGCCTTCCCGAGAAGTCCCTGTGCTCCACCTCCGGTGCCCCAGAGAGGCTGGGGCTAGGGTCCCTCTCCTGAGGCTGACCCCATTCTCATCCAACTGCCAGGCCCATGGGGCTGGCTTAAATGGTCTGAAATGATCCTAAATATTCTTCACTTGGATTATTTGCAGGTCAGTCTCTCTCTGTGGAACTAAACAATAAATCTCTGCCTTTCTGAACTGACTAGGAGATTAAGGGAGACAATTGTAGAGCTGCTTTTGCGTCTGAACTGACTTTCCCTTGCTTCACCAGCCCTCGTTTGCTTTGTTGAATCAGAGGCTTGGGCACAGCTGTTTAGCGCCCTCTGCTGGGTGAAAAGCAGCCTAACGGTTTTACATTATGCCTCAATTTGTACTGGTTGTTTTTCTGCCAACGCATACTTGAAGATTGCCTTTGCATAGGGCTCTTAATACCTTGCCTAAAGGAATGAGGGGTTGAGTGGAGTAAGGGGGTGTGTTTAGCTTACATCTTCTGATGCTAACCTTGAGGGCAAAGTCAAGAGGCAGGCCCCATCACAGCGATGATTTTTGCCTCAGTGATTCCAATCTCCCATGGATTGGGCTGTCATCATCATGTTAGTTACTAAGGACACATCATTTAAAACGATCCCAAGGCATTTAACAAATAGCCATGAATTTTGAATTACTGAGTACTAGGCAAAATGAAATCATCCTATAAATGCCTAGAATGAACATTAAAGATTATTTCTGTCTGGGTAATGGAGGGAGACCTTAGGCTGAGAATGGTTATGAGTTGGGCACAAAGGTATAGATATTCTGGTTTCTTTTTTTTTCTTTTAGTAGAGACAAAGTCTCACTATGTTGCCCAGGCTGGTCTCCAACTCCTGAGTTCAAGTGATCCTCCCACCTCGACCTTTCAAAGTACTGGGATTACGGATCCTCCCACCTCGACCTCCCTAAGTGCTGGCATGAGCCACTGGGCCTGGCAGATATTCTGTTTTTGGTTTTTTTGTTGTTGTTTGTTTTGAGATGGAGTCTTGCTCTGTTACCCAGGCTGGAGTGCTGTGGCACGATCTCTGCTCACTGCAACCTCCGCCTCCAGGGTTCAAGTGATTCTCCTGCCTCATCCTCCCCAGTAGCTGGGACTACAGGCGCACAATATTCTGTTTTTACTTAAGCTGCTTCAATTCAGGAGAGACTGTGCTGTAGGTCTTAGTGAGCCATGAGTATCCCAGCCCATCCTGCAGTCTTGTTTTTTTTCTTTTTCTATCATGAACATTAAACATAATCCAAAACTCTTTATTATGGAAATATTCAGCCAGGCTCACGCCTGTAATCCCAGCACTTTGGGAGGCCAAGGCGGGCAGATCACTTGAAGTCAGGAGTTGGAGACCAGCCTGGGCAACATGGTGAAATCCTGTCTCTAAAAAAATACAAAAATTAGCTGGGTGTGGTGGTGCTTGCCTGTAGTCCCAGCTACCCATGGAGCCGAGGCAGGATAATCAGTTGAACCTGGGAGGTGGAGGCTGCAGTGAGCTGAGATCATGCCACTGCACTCCGGCCTGGGTGACAGAGTGAGACTCTCAAAAAAAAAAAAAAAGAAGAAGAAAAAATTGTTCAAGCATACACAAAAGTAGAATAGTATAGTGTATGCATCTATAGCAATTGTCCATATTAATCATCTATCCCTCTACTTTTTTTTCTGGAAAGTTTTAAAGGAAATTCCAGACATACTCCATTTCACCCACTTCAGTATGCACCTCTAATTGATAAGGATTTTTTTCTTTTTTAACATAACCATAATGCCATTATAATACCTAAAAGATGTAACAATACTTCCTTAATATGGGGTATTTAAATGAAGTAGAGAGATACCAATCGGATTTGACAAAATGTTGATGATTTGTTAAATTTACTTCCAATATTATTATTATTACTGGTAGAAGGATTTACTTATGATGTTTTGTTTTTAAGACTTTGTTTTAGAGAAGTTTCAGGTTCACAGCAAAATTAAGAGAAAGGTACAGAGGTTTTCCATGTACCCCTTATTCCCACACCTGCATAGCCTCCTTCATTGTCAACATCTTCCACCAGAGTGGTAAATTTGTTAAAATTGGTAAACATATACTGACACATCATAAACACTCAGAGTCCCAATGTTCAAAAAATGAACCTTAGAGTTCACTTTTGGTATTGTATATTCTATGGGTTTGGACAAATGTAATGACATGTATCCATCATTACAGTATCATACAGAGGATTTTTACTGCCCTAAAAATCTTCTCTGCTCCATATATTCAACCCCTGCCTCCAAACCCTGGCAATTAGTGATCTTTTTGTTGTCTCCATGATTTTGTCTTTTCCAGAGTATCATAGAGTTGAAGTCATACAGTATGTAGCCTTTTCAGATTGGCTTTTTTCATTTGGTAATGTGTACTTAAGGTTTCTCCACGTCTTTTCACTGCTTGATATTTCGTTTCTTTTTATCACTGAAAAAGTTTCTGTTGTCTGGTTGTACTACAGTTGATTTATCCATTTACATACTGAAGGACATCTTGGTTGCTTCTAAGTTTTGGCAATTGTAAATAAAGCTGTTGTAAAATAAATCCATGTACAGGTCTTTGTGTAGATACAAGTTTCAACTCCTTTGGTTAAATACCAAGGAGCATGATTGCTGGATTGCGTGATAAGAGTACGTTTAGTTTTGTATGAAACTGCCAAACTATCTTCAAAGGTGGCTGTACCATTTTGCAATCCTACCAGCAATGAATGAGATTGCGTGTTGTTCCACATCATGACCAGCATTTGGTGTCATCTAGGTTTTCTCCTACTATCTTCTAGGAGTTTTATAGTTTTGGTTTTACATTTAGATTTATAATCAATCTTGAGTTAATTTTTATGAAGGGTATAAAGTCTGTATCTAAATTCATTTTTATGCATGTGGATATTTAGATGTTTCAGCACCATTTGTTGAAAAGACCATTTTTGCTCCATTGTTTTGTCTTTGCTCCGTGGTCAAAGATCAGTTGATTATACTTACGTGGGTCTGTTTTTGGCCCCTCTGTTTTGTTCCATTGATCTATTTGTGTATTTGTTTGCCAGTATTATACTGTCTTGATTACTGTATATTAGTGGTAACCTGAAGTCAGGTAATGTCAGTCCTCCAACTTTGTTCTTCAAAATCATGTTGACTATTATGGGCCTTTTGCCTCTCCTATAAATATTAGAATCATTTTGCTGATATGCATAAAATGAATTTGCTGAGAATTTGAGTGGGATTGCATTGAATCCATAGATGAAGTTGGGAAGAACTGATATCTTAAAAATACTGAGTCTTGACCAGGCATGGTGGCTCAAGCTTGTAATGCCAGCACTTTGGGAGGCCTAGGTGGGCAGATCAACTGAGGTCAGGAGTTCAAGACCAGCCTGGCCAACATGGTGAAACCCCGTCCCTACTAAAAATACAAAATGAGCTGGGCGTGGTGGTGGGTGTCTGTAATCCCAGCTACTCAGGAGGCTGAGGCAGGAGAATTGCTTGAACCCGGGAGGCAGAGGTTGCAGTGAGCTGAGATTGCGCCATTGCACTCCAGCCTGGGCAAAAAAAAAAAAGTGAAACTCCGTCTAAAAAAAAAAAAAAAGAATCTCTGTCTATTTATTTAGTTCTTTGATTTTGTTCATTAGAGTTTTATAATTTTTCTTATGTAGATCTTGTAAAATCTTGTTAAATTTATACCTAAATATTTTATATTTCAAATTCCACTTATTCATTGCCGGTATATAGGAAAGTGATGGACTTTTGTATATTAACCTTATATCTCACAATCTTGCTAAAATCACTTCTGTATTTTTTTTTAAAGAAACACTACAGATACACTTAAAAGCCTCTTTTACTATGTGTGTTTATCCATAAACAATATAAAGTATTGTTTTGTATATTTAAAAATACATGCTTAGATATTATCCCTTTCATATCCTTTCGAAACTTGCTTTTATTACCATTAGGTTTTCAATATTTATTCATGTTTGTTTACATGTTTCTTGTTCACTTTAACTGCTGTATGATGTTCCATTGTGTTTAGACTCCACCTATTTTATATTCCAGTGGAATTTTTCCATTCCTGAATTGTTAGATATTTATGTTGTATATAGGTTTTCTTGATATTATGACCAATGCTTCAGTGAACTTTCTTGTACATTCCCTTGTGCCACTTTGTGAGAATCTGTCTAAATTATAACGTACATTTCCCTGATACCATATAGAATTTGAGATCTTCTATAATATGTTTGGTATTTGGGTTTCCTTTTCTGAATGGTTGTATTCTTTGCCTCTTTTCCTATTGGAGTTTTAAGAATTATTTGTAGAAATTCTTTGCATCTTCTAGACATTAAGCCATTACCAGTTTTGTGCACTGCAAGAATTCTTATAAATTCAGGCAGTCCTGTTCTGGTCCTTCAGTTTACTCCAGGGGCCAGTTTGCTGGAGTTAAGTCAGCTTCTGTTTTTACTTCTGGGCTCCCTTTATTCTTACTTAACATTTATGAGTTATGCTACTAAGGCGGACAATCCCTTCAACTGTCCATCAGAATGAATTTGCTTTGTCAGTTATGGTTCATTTTTTGTTCAATAAGGCAGTATAGAATAGTGGTTAAGAGTCGGGGCTATAGAATATTTACTGCTTGCTTTTGAATCTTAGCTCAATGACTTTATTGTGTGATGTTGGCATATTACTCTTTTGTACTTGGCTTTATCATCTATAAAACCAATGAGGTAGAAGAAGTATTATGATTACCATTTTATGTTTGATGAAACTGAGGCAGAGGGAGATTAGGTCAGAAACATGAGCAAGTAGAAGAAACGTGTGCCTCTCTTTTAACTTTTTGCTTTTGCTAGAGACATAAGTATAGAGAAATACTTATCTAATTAAAAAAAAATATAGTAGCAGAAGCAGTGATAAGTCACTGACTCACAGCCTCAGTGTTGGGAGAAAACCATAGGAGTGGAGACTATAGAGAACTAAAGTGCCCATACCTAAGTCTGTTTGCAGTGTGGAAAACCATTTGTGCATTTTTCATTAAAATAAAGTGACAAAAACCCAAACCATGATTTTCATGACCTTAGCTTGATGTTTTACAGAATGGTAAATTTGTAAGAAATACATAATTTAGATACTATCCTAGGCCAGAGAACTCATAGTTGAAATAGGCCAATCATAAAGAGAACACTGTGGGCCACACTTAAGACATCAGTTTGGTGGACGACTTGATTTGGACTGACAATGGAAGGAAGAAGAAATTCAAGAAACAAAGGAATTCAAGTAGCAAAGACAATTTCTTTCTAGGAGCAGGAGAATAAGTATGATTTGGCTTCTGTATCTTCTATTTTTTATTATAAGAAGAAATCTGCTGTGGCAAAAAGTCAAGCAGTATAGGAAGGTAGAAAGTAAAAGTTTTCCAACAGTATATACCCAAATTGAAAGGAGGGACTCAAAAAGTTATTTGTACACTTGTGTTCATAGCAACATTATTCACAATAGCCAAAAGGTGGAAATAACCCAAATGGTCATTGATGGATTAGTGGATAAACAAAATATGCATACAAATATATATACGATGGAATACTATTCAGCCTTAGAAAGCAAGGAAATTCTGATACATGCCACGACCTGGATGCACCTTGAAGACATTATGCTAAGGGAGTGAGCCAGACCTAGAAGGAGAAATACTGTGTGATTTGACTTATACGAGGTTCCTAGAGTAGACAAATCCATAGAGGCAGAAAGTAGAATAGTGACTACTTGGCCGGGCACAGTGATTCACGCCTGTAATCCCAGCACTTTGGGAGGCCGAGGTGGGTGGATCATGAGGTCAGGAGTTTGAGACCAGCCTGGCCAACATAGTGAAACCCCTTCTCTACTAAAAATACGAAAAATTAGCTGGGCGTGGTGGTGGGAGCCTGTAATCCCAGCTACTCAGGAGACTGAGGCAGGAGAATCGCTTGAACCTGGGAGGTGGAGGTTGCAGTGAGCCGAGATTGCGCCACTGCACTGCATACTCCAGCCTGGGCAACAGTGCGAGACTCCGTCTCAAAAAAAAAGAACAGTGACTAGGCACTGGGAGGAGTTATTGTTTATTGGGTACAGTATTTCAGTTTGGGATGATGAAAAATTTCTGAAGGTGAATAATGGCAGTGGCTGTACAACAGCACAAATGTACTTAATGCCACTGAATTGTACACTTGAAAATGGGTAAAATGGTAAGTTACATGTATATATATATATTTTACCACCATAAAAAGTCTCCCAACACCAGCCTACCAGTTATAGTTGGCACTATAAACAGCTTCTTTTATAGCCATCTAGATAGGGCTATGCAAATACAAGCATAGATATGCGAGTATAAGCATACTGTCAATGCATAGATATGCGAGTATAAGCATACTGTCAATGCTCATTCCTTGGAGCACTCATGTAGGTGCCAGGTATTTCCCAGTGAACAAAACTGACAAGGTTTCTGCTGTCATGGAGCTTTTAAAAATTTTGTTTTATGCAAATGGATTACATACTGTTTTATACCTCATTTTCCCCCTTAACGGGTATCTTTGGACATCTTTCTGCATTAGCTTTTGTATAGATCTAACAACTTAATGGCTTCATAGTATGCCCTTGTATGGATGTGCTATCATTTGTGGCTGCATTTTTCATTGAATGGAGTAAGGGAGGTGGAGGTGTAGAGCTTGCTATGGTTTGCTGCTGTTGTAAATTAAATTTTTATTAGGAAAATAGTATAGCCTTCTTATAAAAAGTCAATGCAAAAAAAGTAAAAGTAAAAAGTAAAAATGGGAAAAAACAATAACAACCAACTTAGACCCAAAGTTACGCAGAGTTAAGAGCTGGGCTGAGCCATATTCTGTCTAGATCCTATTACTGTAAGAGTCAGGTGATTTCTTAGTTATCATTTGTATGGTGTTCCACAATCAATGAGATCATATCAAGAAGATTGCTTTGAAAACCATTATGCTAGAAATATTACTTTAAAGTTCTTTGATTGCAAGCCCTGGAAGTCATCTCAGGTTCTATTAAACAAACAAACAAAAAAGGACTTCCATGAAGGGGTTCTAGGTAGCAAATGAAGAAATATTTAAACAACTCTGGAAAGACAGGAACAGGGTGGCTTTAGGAGTCTCAATATCAGTGCTTATCCCTTTCATTTTCTATGTCTGCTTAAGATTCAATTCCTGGGAGAGATGAATGGCCTAGAGAACACGTGCCTATTGATGGTGAAGCAGGGAGAGTCCTGGGTTTTTGTGCTCCATGCGAATCTTATGGAGTTGGGGAGGTGCAGTTTTGGAAAGGATGGGATTCAAGGCTGGCAAAACCATCTGTCAGCCTTGCGATGTCAGCTGTTTTAAGCACAGATTCTTATTTCCTTCTTAAGGAGGAGATGACCGCCGGGTTCTGCTATGGCACATGGAACAAGCCATCCACTCCAGGGTCAAGCCCATACAGCTGAAAGGAGAGCACCATTCCAACATTTTTTGCCTGGCTTTCAACAGTGGGAACACTAAAGTGTTCTCTGGAGGTAAAAAGGGAGATTCTACCTTGGGAACGTCACTGTGGTTGGGATTTTAGAGAAAAGAGTGCGAAAATAACTCCTTATTTTTCTTCCTGTATTTCATTGAGCTGTGGAATTACTGGTTTCTCATAGCTTGTCTTTTCTGCATTACAGCAGTATTATATATTAGGATAGTGTGTGTCTTTTCTCTCTTCTCTTTTTTTTGCTTTTCTTCACCTGTCTTTTTCTTTATTTCTCTTTGGCAGAAAACTTTTCACATTGCAGTCTGGTACACAGAAACACACACAGACACACACACATATTTGAAACAATACTTAACCTTCCTATTTGTGGCACACTCTGGTTTTTTTTTATTCTATTCGATTTCATTTTTAAAGATTATGCTGGCCATAACGCAGATGAATGTCCTGACCCACAGATGGCTCCTGTTTGAAAAGTGTTGTGTTAGGGTACAATTGGAATGGCTGGTGCTCACACCAACCTCTTGGTGATGGCTTCCATCAACCATACTCCTTCTGACCCCACATTTCTAGTTCTGACCTCTTTTCTGAGCTGCAGATTTTCCCACTGGATATCTACCTGTGTTCCAAAAGCAACTTAAATACAATAGATCTAAAACCAAGATCATTAGTCCTCCCCTGAGTGAAAATTTCTTCTTGTCTGCTGGATTTTCTTTCTCAGTTACAACCATTCACCCAATTATATAAGCTATTAGGTTTAACTTTAAGAAATTGCTGACAATTAACCATTTTCAACTTTAAAAAGTAGCAGTTTCACATGGTTCATTCTACCTATGATCTTGGAGTCATCCTCAAACCTGCCTTTCTTACATTTACACATCTAGTCTGTCACCAAGTCCTGTCAGGTCTATCTTGAAAGCCTCTCATACTCATCCGTTAGTTTGGCCTGGATTTTTGCAATGGCCTTCTGTGATTTCTGTTACCACTCTCTAATTCTCCTTTGAATTCATTGCATACACAAGTTTACTTTTAAAAATAAAGACTGGACCATGTGAACCATTGAGCCTACAGTGCCTGAAGAATGAAGTCTAAATCCCAATCTATCTGTCTGGCCTGACCTCCCTTCCCTGAGTTATACACTGTAGCCCACCAAACTATTTGTCATTTTAAGAATGCACTGCATGGTACTATTTTGCCCTTGTGCCTTTTGTTCATGGTGTTCTTCCACCTTAATTGTCCAGTCCCCACCAATTCCCCTAAGCCTTTCATTGGTAAGAGTTTTGAGTTATTTGAGTTTCTCTTCAAAGGTCTCCTTCTCCATGTACTTTCACCCTGCTTATGAAGGAAATAATTGACCCCATAGCTAGATCATATTGCTGCAAGGCAAACCCTCTTGTTGCTGTTAGTTGTTTGTCCAGTTGGACTGTTCTCAAGTCCAATTGGAGTTCTCAAGGACAGAGTAGAATCTTATTCTTTTTATATACCCAAGACCTAGCACTGTACCTGATACCTAGAAGGCATTAGTATGGGTTTACTGATTTCATTGGTTTGTACCTACAGTAGAATTTACAGCCAGGCCTTTGTTTAAGATGCCCTGGGCCATATCTTTACTGCTACTTTTGCTTTCTATTTAAGTGACTGTTGGTTGTGCATTTTAGCATAGAGTGGGACTTTTTTCATGTTTTGTCTTCTTATATTCAGGTTTTAATTTTTTTGCTATACAAACCATTTGAAGGCAGGACTACACATATCATGAATATAATTTATATCCTTTGATAGAATAAGGAGAAATACAAGATTAAAACTTTCACATCATTTGGAATCACAGTCATCAAATTTTCATGCTATAAAAGATGATGAGGCTGGGCATGGTGGCTCACACTTGTAATAATCCCAACACTTTGAGAGGCCAAGGCAGGAGGATTGCTTGAGCCCAGGAGTTTGAGACCAGCCTGGGCAACATAGTTAGACCCCAACATGTTAGATCTCTACAAAAAAAATTTTTTTTTTAATTAGCCAGGCATAGTGACACATGCCTGTAGTTCCAGCTACTAGAGAGGCAGAGGTGGGAAGATTGCTTGAGCACAGGAGGTCAAGACTGTAGTGAACCATGATTGCACCACTGCACTCCAGCCTGGACAACAGAGCAGGATCCTGTCTCGAAAGAAAGAAGAAAAATTTTTAAAAGACAAACAGAGCAAGATCCTGTCTCAAAAGAAAGAAAGAAAGAAACATTTTTAAAAGACCATGAGGATAGAAATATTAACAAACATTTATTGGGGGCTTATTAAGTGATCAGCCCTATTCTGAATGCTTTTACAGATGTACTCTTATGCTTACAGTTACTCTATGATGTTATTATCCCTATTCTGTAGGTTAAAAAGTTAGGTCATAGAAATGCTAAAGATTTTATTGCAGGTCTCATGATTAGTGAGTGTTCTGCTGAAAAAGAAAAAAAATAAAGCTAGTGAATTGATTTGTCAATGATCATTTAGTGTTTTTCTTGATGGCCACAGTTTTGTTTTGTGTTGTTTCCCCCCTACTTTTTTTTTTTTTTTGAGACAGTCTCTCTCTGTTGCCCAGGCTGGAGTGCGATCGTAGCTCACTGCAGCCTTGAACTCCTGACCTCAAGCGATTCTTCCACCTCAGCCTCCTTAGTAGCTGGGACTTCAAGGGTGTGCCACCAGTTGGCTAATTTTTTTATTTTTATTTTCATAGAGATGGAGTCTAACTATGTTGCCCAGGTTGTAGCCACAGTTGTTTTTTTTTTTTACATCATCCACTGGATAATACACATTGGGAACTGTTACTGTGTTATACTTGGATGCCATTATTTTTTAAAAATTCTCTGTAAGAATGTCCTATCCTTCTTAAATTATTTCTATAAATCTTTTTTCCAGTTAACACTTCTAATTTGTATTAGCATTGGCTTTGTTCATATTTTTTCCCTGAAAACTTAAAAATACTAAATTGTAATGTGGACAGGGACCACCTTGCACGAATGATCAGATGTCTGCTTTTTTCTTTTGCAGGCAATGATGAGCAAGTTATCCTCCATGATGTTGAAAGGTAAATAGATTGGTGGTGTGTGAAGGTGATTGACTTTGTTTTTCATATATGAAGAGGCAAATATCTCTTTAGACTAAAATAGTTTTTGTTTTTTGAAAAAAACAACATGAAACCAGCTGTTCTTTTCTAAAAAAATTCCTACAATAGTTTGAAATAAATAAAGTTTTGATTTAAAAAGGAAAAAGGGATTTGAAAGTTTTGAAAGTTGGTATGAGAGTGTACTTTTTAGGTGAAAATTTAAAACAAGAGTTTAGAAGAGAAGGAACCATAATATTTAAGAACAGTAATAGCTAATATTGATTGAGTTCTTACTATGTGCCAGACACCATTGTAAATGCTTTGTACATATTCATTCATTTAATCCTCACACTCATTTTCTGAGGAGATACTATTGTCATCTCCGTTCTAGATCAGGAAACGGAGTCACAGACATGTTAGATAACAGAAGGTCAGGTGGTACTAAAACCTGAACTTAGGCTATCTGGCCTCAGAGCCATGCTCTTCATCACCATGCCAGATTGCTAGGAGACCCCTCTCCCATCCTGTAGGCATCAGACTTGGCTGCTTTAAAGCTTTCCCTTGCTTTTTGAAAATCAAGTATGACCCCCAAATCTGTACACAAGCAGATGCATTCTGTAATAAATGAAAATACAAAACTCAGCTATTGAGTCACTTTTAAATATGCTTATTTAGCACAAAAATTATAAAATCTCTAAAAAGACTCCTTAATAGTACCTTTTTTTTAACCTGAAAGTTGACTACCTACCTTTCAGGAAATATAATATTTTTTGGGTTTAGCTAGGTTGACTTTCTTCTAGAAATGGAAAAGATGGCACCCTCGGTACCAAAGTGCTGGGACTCTGCACTATGCTTGTGTGTATGTGTGTGCCTCTGTCTTGCTCTCTTATCTCCCAGCAGTGAGACATTGGACGTGTTTGCTCATGAAGATGCAGTATATGGCTTGTCTGTGAGCCCAGTGAATGACAACATTTTTGCCAGTTCCTCAGATGATGGCCGGGTTCTCATTTGGGACATTCGGGAATCCCCCCATGGAGGTAGGCTCACTGTGCAAATGACTGTTGGACTGTGTTGAACAGTTTGATGTCAGATTCATTGAAGATCCAATTTATTACCTCAGTATCTATGTGCAAGTGATGTCAAGGGAAAGGAAATGTGAAACACTCACATGGGGGCATAAGAGGTCTTTGGAGGCCTTATCCTCCACCTAAATACTCAGGAGTGAGGCACCTTTGCCAGTCCTTCTCCACCCTCCTGTGACTCTCCACAAACCCTTGTACTTTGGTGTTTAGTGCCCCAAGGAGCAGAAGTTGTGGTGCTGACATGTAACTATTCTTGATTATTTACAGAGAATGGGGGCGTTATGCACTTTCCTGCATCCTAGTTTCAGGCTTGTTATTTTGTTGAAAGAACCACCGAATCTCAAATTACCTGTGTATAGGATCTTAAAATGATGGCAAATAAACTCTGTTTAAAGGGGATTGTCGTGTGAGTGCCTCCTCTGAATGTGCCCTTTGACTCTCTGATGTGTGAAATGAAGAAGTTGCTTTGTTGACTTTCTCTGAAGTTCTTCAGGAAATGCATCTTCTCAGCTCATTTCCTACAGAGAGATTTCTGTAATTCTACCTGTCTTCAAAAGGCCCCTTCCTCTAGTACCAGCCTTAGTGCCACTGCCATACCCACCGTGGCCTTTAGTGCAGATTGTAATGATCACAGCTGTGTACCTAAATTTACTATCCTGCCTGCTCTGTCTGGCAGGATCTGGGTCTTTTAACTTTTCTATGTTCTAAACATTTTACATTCTGGGCTGTGCTCATTATTTAGGTTCAGGCTATAAGAGAAGCTTGTTTTTAGGGTTAGGCAGGTAAGGTAGCACGAAGTAGCAGCTGTGGTCGAGTCACTGTGGGCTTGGTAAGTGAAATTCTCCTTCGTCTGAACTGCCTGATGGCAGAGATGACTGAGTGCTTTACCTGCTCAGAGACCTGTGAAATACTGCATATGGAGGTCATAGACTGAGAAGTGCTTTCTTTGTATTACTCTAACAGGTCCCATAGGAGTATATCCTGCTAGGTAACTAAGTGATTTCTTCCTCACTTGGAACCTGCTAATTTTTGTAAAATGTTGCAGGGTTTCTAGGTGAAGTTGATTACAGACTGGCTAGATGTTAGGGAGCATTGTGAACCAGAAGAGAAAAACCACACCATTGTGTTTCACCACGTCTTAATTTTGTCATTGTTTTTTTTAATCTTCATCAAATCTGTGCATGGTTTAAAAACTTTTCTAAAACTAATACAATTGGATTAAAAGCATAATAACCCTACCATACTTGGTTGTGAATTTTTTCAGCTCATGTGGAATTCAGTTTTACTTACTGTAAAATGGCTTATTTTCCCATTTTTAGTGGCCGTTTCTGTTTTGTGTCAAGATCTGATAGCTGCTATATATATTTCTGGGTGTTATAGCTTAAAATGTGGTTAAATGTGTTTACCTTGCTATGTATAGGACTCATGGGGACCTTGTAAGTAGAGGTGACTGGTGGGATTATGTGCTGTTTTGGGGCTCCAGGCCGTTGGAGTGGTTATTAAAGAGTGCTCCGACCTGTATTCACATTCCTGATTATCTGCCTGCCAGTGGCCCACAGGTACCTGGAGTGAACTGATTATAATTTTTCTTTCCACAGAGCCCTTCTGCCTGGCAAACTATCCATCAGCCTTTCATAGTGTCATGTTTAACCCTGTGGAGCCCAGGTTGTTGGCCACAGCCAATTCAAAGGAAGGAGTGGGACTCTGGGACATTCGAAAACCTCAGAGGTGAGCCCCCTTTATTCATAGGTGTTAAAACTTTCCTCTGCCTCATTTCTCAGGTAATGTGACCAGCCAGTAAGTGTTGTAAGGACCTCTTTGGCAGTTATCTCTGCTGGGCATTTCTTAAGATATATAGTGTCTCTCAAGCCAGGAGAGCTTGTTTCCAAGGAATAGACAGCGACAAATCCGTACTCCTTGCTGAGGAGGAATCATAAACAGTAATCTGGACTGTAGACAGGGTGAGTTTTAGGCAATTATCTGAAGTAGTCAGAGCATCCCTTTAGTATTGCCTTCTCTCTTCAGACCCAGGGTTCCCCAGATGCATAGGAGCTCTTGGTGTGGGGTGGGTGGAGGGGAGGAGGTGGAGGTGGAGATTTGCCAAACTTGTTGCTGCTGAGTCAGGGATTCTTAAGCCTAGGTTGGAGGGGATCCCTAAGAGGGCTTAAAAAATACTGAACTGCCAAAATTATATGAAAATTATATATTGTATATTCAAATAAGTGCATTTTCTGTTTATCAAAAGGACTAATGACCTTTATAGTGACAACAACAAAAGGTTAAGAGCCATTGCACTGTGGTGTTCAGGACCTCATGTGTTTCTCCACATGGCACTATGAAAAGAGCATACTTAAGACAAACCTGAATGATGGCATGAATCACTAATGGGGGAATCTCAGGCATCATTAAAGGATGTGGGAATGGGGGTGAGTAGCAGGCTCTTTTATGTTCCTTAAGTCCCATGGGGGAGGGACTACTTTTTATGGCACCTGTACATAAAGTTGGCCATGCTGTATTAAAAAACTTCCGTGTATTGCTAGCTAGCTCCTCTGGAAATTCTGCATAGATGTAATTTCCCACTTCATAAAGCAGTGTTGCAGAAGAATATCATGGAAACTAAGTGATGTTATAATTTATTTCACGGGCCTCAGATGAAAGGAGTAGTTAAGTACAGAAGATTATCTTCCTTGATGATTTTTACTCCTAGGTGATTCTCTCCATGGGGCAGTAAGAGATGGTTGGAACTATTGTAGCAGATCGGTGTAGCCCAGAGGTGTGTCCCTGTCATTGAGCAAGGCTCCCTAAGCTTCCTCAGGGCAGCAGAGATTTCTCCTGCCCCTTCTGTTGCGTAGGCACCTGGCTCTTGCTTTTACAGTCTATTGAAATGTGTGTAGTGGCAGGACCCCTGATGTGCCTTTGCACTATGAACTTTAGGAGGCTTGCTGTCTGCCAAGAAGACAACTGTGTTCATCTGCAGTGTTCTCTGCTACTTCAGGCTCTTTAGGAACAACTGTTCTGCCTCATCCGTATTACAAAAGGCAGGATTTGGACAAACTGCACCAGCCTTCTCTCAACCTACTATCTCTCCTACTTATAATTGCAATGAATAGCTGGCAACTGGAGTGGGGCACTGAGCTGTTTATCTCCAGTGGAAAGCTTGAGCAATTCATGGTGTCTGCAGTGTCTTGAGAGAGGAGGGGAGTGTGGATATTTTAATTCTCCCAATTCTCTCCCATTCTCTTCCACCAGTTTCTTACCGTGCATTATATGGGCCCTCCCCCACTTTCCACTTGTCTCCTCACTAATAAATATAGTTTCTTTCTTGTTAAAAGAATTGAAAGTGATGATGATTATTGTATTTTTACAGTGACATTTATTGGTTTGGGGGTTTTATGCAGAAAAAAATAAAAACAAAAAAACAAGTTCCATCTCCAGATTATCTCTGTTACTTGTATGTTTTTAAAATGTTTGTCTATCAGTACAGTTCTGCTTCTTTCTAGTGTCTGTAGTCACTCCAGAGGTAACTACAGTGAACAGTTTCTTATCTTTCCAGAACTTAATGTAATGTATATACGACTATGCATATGCATCCTTTAAAAAAATTGAGACAGAAGGAAGCACGTAGTAATACTCACTGTTCTCGATTTCTTTTTTAAATTAACAATATGTTTTGGAGCCTTTTTTCATACCAACACTAACAGATCTAGCCCCTTCTTTTAATGACTATATGGCATTCAATTTATATGATGTACCCAACAACCAGGGCTTCTTGTTTCCAGTTTTTGGTCATTATAAACAATGTTACATTTAACCTGGTTATAAATCTATCTTTATAACCAGGCCTACTTTTGCAAAAATATCTGTACGGACTTTGCTACATCAAAGGATGCATGTTTTTAAACTTTTGATAGAAACTGTCAAATTGTAGCCCCACCACCAAAGGCTGTACTAACTTACAAATCTGCCAACTGTGTATAAGATTGCATGTGTCTCCAGACCTTCACCAACACTTGAACTATTGCTAGTATTATGGGGGAAAAATGATATCTTGTTTTGAGTTCTTCTTCAATTATGGGTAAGGTTTTATAGTTTCTTTGATAACCTACGGTTTTCAGAGCCCATATAGGAGAAAAGTTGCCCAGTAGGGCTAATTGACAATCATGACTAATTTCTTTTTGGAATAAAAGAAGGAGCATAGTGCCATGGGGACTAGGATGTTTTTGCATTTATTTCAACTCTTCTAAGGTTCTACAAGGTTTTATGGGTGTCAGGCAGAAAAGGGGGATGAAATATCCTTGGAACTCTTCTTAACTTAGCATCCACTGGAGTTTGGGGATGAAATTACAGATCTTTTCTGTTAGAATTCCCTCAGTACAAGTTGGTTTGGGGGAAGAGACCACCCTTTTTCTTTTCCATGTAGGATTAGTTATGCTGAGTTGCAATAGATAATTTGTCTCTTGAGCACAGCTGCCTAGAAACCCCAACCTAGATTTTGGGGCAACTCTAAATCTGTTGGGAGGACAAGCCTGGAACACGATAGAACTTTTTCAGGGATACTTCAAGTGTAGGGAGAGATTTTAAGGAATTTGTGAATCCCCTATAACTGCAGGTAAAATTGTATGGCTTGTGTATCTGAGTGAACACATGTCATATTTTTTCTAGGGATGGTAGAAAGTTTTTACCAAGTTCTCATAGAGACCCTTGACTCCAAAAGGATAAGAGTTGCTTGGTGTTCTGATTACCCTAGGTTTTAAACCTGTTGTGGTTCCTTATCAGGTTTTTAAATGACTTCTAGCTTGTAATTGCACAGGCATGTGGGTGAATTCAGGGCCTGCTGTCCTAGAAACAGATAATCTCCTTGGAGCAGTGATGAAGGTCTCACCCTGAACACCTTCTCCTTCCTGGCTTAACCTATGTATTAGTCAATGCTTGAATGATTTCCCTGTCTTACCCCAAGCCTACACTATACCTCTCCACTTGGTAGCCTGAAGGTATAGGAGGAGAGTCATTTTTGTCCCACTGCTGCCCTGAAATAAGCTGATTAGAGGGCTGGCTGGCAGAAAAAAAAAATGTCAGCTCTAAAGAAGACTTGAATTATAATATGATCAGACTTCCTCATTGTACAGATTAAGAATAAGAAACTAGCCCAGTGAGGTAAGGGGAGGAAGAAGAGCTTGATGGTTTAGTGTAGGAAGTATAGGCTCTGAAGCCATACTTCTTGGTTACAGATCCAGGTAGTACACCTTAATAGGCATGTGATCTTGAATAAGTTACTTCACCTCTCAGTGTCTCATAATAATAAATAATAACTAACATTTATTAAGCATTACGTGCCATCGGAGTATTGACCATCATATGAATAATTACCTCATTTAATCCTTATGATAACCCTATGAGGTAGCTTCTATTATTCTTATTTTAAGAAAATCAAGGCACAGAGAGGTGAAATAACTTGTGTGTTATTTGTGTGTGTGTGTGTGTGTGTGTGTGTGTGTGTGTATACATATATATCATCCTTCCCCTTTCCCCTGTTTTTTTCTTTTTTTTAGTTTTTATTTTTAGAGACAGGATCTCACTATGTTGCCTAGGCCTCAGCCTCCCGAGTAGATGGAATTATAGGCATGAGCCACCACACCCAGTTCCCTCTCTTACTAAATCACATAGGGTCCCTGTACATTCTAGTTTTCTTTCATCTGTGCCTCCTTACAATAGAACTTTTTCAGAATTCCTTTCAAATTTTTCCAATATGGACCTGTCATACTCTGAAGTCTGAGTCCTTTAGACTTCCTGTCCCTGAAAGTTAAACCCTTTTTCACTGTCTCATGGCCTAGAACCTGTTCAAACTTCTTACCTTTTATAACCCTGGAAATCTGCATATACTATTTATTTTGCTGCAACACTTTAGAACAGAGGTTGTAAACTAGCTGCCTATAGACCAAATTCAACCCACAGAGATATTTTGGTCTACCTGATATACTAGAGTTTGAAAAATTACAAAGTAAAATTGTAGTTTCTTACATCTCTTGAAAAAGACAAAAGATCTGATATTGTCGGACCTTTATTCTCATATGGCAATAGTCAGCCAAAACCTTTATGATGTTAGTTAAGGGTCCCACCACTTCTTGATGTCTTAATACAGGTGTATCCCTCATTTACATTACTTGCCTGACCCTGTAGACACTGGAGTTGGAAAGTTCTGCTTTAGGGATTTTAGTGGTGATGAGTGGTCACTGGGGAGGAGAGGCTTGAGTGTAGGTGACTGGATAAAAAAACATTTCACACTTACAAGTGTACATTGCATGTTCTGACAAGGTTTCATTTATTTCATTTAGATGATTTCTGCTGTTTTCACAGGTAACCTCCTTTCTCACTGCCAGTGTCCCAGTTATATCTATCTTGGGCTGTTGCAGTGCCCTCTGAACACTTTTCAGAACTGAGATCCTCTAATGTCTAGAGAATTCAGGAAAAGCAAAAGTTTCCCCTGCTCTCACTCTACTTGTCTCATCCTTTTCATTGCCGGTTTTAGCTGTCTGCTTACTCACTACCTCTCTCCCTTCCAATCTCTTTATTTTCTGTCAGGAACTGTTAGTTCTATGACAGATAACAGTGTCTTGCTTTGACAAGGATAATAAAGAGAGTGGTTTTTTCCCCACTCAATAATAAAACTGGGGCAAGCCGAGAATCCCTATAAAGACTTATCTTATAAGACGGTGCTTTCACTTGTGTAAATGACACATCTGAAAATGGGCAATGAGAGCAAGTTCCTACTATCGGGAAATTGCTCTTAGGTTCTCTCTGGGTTTGGGGACCTCTCAGTTAACTGTCTGTTTTTTGGGGCCTGGGCCAATCCTACTTCTATAGAGACCAGATTAAATGAAACTCTGCCTTCTGAACAAGCCAGACAATCTCTGCCACATTGCATTTGAGGGTTGCTCATACCATTATAGGAAAATAAAGCCCAGGGGCTTAATGTCAAAGGCTGGAAAAGGCACTCATGCTCTGATGTTTGTTGAAACTTTAATGAATGAGGCTGCCCTGAATTAGCCTCTTTCCTTTCAGAATGCAAGGCCATCAGGGTAGACAAAGATTTCTTAAATTTCTTAAAACCTCAGAAACACTATACATCAAAGAAAAAATTGACACATTGGATTTCATTAAAATTAAGAACTTTTACACAGCAGACACCACTTTTTTTTTTTTTTTTTTTTTTTTTTTTTGAGACAGGGTCTTGGTCTGTTGCCCAGGCTGGAGTGCAGTGGCATGATCATGGCTACTGCAGCCTTGACCTCCAAGGCTCAAGCAGTCCTCCCACTTCAGCTTCCCAAGTAGCTGAGACCACAGGCTCATGCTATCATGCCTGGCTAATTTTTAAATGTTTCTGTTAGAGAAAGCGTCTCTTTGTGTTACCCAGGCTGGTCTCGATCTCCTGGGTGCAAACAGTCCTCCTGTCTCATCCTACCGAAGTGCTAGGATTACAGATGTGAGCCACCATGCCTGGCCAAAGACACTATTAAGTAAGTGAAAAGGACTGGACGCAGTGGCTCACGCCTGTAATCCCAGCACTGTGGGAGGCCGAGGCAGTTGGATCACAAGGTCAGGAGTTTGAGACCAGCCTGGCCAACATGGTGAAACCCTGTCTCTACTAAAAAAAAATAGGAAAATTAGTGGGGCGTGGTGTTGTGTGCCTGTAATCCCAGCTACTTGGGAGGCTGAGGCAGGAGGCTTGAACCCAGGAGGTGGAGGTTGCAGTGAGCCGAGATTGCACCACTGCACTCTAGCCTGGTGACGGAGTGAGACTCTGTCTCAAAAAAAAAAAAAAAAAAGTAAGTGAAAAGATGAGCCAAGAACAGATCAGAAAAAAAAAAGCATAATACATACATTAAGAATATCCAGAATTTATAAAGAAGTACAAATCAGTAAGTAAAAAACAAAAAATCAATTTAAAAAATGAGCAGAAATGTTGAACAGGTACTTTACCAAAGAAAATATCCAAATACCCAATAAGCATTTGAAAAGTACTGAACTTTATCACTCATGAGAGCAGTGCAAATTAAAACCACAATGAGTGTCAGTATACACCTAGAGTGTTTAAAATTAAAAAGACTTATAGTATTAGGTGTTAACAAGGGTATGGACCAACTGAAACACTCATACATTTTAGGTGAGTACAAATTGGTACAACCATTAGGGAAATCTATTTGTCAGTATCTACTAAAGCTAAACACCATAACTCCATGACCCAGCAATCTCACTCTTAAGTATATCTAAGAGAAATGAGTACCTATTTCCACCAAAGACATGTACAGGAACATTTACAGCTGCTTTATTTATAATAGCCACAAGCTAGGAACAACCTAAATATCCATCAAAAGAAAATGGAAAATGGATAAATAAACTGTGGAATAGCCATACAATAGAATATTACACAAACATAAATAAACAACAAACTATAAATATACACATTGACATGGATGAATCTCACGGTCATAATATTGAATAAAAGAATTCAAATACAAAAGAATCTCTGTGATTCCATTTGCATGATGCTCAAGAACAGGCAAGTTATGGAAGTCAGAATAGTGGTTACCTCTGGGTAAGGTATTGACTAAGGAAGGCATGAGGGAAACTTCTGGGGTTCTATATCTTGATCTGGGTGGCAATTTCATGGTTGTATACCTATATAAATTTTTATTGAGCAATGCCCTTAGAATTAGTGCATGTTATCATATTATGTTGTATCTTTTTTTTTTTTTTTGAGGCAGAGTTTTGCTCTGTCTCCCAGGCTAGAGTGGCGCGATCTCAACTCACTGCAAGCTCTGCCTCCCGGGTTCACACCATTCTCCTGACTCAGCCTTCTGAGTAGTTGGGACTACAGGCGCCCGCCACCACGCCCGGCTAATTTCTTTTTGTATGTTTAGTAGATATGGGGTTTCACCTTGTTAGCCAGGATGGTCTCAATCTCCTGACCTCATGATCCACCCGCCTCAGCCTCCCAAAGTGCTGGGATTACAGGTGTGAGCCACCGCGCCTGGCCTGTATTATGTTGTATCTTAAAATTTAAAAAAAGAATCCAAGGCCACTGTTGTCTTCAAGTGGGTATTTATCTTCTTCCCTACGATTCCAGTGGCTGTGGCAATAACACTGGCTCTTTACAGAGCTGCCTTAAAGGGACAAAAGAGAGAACGAGAAGAGTCAGGTGGACCTAGAAATTTTGGTGGTATTATAGAAAACTGCAACAGAAAAGCTGAAGATAACTGGGATTTTGCTCGTCACAATGATTAGCTTTAGTCGGGGGCATGCCTTCTGGTTATTAAGCTACTCCCTTCTTTCTGTCTTCTACTCACCCATCTTTACCATACATAGGTTTACAGTACTCATGCAAGTGTTCTGTCCTCTGAACTCCTTAATAAAAAGCTTGCTTTCTCCCAAGCACTGTATTCCTTTCTTAAACTTCTTTGTTTTTTTATTATTGTCATCGTCTGTCTTATAATCATCCTGGCTGAAATCTCAAAGTCCATTTGCCTCTTCTGCCTCTCCCTCCCTCTGCCATAAACATCTTTGCTCTGTGTTAGTGCTTGGCCACTCTTTTCATTGCTTAAATCCCTACCCCATTTCATACCCATTTCCGTCTCTCCATAAGGTTCTGACTGCACTGGCTCCTTAGCTTGCGTCTCTTCTCCCTTTGCACCACCCCCCAAAACACATACACATAGAGGATGCTTTCTCCTGTTTTCTTGATTTTTCTTTACGTGTTCATGTCATAGTTACCAAGATCAAATGGTAATCCATCAGGGAAAACTTCCTTGCTAGATCTCTCTGTTACATACTCTTAAAGATGCTTTTACTCACCATGTCCCCCGGCACCTGGCACTATTTTGGCACAGAGTGTATGTTGAATGAATGCAGCTGTCCCTAACTTCTAGAGGAAAGGATCTCTCCATTCAGAATCTCTGTAAAGTACTTATGATCTGTGGCATTCATGTTGCACATTTCAGTTGCTGCTTTTGCCATCATTAGTTATTCATATGCTATGTCTTGTCTCCCGGTAGGCCAGTATTTGTCTTTGATTTCCTTCCCAGTGCCCAGGAGCTGCTTCACAGAAAGGAGGCATTTGTCCTAATATGTATTATTACTTGTGTTTTTCTATGAATTTTTAAGGGCAGGTGCGTGTTTTATTCATCTTTAATCTCTAGTGCCTAGCACAGTGCTTGGAATATTATGGAAACTTAGTAAATATTGAATGAATATATAGTGTTATACTCATCCCAAAATAGTCAAAGCTAACTTTTAGAAAATACTTTCAAAGCTAACTTTCTATAATGTTTATGGACCTGCTAATCCCTGAGTATAATGACATGAATCCAAATGTTGTATCTCAGGAATAAATCCTTAGAGGAGGTGTAAGGTTTCTTGCTGGGCTTTGAATGCCACCGTCAATTAGTTATGTGGCAGAGAGCCAGGTATTCTGGTGAAGTTGCTTTGTAGCTTTTAAGCCACAAGGTGGAGGTGTAGAATCAGTTTTGCCCACTGGAGGACACCAGGTCACTGGTTTCCTAACCCAGTGATTCTCAAACTTTAAGGGGCATCAGAATCACCTGAGGAGCTTGTCGAAGCACTCCTTCCTGGACCCCATACCTAGAGATTGAGTTGTTGGTTTGGGGTGGGACCTTTGATTCTGCCATTATTTAGCAAATACCCAAGGTGATTTAGCAATTTTGTTGGTCTTACAAGATGGAAGCAGTGGTTAATCAGAGAGGTCCATGTTGAATTTGCTCAAGTTCACTCAGACCCAGGGTCTTTGGGGTTTAGGCCAGAGATTGCTTGCGTCCATTCCTTCTCACCAGACACAAATGTCTTTTATGACAAGAGACGTCGCTTCAGACCAGAGCATCTGGGGAATGCCTGGTAAATGGAGGGGAGCTCTGCAAACAAGTATCATTTCATATTCTTCCTTTCGTATTCCCCAAGTCCAGTTATTCAGAAGTAGATAATATCAAAACCTAAATCAAATGGACTTTCTTATTTAATTATTTAATTATTTATTTATTTTTTGAGACAAAGTCTTGCTCTGTTACCCAGGCTGGAATGCAGTGGTGCAATCTCGGCTCACTGCAGCTTCCACCTCTTGGGTTCAGGCGATTCTCCTGCCTCAGCCTCCCAAGTAGCTGGGACTGCAGGCATGTGCCACCATGCCCGGTTAATTTTTTTGTATTTTTAGTAGAGATGGGGTTTCACCATGTTGGCCAGGTTGGTCTTGAACTCCTGACTTCAAGTGATCCACTCATCTCAGCCTCCCAATGTGCTGGAATTACAGGCATGAGCCACCGCGCCCAGCCAGCTTTCTTATTTTAAAATCAAATGTTGACGTTTTCTTCTTAAAAATTTTTATGGTAAGACTTTTTTTCAAATATGTGTAAAAGTAGGCTGGGTGCAGTGGCTCACGCCTGTAATCCTAGCACTTTGGGAGCCCCAGGCAAGGGGATTGCTTGAGGCTAGGAGTTCAAGACATGCCTGGGCAACATACACCCTATCTCTACAAAAGTATTCTTTTAAAAATTAGCCAGGTGGGGTAGTGGCAGAGTCTGCAGTCCTAGATACTGGAGAGGCTGAGGCAGGAGGATCGCTTGAGCCCAGGAGGTTGAGGCTGCAGTGAGCCATGATTGCACCACTGCACTCCATCCTGTGTGACAGAATGAGACCCTATCACTAAAAATAAATAAAAATTTAAAAAACAGTTAAGGTGGGCACGGTGGCTCATGCCTGTAATCCCAGCACTTTGGGAGGCCAAGGAGGGTGGATCACCTGAGGTCAGGAGTTTGAGACCAGCCTGGCCAACATAGTGAAACCCTGTCTCTATTAAAAATACAAAATTAGCCGGGCGTAGTGGTGGGCCCCTGTAATTCCAGCTACTCGGGGGGCTGAGGCAGGAGAATTGCTTGAACCTGGGAGGCAGAGGTTGCAGTGAGCTGAGATTGCAACCATTGCACTCCATCCTGGGCAAAAAAAGCGAAACTCCGTCTCAAAAAAAGCAACACAAAACAAAAAACAGATAAAAGCAGAATAGTAAAAATAATATTTACCTATTCTGGGTATTTCACACTATGTATAATTATTCAGGGTTCTCCAGAGGAACAGAACCAATAGGAGATATATATATATATATATATATATATATATATGACAGTTTATTAGGGAAAATTGGCTCATACCATTACAAAGGTGAATGATAGGCTATGTGCAAGCTGAAGAATGGGAAAAGCCAGTAGAGTGGTCAGTTCAAGTCTGAAAGCCTCAAAACCAGGTAGGCCGACAGTAGAGGCTTCAGTCTGATGCCAAAGGCCCAAGAGCCCCCAGGAGGCCACTGGTGCAAGTCCCAGAGTCCAAAGGCAGAAGAACTTGCAGTCTGATGTCCAAGGGCAGGAGGAGAGGAAGCAAAGCATCAGGCTTGGAAAGAGAACAAGGAACATCAACAAGCTGAATATCCCCCTTTTTCTGCTAGCTTTGTTCTAGTTACACTGGAACAATGCCTGCCCACATTAAAGGCGGGTCATGTTCTCCCTGCCCACTGACTCACATCTCAGTCTCCTCTGGAAACAGGCTCACAGACACACACAGCAACAATGCTTCAGCAGCCATGTAGGCATGCCTGAGTCCAGTCAAGTTGACACCTAATATTGGCCATCACGATATGTGACCTTCTGTCTGGCTTCTTTCACTTAGCATCATGTTTTTGAGATTCATCCACATGTATTAGTGTCTCATTCTTTTTTATGGCTAAATAATATTCTATTATATATACATTATACATATATGGATATACACATTTTGTTTATCCATTCATCTAATGATAGCCGTTTGGATTGTCCCATCTTCTGGCTATTGTGAATGATACTATCATTAACATTCGTGAACAAATTTTTTTTGAGAACCTGTTTTCAATTATTTTGGGTATATTACACCTAGGAGTGGAATTACTGGATCATATGGTGATCCTATATTAAACTTTTTGAGGAACTACCAAACTGCTTTCCATAAAAAGATAATTAAAAAAAAAACATAACCACAATATTATTCCACCTAAAAAGTAACAATAATTCCTTAATACCATCTCATATCTAGTTGTTACAATGGTTTTTGTGAAGCAGGACTCAAAATCCTTACAAAGCAATTGGATGATTTGACTTCTAAGTCTTTTTAGTTTGTAGGTACCCCTGTCTCTCACTTTTTTTTTTTTTAAAGACAGAGTTTTGCTCTCGTTGCCCAGGCTGGAGTGCAATGGCGCTATCTTGGCTCACTGCAACCTCCACCTCCTGGGTTCAAGCGATTCTCCTGCCTCAGCCTCCTGAGTAGCTGGGATTACAGGCGCCCGCTGCTACACTCGGCTAATTTTTGGTATTTTTAGTAGAGATGGGGTTTCACCATGTTGGCCAGGCTGGTCTTGAATTCCTGGCCTCAAGTGATCCACCCACCTCGGCCTCCCAAAGTGCTGGGATTACAGACGTGAGCCACCCCACCCGGCCATCTCTCACTTCTTTTGCTTGCAAATTATGTGTTGAAGAAACTGGATTATTTGTCTTACGAATTTCTTATATTCTAGCTTATGCTGATTGCATTCTTCTACTGTAATTTAGCATATTCCTCTGACTCAGGTTTTTCCCATGAATTGGTATTAGATCTAGAAGCTTGAACAAATTCAGGTTTGATTTTTTTAAATGGGTACAAAAATATTTCATTGATGATGTGTGTATCCATAAAGAAATTAAAAATGCCTAGTTATCTCTCTGTTTGTTTTGAAATACTTTGACAGACTTCTTAGTTTAGCTTTTTAAAATACAAGCCATGCTGGTAAAGATGTGGAGAAACTCAGTCACTCACATATTGCTGGTGGGAATATGTAATGGTATAGCCACTCTGGGAAACAGTTTGTAGTTCCTTTATATATTAAAGATGAGCTTACCATATGACCCAGCAATTTCATTCTTGGATCTATATCTAGGAGAGATGAAATGTATTTCTATACAGAAACTTGTACATGAATGTTCATAGCAGCTTTATTCCTTATAACCAAAAGCTGGAAACTACTCACATGTCCTTCATTAGGTGAATGTGGTACATTCATACCACAGACTGCTACTCAGTGATGAAAAGGAACTAACTGTGTTGATACAACTTGGATGAACTTTAAGGAAATTTTGTTGACTGAAAAAAAGCCAATCTCAAAAGAATACATGCTGCATAATTCCACTTATGTAATCCTCATTAATGATATAATTCTCAAGATAAGTACAGATTATTGATTGCCAGGAGTTAGAGATGAGAGTAGAGGACAAGTTGCATGAGGGAGTCTTGTGATTGTACAGATAAATATCTTAATTGCAGTGATTGTTACATGAAGCTATGCATGATGTACATATACAAGCTATACAAGCGAGTTTCCATAGCATAGTGGTTATCACATTCACCTAACACAAATGAATGCATGTATAGCTGATAAAATCTGAATAAATTCTGTGGATTGTGCCAATGTAATTTTCCTGGTTGTGATATTGTACTATGGCTATGCAAGATGGTGGTAACATTGGAAGAGGCTGGATAAAGGATGCACAGGACGTTCTTGTACATTTCTTGTGTCTTGCTCTGAATCTATAATTATTTCAAAAGAAAAAGAAATACAAGTAACAGGTAATAATGTTCTCCTTTTAAAACTGTCCACAGGCTAACGCCCCCTCTGACTACCTCTTCTAGTCCTGGTCCTTCATGTTTTCTCCTGGGGGTAGTGAGTATTATGAGTTTATAATATATGCTTCCAGAACTTCTTCTTGGTTTTTATATGCTTATACATGTACCCGTAGAAAAATATATGGCATTATTTCCATATGCTTCTATGTTTTTCACACAAATAGTATGCTACTATATAATCATTCTACAACTGGACTTTTCACTCATTGGTATGTGTTGAGAATTTGTCCATATACACGTGTGTTCTGCATAATGATGTTTCAGTCAATAATGGACCCACATGTATGACAAAAGTCCCATAAGATTATAATGGAGCTGAAAAATTCCTGTCACCTGGTAATGTAGCTGTCATAATGTAGCACAACACATTCTTCATGTGTTTGTGGTGACGTTGGTGTAAACAAACATACTGTGCTGCCAGTCGTATAAAAGTGTAGTACATAAGATGATGTACAGTACGTAACACTTGATAATAAACAGCTGTGTTACTGGTTTACCTGTTTACTGTATTGTATTTCTTATAGTTATTTTAGTGTATATTCCTACTTATTAAAAAAAGTTTACTGTAAAGCAGCTTCAGGCAGGTCCTTCAGGAGGTATTCCAGAAGAAGGCATTATCATAAGAGATGATAGTTCCACGTGTATTATCGACCCTGAAGATGTTAGTAGAACAGATGTGAAGGTAGAAGATAGTGATATTGATGAGCCTGACCCTGTGTAGGTCTAGGCTAATATGTGTGTGTGTGTGTGTGTGTGTGTGTGTCTTTGTTTTTAACAAAATAAAAAGTTTAAAAAGTAAAAAAAAAAAAAAAGAATAAGGATATAAAGAAGGAAAGTGCTTTTGTACAGCTGCACAATGTGCCTGTTTTAAGCTAAGTATTATAACAAGAGTCAAAAAGTTAAAACAGTAAAAAAGTTTATAAAGTAAAAAAGTTATAGTAAACTAATGGTCGGGCGCGGTGGCTCATGCCCGTAATCCCAGCACTTTGGGAGGCTGAGGCAGGGATCACTTGAGGTCGGGAGTTCGAGACCAGCCTGGCCAACATGGTGAAACCCTATCTCTACTAAAAATACAAAAATTAGCCGGGCATGGTGACGTGTGCCTGTAATCCCAGCTGCTCAGGAGGCTGAAGCAGGAGAATCACTTGAACTCAGGAGGCGGAGGTTGCAGTGAACCGAGATCACACCACTGCACTCCAGCCTGGGTGACAGAGTGAGACTTTGTCTCAAAAAAAAAAAAAAAAAAAGTTATAGTAAACTAAGGTTAATTATTGCAGAAAGAAAAATATTTTTAAATAAATGTAGCGTAGCCTGTGTGTAATATTTATATAGTCTATGGTGGTAGTGTACAGTAATGTCCTAGGCCTTCACATTCATTCATCACTCACTCACAGACTCACCCAGAGCAACTTCCAGTCCTGCAAGCGCTATTCATGGTGGATACCCTATACAGGTGTACCATTTTTTTAAATCTTTTATACTGTATTTTTACTGTGGCTTTTAAATGTTTAGATACACAAATACTTACCCATTGTGTTACAGTTGCCTATGGCATTTGGTGTTCCATATAATAACATATAGTAACATGCTGTACAGGTTTGTAGCCTAGGTTATACCACATAGCTGGGGTGTGTAGTAGGCTATACCTTCTAGGTTTGTGTGAATACTCTCTATAATGTTTACACAACAAAATTGCCTAACAACACATTTCGTAGAACATATTCCTGTCATTAAGCGATGCATGACTGTATTAACATATCCAGATTTATCTTCTTTTGCCAGTTAAGAATTTGAGTCAACCTTTGACTCTCTGTTGCGTCAGCTTAGGTTTTTCTTCCAGGAAGTCTTTTGTGACTACTCCCACTCCTGTCTCCCCAGTAGAGGGCAGTTATTCTTCCTCTGTCCTCTCTTGGCAGATCTTCCCCTTATTACAGCACTGTTCATGGAAACGGTAACATCTTTGAATCCATGTGTGTGACACAGTGCCTAAGATAGTCAGCAGGTATTCAATAAATATTTAAATGAAAGTATGCATGAATAAATGAATTACTGAATTGTAGGGAAGGGTGTGAAGTGAATGACTTAGATGAATCCTTCTGGCCCTGATGCATTGCAGTCTGATGCTGTTCTTTTTAATAGGTGGAATAATCCATCTCCACAGCATATTCTGTGAAATCTTGTTGAACCAAGAAGCAGAAAAAACTTGCTTCTATTTCGGCTGCTTGATTGTGTGGTCAGGGTCAAGTCATATAATTACTCAGGACCTTGGTCTCCTCCAGTGTAACATAGGTTGATGTTAACCACACTGTCTATTTTATAGGATTATTTTAAGGATTAGATGATATGATATACATGAAAACATTTTGGAAATTAAATTTACTGAAGAACTTGTTGCTTCTTCAGGGGTATCTATGTTGATATAATCCCTTCAGTGAATTCTTTGTAGTTTGAACTTTCTATTTTGTAATTCCAGGTTTGACCTTATGTTTTATGTGTTGGGAGTCACATATTTTAGATAGGGACTTCTTAGTATACTCTCAATAATAATCTTGGCTTCTTTTACCCATGAATTTGCCCATATGTAGAAGACTTTCCAAGAACACTGCTAATATTTCTGGATTATGCATAAAATACTTGTGTGTTTTGAATCTGTTTTCTATTCTGATCACTTAACTTTCCCATTTGTTTATGGATACTTTGGAAGTGGGATGGTGGATCTGTAGAAAGAAATAAAACTGAGTGTAGTTTCAGACCTAACTTGGTGACTATGTCCAATGCTAACCAAGGGAAACTTGTTTTGTATCTAGAAATCTACCAAAGGAGGGATATTATTTGCCCTCATTGAGAAGGATGGTAAGGGACACTAAGATTGAATTTCAGAGACCTTTGAAAATTTTTGTTTGACTGTTATTATATGGATTTAAAATAATGACTGGATTTCAAATTTAGCATTTGTACCAGAATCCTATGGGTCAGTTTATTATGTGAAGTTTCCATTAAGAGGCTCTCTAAATTCCCTATTCTCATACTTTTCTCAAAGCTTTCTTCCATGGACCCTTTTTAAAAGAGGGAGTATATGTGAGAAGACATTTCCTTCTGATTATAGAAGTTTATATTCATTGTAGAAAAACTTGGAAAATAAAATGAAAGCTATAAGGAAAATAAAAATGACCCAAGTTCTATAGTCTAGTTAATGTATCTTCCTATTGATATCCATATATCCATCAATATGTATAGTATATCACTATCTATTTTTGAGCATAATTGGGTAGGACATGTATTTAATACCTGCTGAATTCACTGGTCACTTTCTGAAACATGGTAGATGAATCTACTTTCTTTTAACTTGTAATTGGCTTCCTTTTAAAGCTTAAATAATTTTCCTTTTGAACTTCTTTTCTGCAAATATCAGAAACTTTTTTTTTTAATGTTATTTTATTCTTTGAGACAGTGTCTTATTCTGTCACCCAGGCTGCAGTGCAGTGGCTCAGTTGATCCTCCCACCTCAGCCTTCTGAGTAGCTGGGACTACAGGCATGTGCCACTATGCTCGGCTAATTTTTGTATTTTTTTTTTGTAGAGACAGGGTTTCACTTTGTTGCCCAGGCTGGCCTCAAACCCCTAAGCTCAAGCAATTCTCTTGCTTGGGCCTCCCAAAGTGTTGGGATTACAGGCATGAACCACCATGCCCAGCCAGGAACTTGCTTTAAAGTCTAAGATATAATTAAGATACTTGCTTACCTGTTAAATTATCTTGTTGGATCCTTACATGATTAGCACATGGATGAATTTAACTCACTTAAAGGATGTATGGTGGCGTCATGGCTTCATGTGAGATGTAGAGACCTGGATGGTCATTGATAAATCACTGTGGACCACAGATCTCCACCTATGCACCTATGTAGGAGGACTTTGACTCAGATGCTCTCCAAGCTTACTATTGTTTATCTGATTTTATGCTGTTCTGCTGCTTGCCCCTCGAGATCAGGTTTCATGGGTAGACAAATGTTAAGAGCCATGTGAATCTCGATGGAGCCTGTTTTTGCTTTGTTAGTTGTGTGTGTGTGTGTGTGTGTGTGTGTGTGTGTGTGTGTGTGTGTGTGTTGAGACAGAGTCCCACTCTGTTGCCAGGCTGGAGTGCCGTGGTGCAATCTCAGCTCACTGCAACCTCCGCCTCCCAGGTTCAAGCGATTCTTTTGCCTCAGCCTCCCAAGTAGCTGATACTACAGGTGTGGACCACCATGCCCAGCTAATTTTTTAAATTTTTAGTAGAGACTGGGTTTCACCATGTTGGCCAGGATGGTCTCGATCTCTTGACCTCGTGATCTGCCCACCTTGGCCTCCCAAAGTGCTGGGATTACAGGTGTGAGCCACTGCGCCAGGCCTGTTAGTTTTGTTTTAAAAACGTTTTAAGTCAGTGTTTTTCTTTTTTTTCTTTTCTTTTTTTTTTTTTTTTTTTTTTGGAGACAGAGTCTCGCTCAGTCGGCCAGGCTGGAGTGCAGTGGTGTGATCTCGGCTCACTACAAGCTCCGCCTCCTCATGCCATTCTCCTGCCTCAGCCTCCTGAGTAGCTGGGACTACAGGTGCCTGCCACTACGCCCGGCTAATTTTTTTTTTTTTTTTTTTTTGTATTTTTAGTAGAGACAGAGTTTCACCGTGTTAGCAAGGATGGTCTTGATCTCCTGACCTCGTGATCCGCCTGTCTCGGCCTCCCAAAGTGCTGGGATTACAGGCGTGAGCCGCCGTGCCTGGCCAAGTCAGTGTTTTTAAAACTGCTGCTTATGATCTATTAGATTGTTCATTCAACAGCTGATTATCAAATGCCTATTATTGTCTGGCACCGTTTAAGCATGGGATACACCAAGAAAAGATGTAAAAGATAATCATCTAGTGGGAAAAGACAAATAGGAAACAAAATAAATATGTAAAAATATATGGTATGTAAGATGGTGATTGATGCAGTAGAGGAAAATGAAGTGGGCCAGGGAGGAAGCATTGGAGAAGTTGTATTTCTGCATAAGGTGTCAGGAAAGGCCTAATTGAGGAGGATATTTGAATAAAGACTGAATGAATGAACTATGCTCAGACCTAGGGAGGAACATTCTAGGCTGCAGGATCTGTAAGTACTACGGCTCTGCAGCAGAAGCATGCCTGGCATGTTCTAGGAGCAGTGAAGAGGCACCATGTGGTTGAAGTTGAATAAGGTAAGAGAGTCCTAGGAGGTGGGGTCACAGACATAAAGGATGAGGGTAGGGGGTATTGTCTAGGGCCTTGCTGGCATTATAAGGAATTTGGTTTTTACTCTAGTTGAAATGGGGAGCCGCTGGAGGGTTTTCAGCAAAGGAATGATAGGATTAGATTCATGGTTCAGCATCTCCTCTGGCTGCTTTGTTAAGGATAAACTGAAGCATGGGCCAAAAATGAAAGCAGAGACAAGCTAGGAAGCTCTTTCAATAATCCAGTGGGTGGCCGGGCATGGTGGCTCATGCCTGAAATCCCAGCACTTTGGGAGGCTGAGGCGGGGAGATCACTTGAGGTCAGTAGAGTTCAAGACCAGCCTGGTCAACATGGCAAAACCCTGTCTTTACTAAAAATACAAAAATTAGCCAGGCATAGTGGTGCCCGCCTGTAATCCCAGCTGCTGGGGAGGCTGAGGCAGGAGAGTTGCTTGAACCTGGGAGGCGGAACTTGCAGTGGGCCAAGATTGCACCACTGCACTCCAGCCTGGGTGACAAAGTGAGACCCTGTCTCAAAAAAAAAAAAAAAAAAAAAATAATAATAATAATAATCCAGTGGGTGATGAAATCAATTTAGATGGTCACAAGTATTTCTTAAATAAAAAATATAGAATAGAAAGTACATTGCATATAGTAGGTGCTAATTATTGTTTAATGAATTTATGCTAAATTAATGTGGGTGTACGAGGATGCAGTATAAAATTATGAAGGGTTACTATAAAAAAATTTTAAAGCTATTGTTCTGAGGCATTCATATTATTGCCAACTAGAGGTGATTTTGGTTTTTGGACATGTTCTCAATGAGTGGCTCCTGTATGAAACAAGCTGTTTTCCTGTAATCGTGTCTCATCAGTCAGCAGTTGGAGGAAAGGATTCTTTCCTTGACCTTTCTCTCTTCTCTTGTTTTCAATTGTTTGCATAAGAGTTCTTTTTAGAAAGTACTAAATCATGATTTTTCTTTTCAAACCCTCTTCTGCTTAGGATTTTTTTCCAGACTTTTCTTCTTTCCTCTTCAGCATTCCTCTAGCTTTGTGGCCTTGTCACCTAATACTCAGTGCATCCACCCCAACTTCTTGTCTTGCCATCAGAGACTGCCTGTTTACCTGCATATCCTCCCACCCCCTCCTTCTGCACTGTTACTGTTGCTGTAGCAACTGCCATCTCAGTCTCCCTCCTTCCCCTTGCTTTTTTCCTTCTTGCCAACGACTATTCATTGAACTCTTCCCAGTTTTATGCACTGTGAGGTCAGGGCTGATACTATGTAAGGTGAAGATTAAATGGCTATTTATGAAAATTGTTATTTCACCAGCTTTTGGGTAGAGGGCGTTTTTGAATAAGCCAGGCCATCTGATAAACTCAAATGACTAAATGTTGAGTCCCTTATTTTGTGGAAAGTCATGATAATAAATCTGTTATTATACTGCCTCTTAATTTGCTTTGAGATCTTGATTGGTTCTGTGGGGCTTTTGGAACCTGTGGGCCAAAAAAGTTGAAGCGTTCTGGGCTCTAGAACACATCCACTCTGGGCATGTTCCTGTTCTGGAAGATAATGATTAGAAACACTGCAGTGCCCGCCATCCATATGTGCTTCATGAAAGGGCTGGATATGCCATTTGATTATATAAAGATTTCTTTACAGAAATTTAGTCAAGCCTTTCTGCCAACTTCAGTCAAACTTAAATTTATGGAGATTCAAAAAGTATACTGAATTCATCTGTATATCAAGCCAGAGAAATGTGGCAGTGAATCATGTTCTGGGGAAAATAAATGTGTTCATTCACAGATCGCAATGTGTCTTCCTTGGGTTGGTTGTCCGACAGTTCTGGTTCCCTCTGGAGGTTTCAGTCTTGGGACTGAGGAGTGCATTAGGAAAACAAAAGAGAAAGCCCAGGTTCTTCATCTCCCTTCCAACTCACATAAAATAAATGGTTAATGGATTATCGGGACTCTAAACATACTTGAATGCGACCAGTGTGGACTGTGACTCCCTGAACTTGCTGACTTTTTACCTAGTTCTAGTATCTTCTAGGATTTGTCATATTCTGTGGGTTGTATTATAGGAAATACAAAACATCCCATATTCCTTATAGATCATCCTGCCTTAAATCAGAAACTGTGATGGGGAGAGACTTTCTCCCATAGAAAGGACCTTGCTTTTCTCTCTCTACTTGGGATACGACACCAGCTCTGATGTCTGTGAGTTAGGATAGTAGTGCCTCGACCCCAAGCATTCCACCGGTCTTATAGAGCTTTCACGTGGAAACAATGAGGAAATTCATGCCAGTGGTCTTTGGAAAATCTTGTTGGTACCACCAGGTGTATCAGATGGATTAGTTAATCATGGATTTATAGTAATCTAGGTCCACAGAGCCTGATCTTGGAAGCTTTTTCAATTCCCTATGTTGTGCTAGAAGTGATACGCTCAATCACTTTCCCTGGAAACAGCCTTGGCCTGTTTCTCTTGTGTTCCCAGGCTTTAGCCTTGGCTAAGTACTTTTTTAAATGTTCTTTTTACCCCACCAGAGCAATAAAGAAGTCCAATTGAGTGGTTTTTGTGTGTGTGTGTGTACTTAAAAAAACAAAACAAAACAAAATAAACCCCACAGGAGACCACATTTGTGAGGAATGTTTTCCTGATGTTCTGAGGTGTTCTTGCTTTTCGCCCTAGGTCTTTTGGATCACCTTGGATCACCTCCTACCCTGTTCTTGTGTTTTATAGCAAATCCTTGGATGAAGATAGGTTGGGGTAGATGTATTTCATTAATTTTTCTTATAAAGATATTTTTATTTGAATTCACTGTTAACATGTTTTACTAGTTCTTTCAATATATTGCTCATCTCATTTGAATGTATTGGTGGCCACTTCTCTGAAGGAGTAGAGACAGTGGCATTTTCATTATCAAGATAAGTGTCTAGAAAGCAAGTCAGGATTGAGGCATTCTTGTTTGTATAGAGGCACCCCCATTTCTTCAAGAGGAAATGAGAAATTTCTTCTTCAGGGAATGTGTTGAGGACAGGAGT
This sequence comes from Homo sapiens, assembly GCF_000001405.40. Lineage (NCBI taxonomy): Eukaryota > Metazoa > Chordata > Mammalia > Primates > Hominidae > Homo > Homo sapiens. The sequence goes on along the minus strand of NC_000014.9, from coordinate 69,095,097 downwards.
ATAACTCTGATCTGAAGAGGAATTGGAGATCCTTCTGCGAACAGACATGAGACCATAAAAAGTGCCATGTTGTATGGTTAGCTTTTCATTGACTTTGATAATTTCTTTTTTCTCTGCCTTGTTTTCTCTCCACCCCCAACCCCACAAATTCCAAAATGGAATCATGTTTCTCACAGTGTGGTTTGAAAGCTACCTGTATCACAATTAACTGGTGTTGCTGGTTAAATTCAGATACCTGGGCCCACTTCCCAGATTGAATTAGAATATTGTGGGGGACAGGGGGTGGGAATCCTGAGAATCTACATTTTTTAAAGTCCTAGATGATTTTTCATGCATCTTACACTTGAAGCCAGAATCTTTGACATCATCTTTGTATCTTGACTATGAGGGCAGACTGCTTCCAAGCTTTGCCTTCCCGGCAAACCAGATCATCCTTATCATTCTCAGCAGGAGTGGCCAGCTGTAGACCCCTGCTGATAAATTACAGTTAATGTAACTTACTTTCTGGATTTCAGGTGTCATTTCATCCCTCTGGAAGGAATAGAATTTTGTGACAAAACATGAAGTTTTCAGTGTTGGTGGCTGCTGCTCTTTAAATAGCACCCCTAAGCATTCTAGGAGTGAGATTCCTTTGTACTTTCTTTGTGTGAGAGGTCAGAGTTCCCTGCCCAGAAGCATAGGCAAGAGAAAAGTTAGTTACTATCCTGGAGCCCACAACCAAATTCCTATAGTGTGATCAGACTGCAGATGGTGGGTCAGGGAGCTTGGGTGGGGTTGGGATGGCCCACATGCCTGTCCTGGGCAGACTCCTCTACAGGCCTGACTAGAATGGGCAGAGGAAGTTCCTGTTAACAGATGGAAAGGGTGTTTGCCAGAGGCCCTAGCTTTCCTCTCAAGGATGCCTGAGCTGCTGCAAACCCCTGCTGCTATGGGTGGTGAGGCTGGCCAAGTCTCTTTCTGTTGACTCTTGTTTCCAACCCCCAACTCCTAGTCAGTCCTACAAATGCTGGTTTATTTGCACACTCCATACTGATGTTGGATTGAAAGCCTCTCATTGTTTTTGAGTTCAGTGTTTAGATAACACCACATGCCTGTCGCAGCCACAGCACCCTGTAAAGGAAATGCCTGGTCTCTAACAATCCTGTCATTCATTTTCTGTATGCAAGAGAGTGTGGCCTGTGTTTAGGACCATTATAAGGGCATTTCTCTGCAGGGATTACTACTTGGGGCCTGCAGGGATACCAGGCCCCTCCTTGATGTCTGGAATTCTAGGGAGGGTTTTCTAAGTCTTCCCTCTTTACTTTCATTCCAATCCTAAAAGGATTACAGGTTGTTTTGCCCAAGGCTTGTTTCCACACATAGCTGCACTACCAGAGCATTCCTTCCTTTGGTGAGAAGACTGCTTTGGGGGACACAGGACTGACTGGGGCTGGTGTTGGTACAGGCTGTTTTTGTGACCAAGCTAGGTTGGCAGCTGCCTTTGTACTGTGGTTTCAGGGCTTCCCTTCCCATAGGATAGGATAGCTCTTTTCTTGTCCACTTAATTTTCCCCACCATTCTCTTGGCAAAAAAAGAAAATGTGTTATCTTCCTTCAATATTAACTCTCTTCTGGTAATATATAGCTCTTTTTTCACTTGGTACAATGCGATTAAAACTTCTTTAAAATGTTTCAGATAAATCTGTTAGGCTCTAATTTAGGCATCTTGAGGCCCTTTTCAGGTCTGTGATTCTCCAGAATTTATAAACTTTTTTCTCTAAAACTACTGGGATCACTACCTATCCATGACAATAATGTCTGCATGAGACAGAGTGAGTTCTGATGTGGCACTTGTGTCTACAGTGTCCCCAACATATATACTTCACTTTCCTGCCAGTAATTCAGTGCTCCAAAAATTAACCCAACATACAAAATAAAACTTGGTTTTGACATGGACTATGAGCAGTCATCCCTCTGTAATAAAATAGTGATCTTTACTGCCTGAAAGATCACACTTACCACCCCCAACAACCTTTAAAAATTAGTACTGTATATACTTGTTAATGTTCATGGCCATCCTGGTTCACTATAATGTTGAAAGTACCTTCTGAGTCATCAAAAGAAATTATTTAGAACCATACTGTGTGAAACTTTTTAAAAAATGTGAATCTTATGAAACTGCAGAAGAATATTAGGTGAACCAGAACATAGTACTCTTTAGTGAAACTAGATAAATGAAGTTCTATATATTAACCAAAGTATATTTTAAAGCTACATATAAACTTGTGGGGAATTGTAAAGGAAAACAAGTCATTTTCCTTTTCTAATTGTTGCACTGCTTGCTCTGCATTTAAATTTAAGAATTGTCTTTAATACTTATTATCATGCTATATAGAATATAAAAATTCTTTGTGAACAGATTAAAAATTCAAAATTAAGTAATGAAATGATTATGATTGACAAATTATCGATTATAAACAAGTTTCTATTGTTCAATTTTTTGAGATGGAGTCTTGTTCTCTCACCCAGGCTGGAGTGCAGTGGCGTGACCATGGCTCACTGCAGCTTCAACCCCCTAGGCTCAAGTGGCGCTCCCTCCTCAGCCTCCTGAGCAGCTGGGACTACAGGCACATGCCACCATGCCTGGCTAATTTTTTAATTTTTTTGTAGAGACAAAGTCTCATTATGTTGCCAGGGCTGGTCTCAAACTCTTGGGCTCAAGTGATCCTCCTGCCTCAGACTCCCAAAGTGCTGGGATTAAAGGCCTGAACCACTGCACCCGGCCTATTGTTTTTACTGATGGTTCTTGTATCTCTAATATGAAGGATGACTATATTGCTTAAACACTGTCCATGACTACCCAGTTAGAGTGGATACAACCCACTTCTCAGGGTCTTGACGAGTATGCTTTTGGTTGTGCAGTTAGCTTGGGTAAAGAAAATCATTATTTTAATATGTCTCTTCTTTCAAGATGTTTTTGTTATCCTTTTCTTGTAACTTTACTGGTAATTCATCTTTTGGAGACTGAGCAAGAGAACTGACAATTGAAGTAACTTGTTTTAAAGTAACGAAGGAAGCGTTGCTACCCTCATTATTCTAGCCACTGCACAGAAATATCCTTTTGCTGAAATTCAGCTATGCAAGCTTGACAGGAGGTCATAGGCAAACATGTGTTTTTCAGACTCTTGTTTAGCCTATCTCATGCCTGATTCCTGTGCCTTGTGCCTTCCAGTTCTCTCCTGCGCTATGGTGGAAACCTGTCCCTCCAAAGTGCCATGAGTGTACGATTCAACAGCAACGGGACCCAGCTCCTGGCCCTGAGGCGACGCCTGCCCCCTGTGCTCTATGACATCCATTCCCGCCTGCCTGTGTTTCAGTTTGACAATCAGGGTTACTTCAACTCATGCACCATGAAAAGCTGCTGTTTTGCAGGAGATCGTGACCAGGTAAATGCTGTCTGCCTCCTGCATCTCACACTTATGCTTTTCTTTCTGATTGTTCTTTCTATACTGGTCTTTATTTCTCATTACCATTATGTCAGGTAGAAACAATTAAGGGGAAACAGTGAGTGCCTGGAGATGTTCTGACTTAATAATAGTGAGTTTCTTTATCAAGGCTGTCAATGGGTAAATACAAGGCACACACCATAAACCAAGGCTGGCCACGATATGGTTCTGAGCCACCTAGCTCTGCCAAGTTTGTGAACAGATTTTAAGATTCTAAGAATGTGCCATTTCAGAAGAAAGGAGAGGGAATCCATGGAAAATTAGCCTGCTGGTGAGAGAGACATTAAAAAAAAGAAACCAATAAAACACAATGATGAATGAAACACCCTAAGTACCATCCAAGAGACATGTATCTTGAATGGCCTCTTGGGATGCCATCTTTTTCTTGGATGAAATGGGGTAAGCAGCTTTGTTTGAGAGGGAGCCAGATGCTGACTCTTTTTCTTTTTACTGCCAGCATCACAACTGGAAATGGAGAGCCCAAGCTGTGAGTTTCCAGCCTTTTCTGAGTCTCACCAGGAATGGAGATGCTGATGTTGACTTAAAGCTGGCAGTTTAAGAATATACTTGGCCTTCTTGCACCTTTCTGTCTTAACCATAGAAGTTCTGAAGTGTCAGTGACCAGTTGGGCTAATCTGGGTCACCAAGCCGAGGAAAGACAAATGGGAAGAAAGACAAATCTAAGGAAAGACTGATCAAATAAACAAATAGAATTTTTTATTCTCAAGCACAACAAATCTTATTGCTATTTCACATATAGATTGGGAAAAAGAAAAACCTTAGTCTCTCGCTAATGTTTAGTGTTCTTATCTTTGGGTCAACTATGTCAAATTTTGACTTAAAATTCTTATATGCTGTACCCCACCTCTTTAGAGTTATTTTTGGCATAAAAGAAATATAAAAGAGGCATAAAAGAAAAATTTCTTTGAGAAACTGGCAAGACCTCGCTTTTTGAAGTAAAAGCTAGGATTTTTCTCCTTAGATGGGGGTTGCTAGAGGCTTCCTAATGTCATAGTTTAAGGATTAGTAGATGTAATAGGAGCCGAATAAATGCCTGTTGAATTGTCTTGCGTGTAGATAGATGAGAATGTTCTTTTAAGTTTTCTGAACTAGAGATTTCCTCTCTTATAAATAGAGACTATATATCCAAATTCAGAATTTATACTCATGTTGGAGTCTTAGGGCCTACTTAGCTGAGATCCATACTGGAGACCACTAGGTGGCCTCAGTGATGTCTCCTTGGGGTGCCCACAGTACCTGAATGACTTAATTTGTATATACCTGTATGGCACTGCAGGGAATTTGTTTCTTGGGTGGGAAGAAACAGTTTCTATAGGCGATCAGACTCTCAATAGAACAGATATACAGAATGGTTGATTTAGCTTTGTCTGGCTGTGGAAATGACAATCAAGTCTCTCCCTCTCTTCCTTTTTTCCTTCTTTCTTTGCTTTTGTTGATTTCCTATCCTTTGTCAACTTCTTATGCATGTAATTCTTGTTTTGTTGAATAATAGAGCATGCAGTGAAGGTGATATTAATAGTTTACTAGGCTTTATTTCCAGAAACCAGAGGCTGAGGGAAAGGTGATTTTCTTCAGGTTGTGTTTAGCAACAAAGCCTATCTTCATGGACCTTAGAAGACCCAGAACAAAGACCTCTAGCCAACATGTAAGCACCTAGACCATGGTTTCCCATCCTTATCATTGTTAACATTTTGGCTAGATAGTTCTTTGTTGTGTGGAGCTGTCCTATGCATTATAAGATGGTTAGCAGTATCCCTAGCCTCTTCCTACTAGAAGCCGGTAATATCATCCTAAGTTATCCTCCAGGCAACCAAAAATGTCTCCAGACATTGTCCCCTGGGGGGAAAATTGCCCCTGGTTGAGAACCTGTGATCCGGATTATAATTACCCATTTTGCTCAGATGCATTGGGGCAGGTATTGTCATAGGCAGAGCCACAGAAGGTATTTTGTGATAGTCCTAGGTATATACATCAAAGATATCATTGTTTCTGTCTTTCAGTTTATATATAATTATAAAAGTATTGAATGGCTTTTGATTTTTCTCTATTTAGATTTGACTAATTTATTATTTGTGACTTGTCCTATGGGAAGAGTTTTATGGGTATTTTATTCTCTCTGACAGACAAGACTTCTTTTTGGCTGGGGTAAGTGGTTTTCCTTGAAAGAAGATGCAAAGTCATTGAATCTAACTTTGGGTCAGTTAACAGAGTTAAAGTCTTAAAAGTCTGTTCATATTCCTGAAATAGTTAGAGGTATATAAAATACAGAGATTTATATTTGGCTTTTTTGTTGACTCCTTAGGGACTAAGAAATGTAGCTAATTCATCATTGTCTTGTCTCCAAATCCTGGCACACAGTGAGAACACAATAAAAATTTGTTGAAGTAAATCTTGAGTACGTTGGTCAATGTGTGGTATTTAGCTTTGTGGGCCTAAGTCTTCTCTAACTGTAAATCAGGATTGATAAGTATGATTTTTCCTGTTCAACTTCCAGAGGCCTGGAAGGATGGATGAATTAAATAATTCATCCAATTAGGAGGATGAATTAAATAATGGATTTATAGTGGAACTAATCTACTGAACTTATAGTTTTTTTTAAGTGTGCACAAGAAGTCAGACTTACTGTCCCAGTCCTAGAACATGTCTCAAAGGTGATTTATAGGCTCTGACTTTCCACACTCAAGGCAGCAGTTGTCACAGTTACAGTGTGACCTGCAGGACTGACATGTATATTCTTTGATGAGTCTAGACAGAATCTTTTTTTCTGCTTTCAGTTTCCATAGCCTGCCTTTTCCTTATATTGGGCTTTATATTTGACCTCATTCCTGTGTGCTCTGAGAACACCCACAGCCTGAGGCTCTGTGTTCTGGAACTTTTCATTTAGTCATAGGCTGGGTAACCATCCCAGACAGGAATCTGAGAATTTCCGTAATAGGAATGAACATGGATGAGAAAAGCAGTAAGAGATCCTATTTATCTGAGACAGTCATCTGGCTTTTAATTATGAGATTATTCAGTCCATACAGATGGACCCAGATATTCTTCAGAGTACGTGTACTTCTTTTTAAACTATCCTAGGTTCACTAGGTAATTCATTAGCCTCAAAATAAAATTAACATTTCAAGAAATTAGACTTGGGGAATAAAGTGTGAAATATCTGAACCTCCTTTGTGTCTCCCTCATGCTCATTGCCACCACTGTAGATGAATTCTAATTATAGAGCTATTAGAGATCATTTTATACAAACCTTTTCTTTCACAGATGAGTAAACTGAGTCTCAGAGAGGTCACAAGTCACAACACATACAAGTTTGTAGGCAAACCAGGGCTAGAACCCAGATTTTTGGGCTCTCAATAGAGACCCCTTTTCACTGTACAAATGATCACAACTTGTTGCGGACAGGAGCAAGACAGGCAGCAAAAATAAGTGGATTGGGCTAGGAGTAAACATTAAGGAGTGGTGGGGATTGTGGAGAGCCCACATCCCATCTAAATGGGCCAGCTTCTGTACAGCTTTAGCCCGTTGTTGTCAGGGCCTCCGATTTTTTTCAAGAGAGGACAGAAATAAAGATTTTTATGTAAGGTCTCTTGGTTTTAAAATATTACAACAAATTCATACTTTATTGTATAGATGAAACAAATCTGTGCACCATACCTATTCTGCTCTGGATCCACCAGTTTGAAACCTCTGTGCTTCATTCAGCAAGATGTTTTTTCTCATGTTTAGTGCCATGGTCTGTCACTAACTCATGGAGACAAGTTCCTTTTTCCTGCTTCCTGCTGAAGGCTTCCTAACTTCATGTCTTTTTCCTTCCTCCATCTTTTAAAATAAGAGAGCATATATTTACTGAGCATTTACTGTATGCCTGATGCTGTGATAGATACATTCACATAACATTGCCAGATGGTACCCTCTTTGAGATTTGCACTCAAAGCCCTTTATACAATCTGTCTTCCCCCCTTTTGGCTACAAATACATAGTTTGTTTCTTTCTAGTATATTATAATTATTCAAGTTTGATAACTTCTAGCATCAGATCAGGTGACAAAAGTGACATCAGGTTGGCTGGGTATCAACAGAAGCAATTAGCCTTAACTAAAGGCTTACACTTTTTTACTTTTTTTGTTTAAAGCAAGCCTACCTTCTAGTCTTGCAATATAGTGCGGACTCTGGCAGTAAAACAGCATTCCTTTCCTTGGAGGCTACCTGAGCCCAAAGGTTCTTCTTGCTTTCACTTCCTACTTGGATTTTTGTTTTGTTTTCTCCCTGAAGCCTGACTGGGTACATTCTGTCTTCTAAGCTTCATACACTTCTCTACATACTCAGTGAGCGAGTCTCTTAATAGGGTTAAAAAAGAATGCCAGTATTCTACCTGCTGGCTTTTCTGGCATGCACATATAAGACAGCACTTGGCTCTTGTTCCTTCTCTTTCACAATTCCTTAAATGGCTCTTGTCCTAGATTGTGAGTCCAATAGAATGGCTCAGGCTTCTGGTAAGCAAGTCTTTCAGTCTAGCAAGCATGTTTGCCTCGAACTGGATAGTCTGATCATTTAAAGTATTTCTTGCTTTAGTCTCATATGATGCCTGGTCTAATAGTCCCTACATCTTGCTGAAAGTAGGATGTACACAAAAGGAGAAAGTATAAGATTTTCTTGAAAAGGCTGAGCACTGGCGTACCTGAGCACTGAGATCTCTTATACTGGTCTTTTGAACTTGATAGATGGCAAGGCCCCAAAAATCGTGATCATAAAATCATCCTGTCCCATCCCCTGGAGGAAAGAGCTGACTTGCACCCTATGAATCCAACAAAATGGCCTTGGATAAATGGCCTCCCTCAGACATTACATCACCACTCAACCTCTCTGGGTTGACACTATATGGGTATAGCCAAGGTATGGAATGCAGTAGTAAGTACTCTCTAGGCCAGAGAGGCCCTCTAAAGTTATAACTTTGCTTTTTTTTTTTTTTTTTTAATAACTCCATGCACGCCTGATTAAGCCCACTTTGGGGCCTGGCATGCCATATGTTCTCCTTTATCTGAAATAAAGATATACTTTTAATGGGGGAAATTCAACCGTTGGTTTCCAGCCTTTGATTTGTTGTGATTTTAGGCTACTCTTTTTTTTTTCATCTCCTTGCCATTTATATCTTACATATTTTTAGCCCTTTAACTTGTAAAGCATTTTCATATCCACTATTATGTTTTTTTGTTGTCGTTGTTTGTTTGTTTGTTTTTAGACGGAGTCTTGCTCTATCACCCAGGCCGGAGTGCAGTGGCTCCATCTAGGCTCACTGCAACCTCTGCCTCGCAGGTTCAAGCAATTCTCGTGCCACAGCCTCCGGAGTAGCTGGAATTATAGGCACGCGCCACCACGCCCGGTTAATTTTTTGTGTTTTTAGTAGAGGCGGGGTTTTGTCATGTTGGCCAGGCTGGTCTCGAACTCCTGACCTCAAGTGATCCACCCACCTCAGCCTCCCAAAGTGCTGGGATTACAGGCATGAACCACAATGCCCAGCCCACTATTATATTTTAATGCTCCCAGCAACCTTTGGGTGCAATTGGACAGGTTTTATCCTCACGTGAAACTGAGGCCGACAGTAGTGTGAAACGGCAAATCGAATTGTTAGCAAAACCAGGACTAGACTCAGTTTCTTGTTTATGACTGTACCCTCTTGCTCATAGGCATGCTGCCCACTGTGTTATAGAGATCAAGCAATGATATGGTCTGGTGAGGAAGAACTGAAAACAGAATGTCGTGGCAGAGGAATTCCTTGTATGTCTTTTTTAGAGCGTGAATGTTTTAGGAAACTTTTTTTGAGGAAGGGGGCAGACTTTCTGTTTTGTAAAGAGAAGGTAGAGGGAATATAACTTTTTTTTAAAGGTACAAAAATAATTAAAACAGTAACATACATTTGTATGTATGAGGGAGGGATATTTAAAATTAAAATATTATATCATCACAAGAAAGATGAGATATTCCTTACTTTGCCCTTGGGCAACCAAGAAAATTAAAGCCTGTTTTATATCCCAAAAATAAGAGAGACTTGATAGAAGTAACAGTGTTCAGTGCTTGCAACCGAATTCAATTTATACTCTTGTTAGATAAGTCCAAATTCTAAAGGCTACAAAAATCCTGTTAAATCAAGGGAGGAAAAGAATCATTTTAGGACAAAGTTATTCAAGATGAAAGAAAGGCATGTCTTCAGTGAGAGAACTGCCTGCGGTTGGATGTTTGCTTGCTAATATGTTTAAAGATTTTGGACTTCTCAACTTTCTTGGTTTTCTGGTAGCCAAATCCACCACTGCCTACTCGCTTTTTCTGCTTGCCTTCATTGCTGTTGACGTTCAGATCAACAAAGGGAGGCACCTTGAAACCAATGACAGCAACTTGAGGCAAATTTAAGTTATTAAACATTAAAGATCTGTTTCAGAGAATGGGAATCGTAGGTTTGTATGTATGATTTATATGCTTCCTGAGCTGACTTATGAAAAAAGTAGTTCTTTTGAATCAATTTCTCAAGCTGAGACTGAATGTCAGAAATTTTAGACCAGGAAAAGTCAAATTCACTTAATGGAACCTTGGATCATTTCAGGTAGTGAAGAAAACCCAATTCTTCTGGGTGCAAAATGAGCAAGGCATGCCTTCTCCCATTTAGGTCTCTGGCTGTTCTACCCACACGATGAATATTATTCCTTAGGGTCATCCGGAGGGTCATACTGAACAATCCAGTTGACTTCAGTAATGTCCAGTTCTCTTGCTGCCACATCTGTACACAATAGTGTTCCTGAATCTGCATTGCAGAACTGGAAGAATGTGGTCGTATGCTTATTTTGCTTTTGCTTTCCATGAATGGCCAAGATGGGCAAATCAATGTAGTTCAGCAACTCATAGTGGTATTTCACGGACATACAAGATGAAAAGAAGGCCATAAGCTTCTTTTTTTGGTTCTTCTTAAGGAATGTAAAGAGTAGAAGGAATCTCTTTTCAGAAGGACAAACAACATATCCCTGCTCAAGACCATCCACTGTTGCATTAGCTTTATCGTCATCAACACCAACATACAATGGCTCCTTTTTCAGAGAAATCCTTGCCGGGCCTTCAACTTTTCAAGTTTGGGTGGCAGAAAAGAGCATCGTCTGTCTACGTGTTGGCAAAAGTTTAATAATTTGTTTTAATTCCTCTTCAAACTCAACATCCAAGATACGATCAGCTTCATCGATAACCAGACACTGCAGATTTTTATACATAAACCCTGGGATATTCTGCATATGGTCCAGCAGACAGCCTGGTGTGACCACAGTGATGTTGATCCCATTAGCAAGTTTCTGTGCTTCAGCAGATCTATTACTGCCACCCATTATCAACCCATAGGTATGCACGTGGTGACTCATTAGCTCCTTAAGAACACCAAAAGTTTGCATGGCTAGTTCTCTAGTAGGTGAGAGAATAAGGACCCCTGTTCCATTCCTGGGCATGAAATTTAACTTAACAATGAGTTCAGCTGCAGGATGAGAAAAGCTGGGGTTTTACCACTGACGGTTTTTGTAGCTGCAAGAAGATCCCTGCCTTCCAGAGGTGGTCTGATACTTTTATGCTGAATTTCAGTCACGTTTGTAAAACCCATTTCTTTTATTGCCTTCAGAGTGTTTTCATTGACAAGATTACATAAGAAGCAAATGAAGTATCCTCAAAAGCTCCTGTCAGTCCCAGGGGCAGGCTGGGCATCTCACTGTCATCTTCATCATCTGGCTTCTCAACATTATTTTCTGTTTCTTTAGGAGACTTGGCACTTTCTTCTTCAGATTCCCCTTTGTTTTCAGTTTTTGCTTTTTTTGTATCAGACTCAGCATCATTCACCATTTTTCTCTTCTTTTTTGATTCTGAATTAGGAGACTGCATTGCTGCTTCTCCATTGGTTAATACGGTGGATTTCTGGGGAGATTTTTTAACTTTTATATTTTCCACTGCTTCTTGAGACACATCTCCATTTTGAGCATCTGATAAGCCCACATTCATAGAATGTTTTGATTTTTTAACCTTTCCACCTCCCGTTGTTTCTTCAGACACATCTGTATTTTGAGTTTCGGACAGGGTCAGATTTGAGGCCCCCTGCAACTTTAGGTTCCACTGCCGCAGTTTGAGGTTCCACTTCTTGATCTTCTTGCGTAGGAGTTTCATCAGCAGGTGAGACATCCTGTCCAAGCAGTGTCTAGACCACGGGGCCAGACAGTACAGCTACTCAGTTCCGGAATATAACTTTATTAAATCAGCCATTTATAACTCTTTTTGAATCCTGGACCTTTTTGAAACTCTAAAAGCTATAAACAGTCATCTCAGAAAAATGTACACATCTACATTGTTTTCCATATAATAATAAAGTGTTTATGGAACTCTTGAAACCTAGAGGCTCAGGTATTATCAATCCTGGATTAAGATTTTACCTTTGGATTATGTTGTCTTTTAGTCTGTTTACTGATGCAATTTTAGAACTTAAAAGCTTAAAAGGTTTTGGAGTATGTGAGGCCTGCTAGGTATGGTCTGGTTTGTAATCGTTCAGTTGTAAAGGAACACAAGGTGACCTGGATTGTTCTTAGGAACAAGTGGAATTGATGTAATCTGGTGACAGGACATGGCAGTTCTTTAATGCATGGCTCCTGGCTAAGAGTCTGGCCCCACTAGGAAATCCCTGGTAGATGTTAATGAAGGGGAACAGAGTATAACCTGTCTCATCCTCCTCCTTAGAAATTTTACTTTTAGTAGAAGAGCTTTGCCTCTTTTTGAGATATCTTCAAGCTTTGGAGAAAAAATAATGTTACTTCCTCAGAATGCTGGAACACCTTTGCTTGAATGAAGAGTATAAATACTCATATATGGACTGAAGTGAGTGCTATCATCTCCTCACTCCCCAGTCCTCACATACAAAAACTGAAGCCCATGGAGGGGGGCTAATGGTTAATGGCCCCTCATCTTGCTCAGGTTTCCAAAATGGTTTGCCAAATAAAGATTCATCTTTAAGTAACGCTGGCCACTTTGTTATAACCAGCTGTTGGTAATTTACAGCACTTTTTTCCTTTTCTGCTGATTATTTGACTGTTATTGGCTGCCTTTATGGAATATTCCTTAATAGAATTTTTTCTACACAGAACCCATAAAGGTTGGTTATTTTAATAAACTGAAAGATCCAGAAGCCTAATGGAGCTGAAATGGCAAATGGCTCAAAGAAGCAAGAATAATGTAACTTCACTTGCAAAAATAGTGTTAATCTTATGGGTATGCGTATTTGTATGCTTTTATTGGGAGGCAGTGAAATTTCTCTTACCACAAATAAAATAAATCTACGGCTTTGCCCATTTCCAAAGAAAATTTGCTCTGATTGCTTTGGTTGGTATTTGTGGCAAGCACTGGTTATAAATGGTATGATCAAAGGTGTATTATATGCCAGTTAGCAAACCTTTTTCTGGAAATAGTCATCTAGAGAGCATATCACAAAGTTTTCAATCACATTGTTTTTCCCTTTCTGACAGAAGGTCAGGGGAAAATAAGAGCTGTGTTTGATTTAAATTTAAATAGCAGTCTCTCTGCTGTTACTGATCCAGGCTAGCGAGCCATCTGGTTTTTCTGTCCTAGTCAATACAGCTAATTAGACAGGCATGCCATTTACTGGAGAATCATTAATCAATTACTATGGAAGGAGCCTTTGGAGAGAACTGGGTAAGTTGATCAGTACTCAATGAATAGTAACTGATTGATATGTTTCCTTCTTCATCAACAGATGTTGGAGAAGATCAAATCCTGTGTAAGCACGCACCACAAACACACACATACACACACACACACATTTTCTATAAAGGTCAATGGATTGACAGAGGACATTTGGGTCAGTGAGACAGTGACAAATACCAGTCAGTAATCTTTTTCAGTGTTGTTCTTGGTGGTGGTCATGATGGTGGTTCCTTCCTGAAATCTATTGAGAGAGAGTTGTTGATCTCTTCCTATGCTCGAGCAAGTTAGTATCTCCACACTGACAGTGGATTGGATGAAACACCACCATGCACTGGCCTCAGGTTAACCCTACTTAAAATGTCTAGATCAGTAAACATTCAGATCAGTAAATAGCTTGCCCTCTTGGACCACAGAATGAATGAAAAGTGAGGTGAATCAGAATGTGGCCAACTTTTAACCTTTGTAGCCAGCTGGGAAAGATTATGGATAATGTGTGTCCACACAACTCATGTTCATTTTAGCATTGATATTTCCCACCTTACCCACAAAACCAAACAAAAATTAAATATATCTTCCACGCTGATCTAATTGTAGTCTATGGATCTCCTACCTCCCCCTCAACTCAGGGTGTTTTGGGAAATGGGGACTTTATTGCCTAGATAATGAAGTATTTATCTAGAAAGAATGAAGTATTCTTTCTTCCTCTTGGAGCCCCGCCCTGTTCTTCTCAATAGAGTATAAGATAAAAGGCTGTGCGAAGTGAGTTTCATTTTTTTTGTTTTTTATTTTTTCTTATATTCTTTTAAATCTTATTATTTATTTTTTCCTCTTACATTTGTTATTGCCTTTTTTTAGTACTAAAGCAGAACATGAAGTGAGTTTTTAATCTGTGGTTTCCCCCTCGTCATGTTTAGAATGACGTTAAAAAAAATAACTTAGAGAAGGCAATGAATTTTTCATATTCATGTCCCCATTTGGCCACAAACTTCATATCACTTTATTTAGTTTTTGCCTTTCTAAAGTTGAATAGTAATTTTTAGTTTTTTTCACAGTAGTGTATTAAATATGAACGTTGGTTGTGAAGTCATACATCATAAAAGGAAATAAAAAATATGAAACATAGGAATTTTGGGTAACCAATTTTTCTACTATGTTTCTATAGCTTGCCTATTTATATAGGAGTATCTGCTGTTGAGCCTTTCTGTTATCTAGGCCAGAAGCATTTTGCTCCAGGTCAGCTTCAGACCCCAAACACCAGATTTCCTGGGTGAGAATGAGCAGGTACTATTTGAAATTAGATCATCAAGATAAAAGAAAAGACAGAGAGAAAAACCTGTGCCTCCAATTTCACTACTTGAGGTGAAGTTCAGTTTTCTGGTTAATTGAAATAATTACTGTGTTTCTTAAGTTTTAATACGATGAAGTACTTTGGGTTTGTTTCCTTTGGTAGTGAAACAGTGCCACTGGCACTGTTTGGTCTTTGTTTTCTTGCTTATATTTCCTTGTATCCCACAGCAAATATTTGTAAGATGGCCCGCCTAGACCTGCAGTGTCCTGGTGGTCCTCTTAAGCACTAACCATCAGCAGCGCCCCACTCAGTGGCCCCAACCAGCCTGAGTCCAGGAGGGGATGATCCTTTCAGCATAGCTTTAGAAGACAGGAATCTTTCTAGCTGCTCTTATGATAGTAAATGTATCTCTGTACTCAGCTCACTTGAAATAATCTTTATTTCCACAAAGCTTAAAAAAAAGACAAAAGAGCTCTTAATGGCTACCTTATATTTTAAAATAGCCAGAACTCTGTCTGCTCTCCTGGAATACTCTTCTCCCAGATATCCACATAACTTGCTGCCTCATTTCCTTCAGGGCTCTATTCAAAATACCATTTTATCAAAGAGGCCTTCTGTGACCACCCTCTGTAAAACGGAAACTAACACCCCAACCCCCAGCACTCCCTATATGCGCTAACCTGCTGTTTAATTTTCCTCTGTAATATTTGTCACCACTGGACACATTATATATATATATGTTATTTTTTGTTTAACTTTTTTTTGCTCTACCCACATTATATATGTCTGTAATATTTTCCTCTTCCCATTAATGGAATGTAAGCTTCATGGGACAGGAACAGGGTCTCTTTTGATCAACTCTGCCTTCCCTTCCCTGGAACAATGCCTAACACATATTAGACATTCAATAAATATTTGTTTAATGAATAAAGGAATGACCTCACTTTTATTTCTGTCCTTATAGTCAGCAGTATCCCAGGCAGCCAACTTTTAATGCTAGAAGGCATCCAGCAGACAACCGTGAAATGCCATAATGAATTCTGCAGGACAGTTTTGTGATTCCAGAGTGTGTGAACACTTAAATGCCCTTACTAGATGGCAGCGAGGCAAGACGCCCTCCCTAAAAATCATCCCTAGCTGTTCTCTTATGGTGGGTGGAAGAAGAGTTCCAAGAGGAAGAGAGATCAGGAGTTGCCTTTATCCCTAAGAGGAAGCCTGTACATTCTATGCATTTTCTGCATATTTTAGGAGCTGTCATATTAAACCCAACAGGCCTTAACTCTGGGAGAGTTTTCTTCCTTCTAAGGCAGTCTTCTGAGTCAGCATTCTGTCTGAGAATCCTGTTTTCCCTTCTCATGGCTTTGCCCTGATGAATAGCCGAACAAATAGGAAAGCACTGATGCTTCACGATGAAATAGTAAAACCCCTGATAAGACCACTGGGCTCACTCTTCTTAAATATTACTTTTTGTTTGTTTAGTTTGCAGTGGTATGGGGGGCAGGGTAGCAGGAATTCCACATGAAGTTGATAGCCTCTTTTAAACGTGTAACGTAACAGGAAATGGTGGTGCCCGCCTGTAGTCCCAGCTGCTGGGGAGGCTGAGGCATGAAAATTGCTTGAATCCTGGAGGTGGAGGTTGCAGTGAGCCGAGATTGCACCACTGCACTCCAGCCTGGGCGGCAGAAACTCTGTCTCAAAAAAAAAAGTGTACATTAAATATATATGTACATTTACATTGTTGTGTAACCATCACCACTATCCATCTCTAGAACTTCTTCTTCATCTCAAACTGAAACTCTCTGCCCACTAAACATCAACTCCCCATTTCCCCTGCCACTAGGCCCTGGCAACCACCATTCTACTTCGTGTCTGAATTTTCATGACTACTCTAGTAGGATCATATAGTATTTGTCTTTTTGTGACTGGCTTATTTCAGTTAGCATGATGTGATGTCCTCAGAGTTGATCCATGTTGTAGCATGTGTCAGAATTTCCTTCCTTGTTAAGGCTGAATGATGTTGATGGACACATAGGGGATTGATTCCACCTCTTGGCCATTATAAACAGTGCTGTTATGAACATAGGTTGCAAGTATCTCTGATCTTGTTTTCAGTGCTTTTGGATATATACCCAGAATTGGAATTGCTGGATCATATGATAATTCTATCTTTAATTTTTGGGGGAACTATTTTCTGGGTCTTTGTTTTGTTTTTCATAGTAACCATTCTGATGGGTATGAGGTGGTATCTCATTGTTTTGATTTGCATTTCCCTAATGATCAGTGATGTTGAACATCTTTTTGTGTGCTTAGTGGCCATTTGTATATGGCCATGTTCTACTTCTTTGGAGAAATGTCTGTTCAAGTCCTTGGCCCATTTTTAAAATCATGTTGTTTTTTCTTTGTTGTTGTTGTAGTTTAGGAAACTTTTAAATTAAAGTTTAACAAGACTGGCCTTATGAGTTTCCTTGTCTTGAGCATGTTTGTGGAGTGACTTATCAAATCACTTGGGCTGGCAGCTTAGGGACTTTTCAGGTCTAATCCAGCCTCCAACATTCCTTCACAGTGTAATCATAGAATCTTAGAATTAAATGAGCCTTACAGAGCCACCAGTCCAGTTCTCTCATTTTGCAGATAAAGAAACTGAGCCCACTGCTTTTTCCACTGTGCCCTGATTACCTAATCCCTATAGATAGCATTTTCTTCATCTTTAAACCCACCTGTCTTTGCCTTTTTTCTCATGTTCCTACAAGTGTTTTGAAGGCTAGGAAATTGATTTTAAATGATTGCACAGTATTTAGTAATTTATGTTAGGCAGGAGGTTGTGTGTATGTTGGACTTACACTTTTTGGGGATGTTCGATGTCATTTTCAAGTATGACATTTTCTTTAGAAAACTCTAGACCTGGCTAGGCGTGTAGCCTATTCCTATAATCCCAACACATTGGGAGGCTGAGGCAGGAGGATCCCTTGAGCCCAGAAGTTTGAGACCAGCCTGGGCAATGGAAGTGAGACCCCTGTCACTATAAAAAATTAGCTGGGTGTGGTGGTGCCTGCCTGTAGTCCCAGCTACTTGGGAGGCTAAGGCAGGGCAATCATTTGAGCCCAGGAGGTCGAGGCTGCAGTGAGCAATGATTGTGCCACTGCACTCCAGCCTGGGTGACAGAGCAAGACCCTGTCAAATAAATAAATAAATAAATAAATAAATAAATAAATAAGCTACATGTCGTGGTGCATGCCTGTGTTCCATCTCCTGGGGAGGCTGAAGCAGGAGGATCACTGGAGCCCAGGAGGTCGAGACTGCAGTGAGCCATAATCGTGCCACTGCACTCTAGCATGGGCAACACAGCAAGACGCTGTCACATACACACACACAAAAGGAAAACAGTAGGCCTTTCTTTTTCAGGGAAATGAGCAGATGGGGGCAAAAGACAGGACGAAGTAATGCTGACCTCACCTTAAAGTAAAACACGTTAATCACTGGAAATAAATGAACTCTCAAAATTACTCTCTCGTTGCTATTAGACAATGTTAGACAATACTTTTATGAGTTCACATTAGAGTAGATCTGGCACAGTGTCCTTTTTGAGATCAAGCAGTTTGGAGCTGCCACATAAGAGACCACTGCTTATGCCCAGGCACTAATTCATGGCTATGTTGGTGATGGCTTCCTGCTCAAAGATATCAGCTGGCAGTAAGGAAGTTCAGGATACTTGGCCTTACGTGAAAGATCTCTGGGAAGCTCCTAGTTTTTACGTTCTGCATTAAAATTTTTTTTTAATTGTGGTAAAATATACATAACATGAGATTTACCATTTTAACCATTTAAAAATACACAGTTCAGTGGCATTAAGTACAATCACATTGCTGTGCAGCCATCACCACTATCTACCTTCAGAACTTCTTCATCATCCCAGACTGAAACTCCCCAACAAACGCTAACTCTTCATTCTCCCTCCTCTTAGCTCCTGGCAACCACTTGCTGTTTCTGTGAATTTTATTACTCTAAGTGCCTCATATAAATGGAGTCATACAATATCTGTCTTTTTGTTTCTGCCTTATTTCATTTAGTATAACGTCACGGTTTATCCATGTTGTAGCATGTGTCAGAATTTCATTCCTTTTAAAGGCTGAATAATATTCCATTGTATGTATTACCACATTTTGTTTATCCATTCATCTATCAGTAGACCCTTGGGTTGTTTCCACCTTTTGGCTATTGTGAATAATGCTGCTATGAAAATGGGTATACAGATATCTCTTAGAGTCCGTGCTTTCAATTCTTGGATATATACCTAGGATTGTAATTGCTGCATCATGTGGTAGTTCTATGTTTAACTTGTTGAAGAATTGCCATATTGTTTTCCACAGCAGTTGCACCGTTCGTTAGTCATTCCCACCAGCAATGCACAAGGGTTCTCACTTTCTCCACATCCTTGCCAATACTTGTCAATTTTTTTTTTTTTTGGTAATAGTCATCCTAATGGGTGTGAAATAGTATTTCATTGTGGTTTTGATTTGCATTTTTCTAATTATTAGTGATGTTGAGCATCTTTTCCTATACTTACTAGCCATTTGTATATTTCTTTGGAGAACTGTCTAATTTGCCCCTTTTTTGAATTTTTTGAATTAGGTCATTTTTTGTTGTCGTTGCTGAGTTTTAGCTAACATGCCTTTTGATTTGCAGGTATTTTTAAGAGGGTGTTTGCTGTGTGGTGCCTTATAAATATATGCCCATTTATCTTGTTTATTTAAAGGAAATCTCTGTACAGATAGATATATTAAAAATCAGTATGTTTAGGCCAGTTGTGGTGACTCACACCTGTAATCCCAGCACTTTGGGAGGCCAAGGCCAGCGGATCACCTGAGGTCAGGAGTTTGAGACCAGCCTGGCCAACATGGTGAAACCCCATCTTTACTGAAAAATACAAAAAATTAGCTGGGCGTGGTGGCGTGTGCCTGTAGTCCCAGCTACTCTGGAGGTTGAGGCAGGAGAATCACTTGAGCCCAGGAGTCGGAGGTTGCAGTGAGCCGAGATTGCACCACTGTATTCCAGCCTGGACAACAGAGCAAGACTCCATCTCAAAAAAAATTAATATGTTTATTGTTACATATTGTATTTATTCTATATTATAATATATAATGTTATCTATATATTTTTTGTTCCAACAGTATATCCTTTCGGGCTCTGATGACTTCAACCTGTACATGTGGAGAATTCCTGCAGATCCAGAAGCAGGCAAGTATATCCTTCACATGAATGTACTGCTATTGCTGGCTCTGTTGACCTTTGGCATGCTGTGCCCTGAGGGGACAGATCTTTAGCAGTAGAGGACAACATTTCTAACATAAGCTGTGACCAAAGGAAATTTAAAAATAAAAATTATAAACCAGATTAAACTATATCCCTCAGACATAGTCTTATCTGACATAAATGATGCTTAGATTTTTTTTTCCTCCTAAAAACTTTTCTTCAGACTTCATAGAACTCCTTTATGTCCCTTATTTCCAGTCTCCTCCTATTTCACACCTGGATTTTTTTTTTTTTTGAGACAAAGTTTCACTCTTGTTGCCCAAGCCAGAGTGCACTGGTGTGATCTTGGCTCACTGCAACCTCTGCCTCCCGGGTTCAAGCAATTCTCCTGCCTCAGCCTCCTGAGTAGCTGGGATTACAGGCACACGCCACCACACCGGCTAATTTTTTGTATTTTTAGTAGAAACAGGGTTTCACCATGTTGGCCAGCCTGGTCTCAAATTCCTGATCTCAGATGATCTCCCCTCCTCAGCCTCCCAAAGTGCTGGCATTACAGGTGTGAGCCACCGCACCCAGCCCACACCTGGAATATTTTTGTCTTGCTTTTATGTGCTTTGCTTTTATTATCCATCTTCATATTCTTGCTTATTATTCTACAAACAGTTGGTAGGGCTCTTTCTTTCCTTTGTCCTCCCTGGTCATGTTAACTAAAGGGAGGCTTTCTTTGTTGATGGACAGGTATGTTCCCTGGGGCTTTGTTGACCCAGGACGTCAAAGAAATTAGGAAGAAATATTTTTACATTTGCTATAATTGTATTCTGAAAAAAGGCTGCAACTTTCCATAAATTTGTATTTAAGCTATCTGAGCTTTCAAACAGTGTGGATCATACCTCTTCATTCTTTTTACTTAGTTTCCCCCCCCTTTTCTTTTTCTTAGGATGGTTTGTTTCTTAATCTTCTTCATTTTTGATAATAGTGTCTTCATGTGCTCAATGAGTGTTACCTAATGGTAGAAAAATGTCTGTTTTTAATACTCAAACAGCTCAATATAGCCACCTGTTCCAGGTGATACATGACATTAAGCTGGAAAATGACCTTTAGGAAAATTAGAGGACTATGCCAAGTATATTACACAAAACGTGTCTATAGTAGTGCTCAGAGTTTAGGGAAGTTCTTGGCTGTTGCTGAATTAACAATATTCTTACCAAACATCTGCCTTTCAAAACCTGTTGGGGCCTACTTTTGGCATAACTCAACATTTGCTGTGGTCTAGTTACTAAACAAGTTACAAAAGGGCTTTTCCTCTTCTAGAATTTAGAAAGTGTGAGTGAAACAGCTTACCTTTGACACAAGCAAATGGAACAGCAGTAGTCTACCTGAACAAAGAGTGATGTTCTAGCACTTGAGGTGGTTGTGGATACAAGTCTCCCACCCCTGTAATTCCTAGCTTGATTCGTTGAGAAGTAATCTTTGGGTTTAATTGTATCTTTTACCTGATCTTGAAAAGCTTTTAATTTGTTAGTATGACTTTAAAAATAGAATGTGGATAATCCTTCTTCTCCCCAGGACTATTCTCTGGAATGTTTTTCACGTTTGAATAGAGAGAATAGGAAAGAATTAGCAATAGTATTGTAGGTTTTTTTCTTCTCCCTGCTGCTTTCTTTTCTTTTTTTTGTAAGAGACAGGGTCTCACTCTCTTGCCCAGGCTGGAGTGGAGTGGCATGACTTTGGTTCACTGTAGCCTCAAACTCTGGGCTTAAGTGATCGTCCCACCTTAGCCTCCCAAAGTGCTGGGCGTATAGGCATGAGCCACTGTGCCCAGCCCCCTGCTGCTTTCTTTACTGATTTAGGATGTCGACCATCTAGTCTGCCAGAGCTGCAATAACGAAGTATCACAGACTGGGTGGCTTAAACAACAGAAATTTATTTTCTCACAGTTCTGCAGGCTAGAAGTCCACGATCAAGGTGCTGGCAGGTTTGGTTTCTCTCGATGTCTCTTTCCTTGGCCACCTTCTCACTGTGTTCTCACTTTTCTCTGTGCACATGCATCCCTAGTGTCCCTTCCCCTTCTTATAAGGAAGTTCTCATGTCACCTTCTAGATGTTCTCCAGGGATAGTACCCCTAAGTTTATTTAGTAGTTCCTTAAAAAATAGTTATGTCAATTCCTCTGCTGTACTGATTTTCTCTCCTGAATTTGTTCTACCCCATTTATGGATTAACTGAATACATCTAGCAGATTTAGTCTGACCAGGCCAGATAAGAATCTTTGGCTGCTTTATTCTAAAATGCACTATGCAGTGTTTCAGAAAGTACACCCAGTGTCACATAAGCTTTTTTAGAGGCCACAGAACCCATGATCTGTTAATACTTTCCACATAGGCTATGGTTGGTTCTGCATCCCCATCCTTTACTTGGTACTTGGGCTTCTTTGTGCACAAGGACAGGACCTTATAACTATCCCTGTTGTTGGATTCACTGTAATTGAGGGTTTGTTTTCTCTGTATCACTCTTCAGCATTACATTGTTAATCACAGCAAGTCTGTCCCTTTGATCATCATCTTGCTCTGTATGTAACTAAAGTATCTTTTAAGATTATTTTTAGCATGTCTTGACTCATTTGGGGATTCAACCCTTCTGCCACTATTCTTACAGATCCCACCCACATTTTTTTTCTTTTCTCTCGTTTTTTTTTTTTTTTTTTTTTTAAAGTCAGGGTCTCGCTATGTTGCCCAGGCTAGAGTGCAGTGGCTATTCACAGGCACAATCATAGCATACTGCATACAGCCTTGAGCTCCTGGGCTAAAGCGATCCTCCTGCCTAAGCCTCCCAAGTATCTAGGACTACAGGTGTGCATCACTGTGCCTGGCCTCTTTTATTTTTTCTTATTCATGAATCTTCTCTTTTTCTTTCTGTTCTTCCTTCTTGTTCTTTTTTATTACCTCCACTATTTTTGTAATTAAGTACTTCTTTTTATCAAAGTAATACAGCTATATAATTTTTAAATCAAATAATATTATAAAGCTTATTTTTTAAAAGCACAATAGTCCCTTTCTCTACCTTTGCCTATAACATGCTCATAATATTTTTGGATTTTCAATATTAGACATTCTCTGTTGACTTTCTACTATTGAAATCAGTCAGTTTCCCAAAAGAGGAATCTTCATTCTCCTACCTAGAGAGTATTTGCCTGGTAATTAAACTATGGCTCTTAAAAGCCAAATAGGGAAATGGGGCTGTGGGTCTTACAGATCTATATGAAGACTTTTGTTTAATGACACCCCCAGCTGTGCCTTGTATTGCCAATCTAAAACCTCTTTGGGTCAATGTCAATTGGCAACCCCCAGACTTCTGCTTATATGGGGAAAGGATGGTTTCCTGGCCATGTGCATGGTTTTAACTCCTCCTGTTTTCAGCCCTACTCTTCAACATGGCTTCAGGACTATTTGGTACCTCTCATTTTTATATGTAATACCTCAATTTTTAAATGTTGGCAATTAATGCATAGCTATAAAAAATATTTAGCAAGGTTCAGCAAGCCTAACAAGATATCTGTGGGCTGGATGCATCCCTTGAGTTCTAACTTTGAATGCTTAGATGAGGAAAATTTTGTCAGGAAACTCTTAATCCAACCTAATGTCTTTTTGACTTAAATAATCATGGGCCAAAGATAAGTGCGTACACATTCATTCATTCATTCATTCTCTCTCTCTCCCTCTTCCCCCTCCCTCCCTCCCTCTTTCTCTCTCATATTCTCTGTGTACCTTTTGGATATATGATTCTAAGGCAGGCTAGTAAGGGAAAGCTGGCTTGCCATTGTATACCTAATGGCATGATCAGAACTAGACTCTAGATGACAAGCAGTCAGCATTTATTTGATGCCTGCTGTGTGTTTCATGTGCGTGCCGAGTGCTGAGAGAACGAGATGGAGAGTGGTCCTGAGTGTGAGCCAAAGTCAAGGCCTTCTTTTTCTTCTGCACACTCCTGCTCAGGAAGACTGTTAATCAGTCTTTGTTTTTTTTGCTATACAAACTCCAAAGAGATGAAATTTATTTACTGTATAAACAATACTATATAAGTCTTTCCAATAGGACTTCCTAGTGGGCTGAGGAGATCATTTCAAGATGTAAGACCTATATCCACTATAAAACTTGCTACCAGGGAAGATCAGGTCCAATTTTTTAGTAATTTCAAACAACTCATTCTAAAAATCCCTTTAAAAATTAAAGGAAGGGGCCGGGTGCAGTGGCTCATGCCTATAATCCCGGCACTTTGGGAGGCTGAGGGGGGCAGATCACTTGAAGTCAGGAGTTTGAGACCAATCTGGCTAACATAGTGAAACACTGTCTTTACTAAAAATTCAAAAATTAGCCAGGTGTAGTGGTGCACACCCATCATCCCAGCTACTCGGGAGGCTGTGGCAGAAGAAACGCTTGAACCCGGGAGGGAGAGGTTGCACTGAGCCGAGATTGCACCGCTGCACTCCAGCCTGGGTGACAGAGGAGACTCCGTCTCAAAAAAGAAAAACAAAAAAAAAAAAAGAAAAATAAAAATTAGAGGAAGGAATAGAACTAGAACTGGGAATTTTGCTGTGGCAGAGAAGAAGTCCATTGGAATATGTCTAAGACCTCTAAAGTAGGTAGGAAGGGCATCTGTTTTTATGTGGTAATTCTGAAAATAAAATAAGTAGACCAGCAGTTACATATAGAGCCAGTGTTACATATTGAAAGGAGCATTAGACTTAAAATCATACCTGGATTCAAGTCCTCTAACTTGAACTTAACTACCACTAACTACATGTCTGATTCTTAGCAAGTTACATAATAGTATTTGTCTGAGCGTCAGTTTCTTACATAAAATGTCTCCTACCTCTGCCTTATATTGTGTGTTGATTTAATAATCTTGGAAGCTTTCTGAAAACAATGTGTATTCAAATACAAGACATTGTTATTGCTATGTATAGTAAGATCGATGTAGATCCATCATTTCCAAAGCATTTTTTCCCTAGTAAGTTAGGTATGAAAGTAATGGATTTGGCAATGTGTGGGAAAGGTTGGTAGGTGTCTCTTGAAAATATTTATATTGCCTTTCCCTTCTCTTTCCCTGAATTCTTGTTAGAAAGGGCTTTAGGGTTTTCACAGGTTGAGTTGCTTTTCCAGAGCTACCTCTTACTCTAAGACCTTCTTATTTATGGAAAGAAGCATAATGTGATAGAGTTGTTAGGAATGGCTTTAAATTCCTGATCCATTTATCTTCCAACTGGGGGCTTTGGAAAAATTTCCTAATCTTACCAAACTCCTGTGAAATAAGGATAATACCACCACCAACAACAATAATACTTTCTTAGGATTATTGTGAGAGTACTTAGTAGCTACTCAACGACTGTTATTCCTCACTAAGAAAGCCTTCTCGGCTGGGCACAGTGGCACATGCCTGTAATCCCAGCACTTTGGGAGGCTGAGGTGGGAGGATCGCTTGATGCCTCAGGAGTTTGAGACCATCCTGAGCAACATAGTGGGAACCTGTCTTCACAAACTTTTTTTTTAAAACTAACTGCTGCTAGGCACAATGGCTCGTACCTGTAATCCTGGCACTTTGGGAGGCTGAGGCGGGAAGATCAGTTGAACCCATGAGTTTGAGACCAGCCTGAGCAACACAGCAAGACTGTGTCTCTAATAATAATAATAAAAAGAAAGAAGAAAAGAACGAAAGAAAGAAAGAGAACAGAAAGAAAACTGGGCATGGTGGCATATGCCTGTAGTCCCAGTTGCTCAGGAGGCTGAGCAGGACTATTGCTTGAGCCCAGGAATTTGAGGCTGCACACTTCAGCAACAGAATGAGACTCCGTGTCTACAAAAGAAGAAAAAGAAGGCCTTCTCCCTTTTTAAACTCACCTTTTAATAACTCCTTAGAGATCAAGACATTGTCCTTCCTTGCTACCCACCTGGAATGGCTGATTGAGTTGTTCTTGCATGAAGGCTGCCCTTGACTCATCAGTAGTTCAGGAGGGTTCTCTTATGTGACAAATTTTTCCCTGAATGGAAGGGAAAAACATGTATTTTTACTGCCGAGTCACTGTAACCACCCCCACTGGCAGTAGGCTGATGAAGTAGGCTGGAAACAGCTGTAAATGCATTTTTTTGGGCCTGCATATGTTTGTGTGCTCTGTCTTCTTTTTCTAGACATGTATTCACTCTCAGTGACTTAGGCCTAGGTATCTGCTTTTTCCTCCCATGTAACTGGAAAAAACAGCTGTTTTTAATTGGTTGCAAGTAGTTGGTTATAAACACATGTGAGGCACATATGATGAAAGAAGAACTCAGCATAACTGACTTTTTTGTGCAACTAAGCATTGATGCCTGTGGAGCTCTTTGAGCTGTACTGACAGCATTGGCTGTCCCCATCTGGCTTTTCTCATTTCTTAAGTAGTTATGTGGTCTCCAGGAGGCAGTCACTGCTCTGTCCGTATTGTCAGTATCCTTGATGGTCCTCTTTATGGTTTGACACTGGAAGACCCTGCAACTGTTCACTTGGGCCTTTTTGAAATGCTAAGAGGCTTGGATACCTTTTTTAGATGTACCAGGAAAAGAAATAGTCTATGCCTTGCAGTAAACTTTTTTTTTTTTTTTTTTTGAGATGGAGTTTCATTCTTATTGTCCAGGCTGGAGTGCAATGGCATGATCTCGGCTCACCGCAACTTCTGTCTCCTAGGTTCAAGCTATTTTCCTGCCTCAGCCTCCTGAGTAGCTGGGATTACGGGCATGTGCCAGCATGCCCAGCTAATTTTGTATTTTTAGTAGAGACAGGGTTTCTCCATGTTGGTCAGGCTGGTCTCGAACTCCCGACCTCAGGTGATCCTCCTGCCTCGGCCTCCCAAAGTGCTGGGATTACAGGCATGAGCCACCACATCTGGCCCTTGCAGTAAACTCTTAATTCTACCAGTGGGGTCAAGAATGAAATAGATTGTCTTAAATCTACTTACCAAACCTCATTTTAGCAGATAACTTTAACTTCAAGCTTTATTCCAGAGAGGATGATGAGGGCTTTAACTTCAATTTGTTCACTTATTGAGTATCCTTAGATAAGACATCATGTAAAGCTCTATGGGCCACTGAAAAATGAACATTTTTTGCCTTCAGAGAGCTTCCAATATAACAGAGATGAAAAAAGGATGTGCATGGGCACACACACAGACATATGCACTCGATGTAAAAGTGGCTTCTGAGGCCCATAAAAAAGATAATGAAGGAGGTCTTGAAGAGATTTGGGAAGATTGGTAAAGTTTTCCTGCAGTTAGCATTTCAAAGGACCCTGAAGGATAGATAGGATTTCAGCCCCTTTATTTCTCTGCTCCTGCTTAACTACATTATAGTAAAAATGCTGTAAAAGAATATCTGGGCCAGGTGCAGTGGCTCAGGACTGTAATCCCAGCACTTTGGGAGGCCAAGGTGGGCAGATCACGAGGTCAAGAGATTGAGACCATGCTGGCTAACATGGCGAAACCCCATCTCTACTAAAAATACAAAAATTAGCTGGGCTTGGTGGTGCGTGCCAGTAGTCCCAGCTACTCGGGAGGCTGAGGCAGGAGAATCGCTTGAACTGGGGAGGTGAAGGTTGCAGTGAGCCGAGATCACGCCACTGCACTCCAGCCTGGTGAGACTCCATCTTAAAAAAAAAAGAATATCTGGGCTGGATTAGGTGGCTCACACCTGTAATCCCAGCACTTCCGGGGGCCAAGGCAGGAGGATTGTTTGAGCCCAAGAGTTTGAGACCAGCCTGGGCAACATGGCAAAACCCCATCTCTACAAAAAGTACAAAAAATTAGCCAGGTGTGGTGCCATGTCCCTATAGTCTCAGCTACTAGGGAGGCTGAGGTAGGAGGATTGCTTGAGCCTGGGAGCGGGGGGTTGCAGTGAGCTAAAATCATGCCACTGCATTCCAACCTGGGGAACAGAGTGAGACCCTGTCTCAAAAAAAAAAAAAAAAAAAAAAAAGATACGAAATCGGCTGCAGGAAGATGGAAAAAAAGAAACATTTATTGGGTGATGGAGCCCATATGTGAAGATTTTTTTTTCCTGCATGCTTGTGTTCCACCATCTAATACACTCACATCTTTTCATTTCATCATATATTTATTAAAAACCTTACTATGTGCTAGGCACAGTTCTAGAGACTTGGGATACAGTGGAGACAGAAGCCCTGCTGTCATGGAGCTTATGTTCTAGCAGGGGAAACAATGAACAATAAACATAGTAAATTATGTAGTATGTTTAAAAGGTTAGAAGTGCTATAGAAAAAGTAGAACAGAGGAAGACGGGAAGTGGTATTGAGGACAGTGTCCCAGCATGATTGATAAATTGCTATTAGACCAAGACATCAAGAAATCTTGACCACATTGCTTTCAGCTTTTGAGTCAAAAACGTACTCATTCTTGGAGGACTTCATGAAGCAAATGAACTTGACACTAAACAAAAGCAACTGAAATTGGCTAGAAATGGGAATAGTATTCTGGCTCTTCAAAGGCCTGAGGCAATAAACCCCTGGCTGAATGTTATGAAAGTGGGCCATAAGTAGAGAAGGGAGGGAAATTAGGACATACACATTTCCCTTAGTCTTCTCTAGGGAGACATTTGACCTTGGCATTTAGAAAGATCTTTATCTGAATTTTGAGCAAGGTGTTTTCCCCTGGGATCCTGGGGTCCCCTACGGTAGTAAGTGGATTACTGATACTGAAATTCTGTGAGATACCTTGTTCTCATTTTCTTTTCTGAGATCTTGCAATAGATATGGTTATAGTCTTCCCTACCCCCCTACCATCTCTTCTAAATCAAAGAAAGATTAATATATGGGGACTTTGGCCTCAACTTAGGAACTAAACTTAAAAAGGAGTGTCAGCTGGCCAGGTGCAGTGGCTCATGCCTGTAATCCCAGCACTTTGGGAGGCCAAGGCGGGCAGATTATGAGGTCAGGAGTTGGAGACCAGCCTAACCAACATGGTGAAACCCCATCTCTACTAAAAATACAAAAAAATTAGCTGGGCGTGGTGGTGTGCGCCTGTAATCCCAGCTAGTCGGAAGGCTGAGGCAGGAGAATTGCTTGAACCCAGGAGGAGGAGGTTGCAGGGAGCTGAGATCATGCCACTACACTCTAGCCTGGGCAACAGAGCAAGACTCCATCTCAAAAAAAAAAAAAAACAGTGTCAGCACATTTGGCTAAGCCAACCAAAGCAGATGGCCCAGAGAAATGACTGTTGGTTTATACAGAATTTTATAAACAAATGGCAGCTCAGGAATGAGATCCTTTTTCCTGGGTATGTGGTATTTTATTTATGGGTACCCATTATTAGCGATTCAGTCAGGACTTAGTTCAGCAACCAGGGGGTGAAGTTGATCCTTACCTGGGCCCTTACCCACAGTCTTAAGAGATGACCCTGAAGGGAGATTATGTGGGTTATATAGTTCTTGGATAAAAATATGCCCTTCCTGTCTCCTTCCAATTTGATACTACTATTGACCAGCATGGTCTGATTAGATGACAGAGGAAAGGAGACCCTAGATTCTTTCTGATATTGGCATTTTGACTTTAGCTATTTCAAATTAAAGGAGAAGCTATCTGGCTTATACAAATTTCTAGGACTAATCTCAAAAAATGATTGTACGTAAACTGTTCAGTAGCAGCTATATTCAATAATATCAAACCTGGGAACCAGGAAAGAAACTATGAAAAACCTCTCTGAAGCCATTTATTGCTATGATTGTACACAGTCTTGGTTACCTTAAACAAATGGCCACTATAATTCTGCCTGTACCTATTTTCACCATCAGTCTCTGGGTTTATTGATTCCCTCTTCTTTTTCAGATTTCCTAGGTACCAGCATGGGTGGAAAGAAGGGCAAAAAAGACCTTGTGTTAAAATTGCTACCAAGAAGAAAAATCAGGGCTGGGTGTGGTGGCTCACGCCTGTAATCCCAGCACTTTGGGAGGCCGAGGCGGGTGGATCATGAGGTCAGGAGTTCAAGGCCAGCCTGGCTAAGATGGTGAAACCCCGTCTCTACTGAAAATACAAAAATTAGCTGGGCATGGTGGTGGATGCCTGTAATCCCAGCTACTCAGGAGGCTGAGGCAGAGAATTGCTTGAACCTGGGAGGTGGAGGTTGCAGTGAGCCGAGATCGAGCCACTGCACTCCAGCCTGGGCAACAGAGCAAGACTCCGTCTCAAAAAAAAAAAAAAAAAAAGAGGTCATATTGCATGAAAGTGCAAGAGAAACAGTTTTTCCATGGTCTGAATTTTCAGGCATTGATAGCCTTCAATTAGTCTTTAGATCTGATAGTTACTTTAATTGTGTTCCAAGTCAGAAAGATTGGTTTGGTTGATGCACTTTAGTTCTATGATAGCTGATTCTTTATATGAGACCTTCCAGCTGTCTTCTTTTGACATACTTATTCTAAAATTGCTTTCTTTTCAAACACTATGCATTCAGCAAGTATTTATGCACCTGGTGGACTTTGGACATTGCACCCCAGGTTCTAGGTATGCAAGAGTAGGTAAGACAGATCCAGTTCTATTCTCATCATGTACTCAGTGTCAGTGGTGTGATGAAATGGCTTATGGTAATGCTGTAGAGCTTGTGCTCAGGATACCATTGAATACAGTGCCCCTCCTTTTAATTTAGAACTTCAGAAGAAAACCACCTATCTAATAACTGCCTGAAAGATTTAGAAATCTAAATCTTTTGAATGTAAGCTTCTAACTCCATTCCTATTCAAACTCTTCCATCTTCCAAAGGCAGCTGATATGGTGGAAAGCATATTAGGCATTGTAGCCAGACTCTGGTTCAAATCTTGGCTCTGCCATTTTCTAGCTTTATGACTTGGGATAAGTCACTTAAATCCCCCCACATCCCCCCTCTTTTTGAGGCAGTAGGATTAAACAAGAGACTGTTACTAGATTTAAATCAAAGTTTCTTTGCTTAACCACCCCAGTGGGAGTAGAGGTAGAAGTAGGATGTTAAAAAAGTAAAATTCAGAGGACACCCATGAGCAGAAATGCTACTTGTCATAATGAACCTTATCTAGAAGAAATAGACCCAAAGGAACTTTTTGGGGATGGTAGGATCTCTCTGTCAAGACAACTATTTTTGGGTTCTTTAGATTCCTATTTATCCCTCTTCCCTAATTCTCTCTAGTTTATTTTCATTTTGACTGGCCCAGCTTCCCTTTCATACCACCTTAGGAAGCCAGTGCTAGGGGTTCCCACCATGGCAGTCTACATCAGTGCCTAACTTTTCCTTGTCCTCTTTCTCCATGAAAAATCCACTAATCCTGTGTCCTAGTCCCTCTCTTTTTTTATGGTTTATTAGCAAACTTGATGTTGGGCTGAGATATGAATACGATAAATATATTTTCCATTCTGGACAATTCAAATATTATTGTCAAATATGGAGAAAAATTTTGTCACCCATCAAATAGATTGAGCACCTAAAGCTGGCTGAGTGAGTAGATGGGTGCAGTCTGGAACCTTTTGCTGTCATAAAAAAGATATGTACGTGGCAATAAGGAGGTATCTCTTCCATGAGACAAAAGAAGAGTTGTGTTAGGGGGCCAAAAGCAGAAGATACCCCTAGAGCCATATTATTTCTGGGGAAGGGACATTGTTGTAGTCATTTTCCCTCCAAACACAGACATTGAGAAATATTTGGAATGAGTGTTTGAACAAGGTGGAGTTGGGAGTGGAAGGAGGCACTTGGAGCAGAGACTGTCTAATGATACTTTGTGGCCTAGTGGCGCCATGCTCCTGGTAGGGACTAAGAGGGGATCCCTTGAGTAGATAAATGAACACTCATTTGTTTGTGTCTGGATGCAACACATTTTGCCAGTTAGCCAAATGCACATGTTTCTCTGTGTGTCCTGAGTTGTCTGATTGCTCAGAAGGAACTTGATCAGAATTTATGTGCATGTGTTCTGGATGGATGTGATACCATTACCAGTGCAGTGGAAACTTTGAATTTATCCCAAGTTCATAAATGATAACATGTTTATCTATGTTACAAGTTCCAGGCCTCTGGCACTTTTCTCATTCACTGAAGAAGGAAGCCTATAGGATGATCCTTAAAATACAGCTTTCTATCGATGTCCTCTTGACTTTAATCTATACATGGTATCTTTAAGGCCCACTCTCTAATTCTGATTTTCAATACTTGGACCCTGCTTATTATGAAAGTGATCCAAATTTTTCTTTCTTTCTATATCCTTAGTTCTCCCTGCTATCGGGGGGAAAAGTATTCTCTCTATTATTTCCCCCAGTGGTTTTGGTTTTTATGGGGTTTTTTGTTTTGTTTTGTTTGCTGTCTTCATCATAGAAACTGAGGGCAAATGGATTAGAGATGTTTTTTGTACATTTAAGTCATTATATGCTTCTGGTTCTGCGTGTCCTTGGTCCAGCTGCCTAACTATTCCCAAGCAGTTCAGTCTCATTTTGCTCATGGTTGGCCTTTTCTAAGGTAACACTTGGATTCTATCTTGGGGATCAAAAATTTGAGAAATGTTTTAAGTGGCTTTGGTTTCATTGACAATGGAATTGCAGTGGGTGAGTGTGGGCAATGCTTAAAGGCTAAATAAAGGCTCTTCATAAGAGCACATATGCTGAGAGCTGTTTCATCTTCTCTCTTTCCATAGCAACTTATCTGTAAGATTAAGCATTCTGCTGGTGGTATAATCCAAAAATCTTTGCTCCCATTCAGAGCTGTTTATCTGCCATTACTGGAACCTATTTACTTTCATTCATTTCATCATCTGATTTTTGTTTCCTTCTGTTTTCCCAGGTGGCATTGGTAGGGTGGTCAACGGAGCCTTCATGGTGCTGAAAGGGCATCGATCTATTGTTAACCAAGTCCGATTTAATCCCCACACCTACATGATCTGCTCTTCTGGTGTAGAAAAGATTATCAAGGTGAGGCACCTTCCCCTTCTGTCCTTTTAGAGAAATTCTCACAATTTATAATTAGAAGAAACTAGAACAATTTATGTAGGACCTCATATTTAAACATACTAAAGGTCTATCAGAATTCTCAGATTTTAACATATTACAAAATATTAGAAAGCTGATATTAAAAAGTGATGCCAGGCATAGTGACAGTACCTGTAGTCCCAGCTACTTGGGAGGCTGAGGCAGGAGGATCACTTCAGCCTAAGAGTTTGAGGCCAGCCTGGAGAACATAGCAAGACATCATCTTAAAAAATAAAATAAAAAATAAAAATAAATAAATTTTAAAAAAAGAAGAAAGAAAGGTGATTTAAAATGCTCTTTTCAGAACCATTTAGTTTTTCATTAAAAAAATTTTTTTAGAGACAGGGTGTTGCTGTGTTGCCCAAGCTGGATTCAAACTTCTGGGCTCAAGCGATCCTTCTGCCTGAGCCCCCCAAAGTAGCTGGAACTACAGGCATGCACCACTGTACCTGGCTTGGAACCATTTTTTTAAACTAATCACTAGGCTTTGAAACAGAGGTTGTCTTCTAGACACTACCTTGTATGCTGCAACATTTTCAAAAGCCTTTGGCCTTGAGTATAATGTATTCTGTTTTCCAAACCTCATCTGGAGGTTAGGAGAGCCACTATGCCCTCAGTTACTTTGTATGTACTTTGCATTAATTGCCATCCTAATATGGCATGGATAAAACTACTGATTGCCAGAATCATAGTTAAATTGTCTCAGGATATATCACAAAAACTACTGCATGTGGTTGTAATTGAGGCTACTTGGGTATGAATACTAAATACTTGGATCATTTGCACATTGGCTGAATGAACTCACCTCTACCAGGAAATGTTTTTATAACTGCAAAAGTGGGTCCTAGCCTGGCCTGTGTCCACAGAAGGATGACCCACTGCCCATCACTTGTATTCCAGTTGCTAGTACCATTTTTTCCACATCTGAGAAAATGAGAATTCACGGTAAATGATTAATTCTTGAGGTCCCTGAGATAATGACTTTTAAGTAAGAATAGGTGATGTTCCTGCCAAAAGCTAAAATACCTCGATTTTGCCTGGGTGTGGTGGCTCACACCTGTAATCCCAGTACTTTGGGAGGCTGAGGCAAAAGGATCACTTGAGCCCAGGAGTTTGAGACCAGCCTGGGCAACATAGTGGGACGTGGTCTCTACAAAAAATTTAAAAATTAGTGTATACCTGTGGTTTTAGCTACTTGGGAGGCTAAGGCTGAGGGATTGCTTGAACCTAGGAGGTCGTGCTACAGTGAACCATGTTCCCACCACTGCACTCCAGCCTAGGCAACAGAGTGAGACCCTTGTTTAAAAAAAAAAAATCCTCAATTTTTTTATTAAAATGACTTTGAAAACCTGAGAGTTTTCAGAGAAAAAAATAAAAATTGTGATTATTTTATTTCATAATTTTCATTTTCTTTTGTTCTTAAAAAAATAACTATCCAGAGCTAAATCAAATTGTACTTCATGGCAGGGGGCAGCTGTCAGAAATAAAATATTGAGGCCAGGCGTGGTGGCTCACGCCTGTAATCTCTACACTCTGGGAGGCCGAGGCAAGTGGATCAGCTGAGGTTAGGTGTTCGAGACCAGCCTGGCCCAAATGGTGAAACCCTGTCTCTACTAAAACTACAAAAATTAGTCGGGTGTGGTGGTGTGTGCCTGTAGTCTCAGCTACTCAGGAGGCTGAGGCAGGAGGATCACTTGAACCCAGGACGCGGAGGTTGTAGTGAGCCAAGATTGTGCCACTGCACTCCAGACTGAGTGACAAAGCGAGACTCTGTCTCCAAAAAAAAAAAGAAATATAATATTGGCATGTAGGTCAGTATTTTTATTTGCCCTTAGTCCAACTTCCTTGATTTAGGCTTTGCTGGTCTTGTGGATCAGAGCTGACTTTCATTGCAGCACACATTTCCCCGTGGGGCTAGAATGAGGAAATCATTTTTACTTTTTCGTTTTACAGATGATGAGATTTAAATTATAAATTAACTGTCCAAGGTCACACAGCTAATTGGTGGCAAAGCTAGGATAGAGCCCTGCCCTTTGTTCTTCCCAGTCACCACCACATTTGCCATGCTGGTGGGAAGGCAGCAAGCATCCTGATTCTGCTGCTGGATTCTATCCTTTCAGTAGGGCAGTCATTGAAATGGCCCAGTCCCTTGCATTGCTTTCCCTTCTCCTTTGGCTGATGACTAATGGGTTGACTCTGTAACGTGTCCTCTCCGGGCCTGTTGACGTCATTCTGTTTCTCAGAGAGCTTTCTGCTTGGGTATCTCCTTTACAAGAGGAATTCCTGCTTGAGTGTGCACTCTGGGATGCTTCTGTGATAAATCTCCCTATTTATTGTTTAGTCAACTGAAGTCCTTGCCCTAAATGTCATATGTTGCAAACTAGCCAAGTTCTCAGAGGAAAAAGAGAAAAAAGTGTTTTATCTGTGAGGTTATCCAGACTGAACTATGGAGCTCACTGCTCCCTAGTTTGCATGGGATCTGAACCCTCTTCCACCAGGAGGCACATTTAGCCCTTTGAAACATTAAGTATGTACAGATGATCATAGTGAGAAGGAAAGCAAAAAGCTCTGGAGTCCTCAGCTTTGCTGTCTCACAGGTGTCATCCCCATTCACAGTCTGGCTGGGAATGGCATGGCACTAAGCATTGCAGGAAGGCAGGTGGTAAGGAGAAGGATGAGACCAATGGCCATGCTGGCCTCATCTCAATTGGAATTACTGCCTCACCCTGCACTTACGTTATCCTGAAAGGCCGCTGAGTCTCGACCCTTGGTTCTGTCTCCCATCTGGAAAGTGAGGGTGCTGACAGTGACTTACCACCCAGGAGTGCCTTGTGAATTACCTGTGCCTAACTCCTATTTTAATAAATGTCACTTTCCTGCCTGCTATTTCTGAGAGGATCAGTGGCTCAAAGAGCGTTAGCCACCACATTCTGGTCCAGCCTGAGACCTGCTTTTCTCTCTCTACTCCCCCTTCTTTCTGTCCTTGTCCTTTACTGCCACCTTCCTGGCTAGGAGAAGAGTCCCTATTGTCAGGGACAACACAGGGAAACCCCATCTCTATGAAAAATTTAAAAATTAGCCAGGCATGGTGGTGCCTGCCTGTGCTCTCAGTTACTCGGGAGGCTGAGGTGGGACGATCACTTGGGCCCAGGATTGAAGCTGCAGTGGGCCATGTTCATGCCACTGCACTCCAGCATGGGTGACAGAGTGAGACCCTTTCCCAAAAATAAAAGCGTATCATGATCACTTGTGTAACCCAAACACTTGTCACTTAATTGCTTTCCATTTTTATGATGTTTGAATAAGAATTGAACTGCATCCTTTTTCTCAGCAGCCCCTTAAGCTAAACTTCACTGTGCATGGAGAGGAAAATATTTGTCTCATCTCTCGTCTTGTCTCTTCACTTCTTCCTTTCTTTTCCTTCTTTTCTTTCCTTTTTTTTTTTTTTTTGAGACAGGATCTTACTGTGTCACCCAGCAGGCTGGAGTACAGTGGCACGATCATGGCTCACTGCAGCCTCAACCTCCCCAGGCTTAGGTGATCCTCCCATCTCAGGCTCCTGAGTAGCTGGGACTTCAGGTGTACACCACCACTCCTGGCTAATTTTTGTATTTTGTAGAGACGGGGTTTTGCCATGTTGTCCAGATTGGTCTCAAATTCCTGGGCTCAAGCGATCCTCCTGCCTTGACGTCCCAAAGTCCTGGGATTACAGGTGTGAGCCACCACGCCTGGCTCTTTCTCATGAACTTTGCCCGATTATGAGACATGTCTAGCCATATATATATATATGTATTTTTTTTCTTTTTTGAGACAGGATTTCGCTCTTGTCACCCAAGCTGGAGTGCAGTGGCGCGATCTCGGCTCACTGCAACCTTTTCCTCCTGGGTTCAAGCAATTCTCCTGCCTCAGCCTCCCGAGTAGCTGGGACTACAGGCACCTGTCACCACGCCCAGCTAATTTTTGTATTTTTGGTAGAGACAGGGTTTTACCACGTTGGCCAGGCTGGTCTCGAATTCCTGACCTCAAGTGATCTACCCGCCACGGCCTCCCAAAGTGCTAGGATTACAGGCTTGAGCCACCACGCCCGGCTGCCACATTTAACATGTAACAGGAAGTTGGTTTTTCATTGATTCACTTCTGAGTTGTTAACTTTCCAGTGTAAAGAGATTACCAATTTCACAAATGGTTGGAATTTATATATTAATACTAAGGATTAGGACCAAGATAATAGGAACGGTCAGTACTTATAATGTTCAGAAGTTTCTCTGAGGGTGGGTTTTAACATTCTGGTTGAGGCATTCAATTGCCAAATGAAAGAGAAAACATCACATTTATTGGTGTTGGGTATGGGCTTTGGTATCATTCTCATTTACACATATGAGAAACAGGCTTTCAAGTGTGAGGTCATTTGCTCAGGGCCACAGGAAATGACAGGTCTGGGGTTCCTACCTGCTCCCCTTACTGCTGAAGTGCTGTACTGTGTGTCTGGAGTGAAGGTTTTGTTTTGCTCTGAATCTTAGGATTGGATGAGACCCATCTAATTTACTGTTTAGAGGAAGGAGCTGCGCATCACCCACTAACTAGGAGTCAGTGGGAACCCCTACTCAAGACTCCTGCCTCTTAATCCTGTGTTTCACTCCATTACTCCAGGCTTCAGGAATGAACAGTCTACCTCAGCTTAATACATTCCAGAGCTCAAATGCAAACTAACTTTCAGTGTTATGACTTTCATTCCTGAAGGGAAAATGTAGGAGCTGGGTAGTAATACACTGGAACTTAAAAATGGGCTTAGTAAGGAGTTAAGCCAGCATCTCACTGTTGTTATTTTGTACTTTAGTTAACTAGTTGTGAGTTTCTGTGAGGTACAAATAGATTTATCTTCATATTAGAGAACATGGTTAATGACATTTTACCACTTTTAAACTGGAGAGGTGAGAGATTTGGCTCAGAATTACAAATAAGATGCAAAAAAAAAAAATCCTAAGGGCTTTCCCTTTTGGACCCCTCAGCTTCCTTTCTAAGCCACCAAGCTCTTTTATTCCCTTAGACATCTCTTTGCAGAGATAGTAATTATAGCTTAAGCCACATGCTGGAGACCATGTGTAAACCTTCAGATAAACCCTTTATTTTATTCTGCTTATTTTATGGTAACTGTAGTCTAGTGTTTCTCAAAAGTTGATCTCCCTACTTACTCATCCCTTGAGTGGTTAAAAATGCATGGTCCTGATACCTGTTCATGACTTACTGAATCAGAACCTCTAAGAGTGGGACTGAGGAATCAACATTATAATTGCTCTTCTGGTGATTCTTGTGCACTCCAAAGTGAAAACCAATCCCTTGAAACTCTCTAGGGTAAGATTATGAAGCTGGAGAGGAGAGAACATCTGAGCCACATCTAGAGTTATGGGTAGGGAACAAAGTTGAAGGAGGAATGAATCTGAGTTGGAAACTGGTGGAGAGATGCTAATCTAGAAGGTTTCTTCAGCCTCTTTGGAAATGGGGGGTCCTCTGCAGAGATACCACCTCTCAGGAATTGCCAAGTAAAGCATGGCAGGAATGGGACTCAGGAGAATTCCCACAGGGAGGTGCATTTGTCCTTAGATAGCTTTGGGGAAACGAAGTCTTGGTCTAGATGAAGGATGGGGAATTGAGGGGCCACTGTTTTCTGGGTTGGATGCCATCTAAAGATAGACACCAGCCTGTCAGGCAAGAAGATTGCCTGGGATTTCATCTGAGTTGCCATGACTACAGGCTGATGTAACTGGGCTGCTCTGTGCTGCTGTGAACCAGTCTGGCAGTCAGGTGGAGCTAATCGTTCTCGTTTGCAGTGACAGCTTAATTACCTTGCACTTGATTTTGCATAACAGTAAAGTTAAGCCTTTAAGTCAGGCAGACCTGAGTTTGAATCCTAGCTCTGCTGCCTTTTAGCTATGAGTCCATGTCCCTGACCATGGAGTGGAGGGGTATTATGAGTGGGGCTGCAGTTACCTGTCCTTGGGGCATGTGTCCTACCTACTCCTATAGCTAACAGACTTGTTGGGGATTAAGCCAGCAGCTCCCTGGTTAAGAGAACCCAGTTTCCTGGGTAACTAGTGCCTGTATGTCCAAGAGGGAACTGCAGTGTAGGCAGTTGGCTATTCTTATCAAGCTCCAGTGAGCAATTCCCATTAGTTAAAAATAGGAATGTTGCAGTTGGGCAGAAGTGGAGCTATAGGCTCAGATATTAACTACCATGGAGGGCTGAGTGCTGGGTCTGTTTTCATTTGGGAAAAGTGGTACCTCTCTGTGCACAGCTTCAGTCTTCTGAAAGTCTTTAACACCTTGGGAAATCTTCAAGTCATCCTCTATTCTCCAGGATTATTATTATAATGTCCAACTACTAATAGATGAAACTAAAAGGGAGGAAGATTCTGGTGGAGAAAGTATGTGATTACCCTGGGCCAAGAGACAGGACTTAGGTAGGTCTCTTGACACTAGGCTAATACTGTGTTCTAGACCATGCATTTCCCCACATCTGATTCTAAAAACCTCAGTTTTCATACATAACCCACATGATCCAGTCTGGTAAAGAACTTATTTTTAAGTTGGTTAGCAAGTCCTAGTTAAATTACAGGGAGAGTCTGGGGAAGTTCTGCCTTGGTGTTCTTTATCACCACCAGTGAAAGAATACTTTCCAGTTACTCCTTGTTGCTTTTGTTTTTCATTTTCTGTTCAGATCTGGAGCCCATACAAGCAGCCAGGATGTACTGGAGACCTCGACGGTCGGATTGAGGACGATTCCCGCTGCCTCTATACCCATGAAGAGTACATCAGCCTTGTGCTGAACAGTGGGAGTGGCCTGTCGCATGACTACGCCAACCAGTCGGTCCAGGAAGACCCCCGGATGATGGCCTTCTTTGACTCACTGGTACGCCGAGAGATCGAGGGCTGGAGCTCTGACTCAGACAGTGACCTCAGTGAGAGTACTATCCTCCAACTGCACGCTGGGGTCAGCGAGCGCTCAGGCTACACTGACTCAGAGTCTTCGGCCTCATTGCCTCGCTCCCCGCCTCCCACAGTAGATGAGTCTGCCGACAACGCCTTCCACCTGGGGCCCCTGCGGGTCACCACCACAAACACAGTAGCCTCAACTCCACCAACACCCACGTGTGAGGATGCAGCCTCTCGCCAGCAGCGTCTGTCTGCTCTGCGGCGCTACCAAGACAAACGCCTCCTGGCCCTTTCCAATGAGTCCGATTCTGAGGAGAATGTCTGTGAGGTGGAACTAGACACAGATCTCTTTCCCCGGCCACGGTCACCCAGCCCCGAAGATGAATCCAGCAGTTCCAGCAGCTCTAGCAGCTCTGAGGATGAGGAGGAGCTGAATGAACGCCGAGCCTCTACCTGGCAGCGGAATGCCATGCGGCGCCGACAGAAGACAACCCGAGAAGACAAGCCCAGTGCCCCAATCAAGCCCACCAACACTTACATTGGAGAAGACAACTATGATTACCCCCAGATCAAAGTGGATGACCTCTCCTCCTCCCCAACCTCGTCCCCTGAGCGGAGCACTTCCACGCTAGAGATTCAACCAAGCCGGGCATCACCAACTTCTGACATAGAATCAGTTGAGCGAAAAATTTATAAAGCTTACAAGTGGCTCCGCTACTCTTATATCTCCTACTCAAATAACAAAGATGGAGAGACCTCCTTGGTGACCGGGGAGGCAGATGAAGGGAGAGCAGGAACCAGCCACAAAGACAACCCAGCCCCTTCTTCCAGTAAGGAAGCCTGTCTAAACATAGCAATGGCCCAGAGGAACCAGGACCTGCCACCTGAAGGCTGCAGCAAGGACACTTTTAAAGAAGAGACTCCTAGAACTCCCAGCAATGGCCCAGGCCATGAGCACAGCAGCCATGCTTGGGCAGAGGTGCCAGAGGGTACCTCTCAGGACACTGGCAATAGCGGCTCTGTAGAGCACCCTTTTGAAACCAAGAAGCTCAATGGAAAGGCCCTGAGCAGTCGGGCTGAGGAGCCGCCTTCTCCTCCTGTCCCCAAGGCATCTGGCTCCACTCTCAACAGCGGGTCTGGCAACTGTCCCAGGACCCAGTCTGATGACAGTGAGGAGAGGAGCCTCGAAACCATCTGTGCCAACCACAACAATGGACGCTTACACCCTCGTCCCCCTCACCCTCACAATAACGGGCAGAACTTGGGGGAGCTGGAGGTGGTGGCCTACTCTTCCCCAGGACACTCAGACACTGACCGTGATAACTCGTCCCTGACAGGGACACTCCTACACAAAGATTGTTGCGGGTCTGAAATGGCCTGTGAGACCCCCAATGCTGGAACAAGAGAGGACCCCACTGACACCCCAGCCACAGATAGTAGCAGGGCTGTTCATGGCCACAGTGGCCTCAAAAGGCAACGAATTGAATTGGAAGATACAGATTCAGAGAATTCCTCCTCAGAGAAGAAATTAAAAACATGATAAATACAAAGGGAAAACAAAAAGCTACAAAAGTAGCCTTACAAAAAAAAAAAAATTGTTTAGTGAATACAGAGGAAAGGAAAAACAAGTATTAAAGGCACATGAAACCAGGGCCTGAAATTTTGTGTCTGATGCTGCTCCCTTCTATCCAACATTCAACAACGGGTCTGAATGTCTAGCTGGCCATTGGCTTGTGCTGTGTTAAGAAAGGGGAAAAAAAAATAACCCAAGTGACTCCTTTCTAGTGAGACGTGAGCGTAGTGTGCCGCGCAAGGCTCTGTGGAAGTAAATCTTTGTTGAGACGTTCGACTTGTTCTTGTGTACGCACAATGGCACGTGTGCGCTTATTGTCTCATAAGACCTTCCTTTTAGTTCTCCATCAGAAAGGACCTATGAATTTGTACTTTTTGCCATCTCACCCTGTTTACATGCCATAGGTGTTCTGGTCTGGATGATGGGTGCCTGTTAAATCAGGTTGTGCTGCCAGTGAGTTGTAGATTTATGCTGGAAGAATGGAGAATGGAAACAGGCCTTCAGCCCATTGGCTGCGCTGGAGAGGAAAGCATGGTTCCTTTCTTAAAGAAATCTTCCATGTTTTCTCTAAGTAACACTTCTTTATTGAGCATTTAATGTGGACATACTATAAAAAAGAATTTTTAATGCTAATGAGAGGTTTAGCACTTAAGATCAGATTCAAGAGAATATAGATTCCTGATAAATTTCACTGTTTGCAAATTGAGCAGTGCTGCAACATGTACTGTATGAAGGCCATAAAATAGAGCTAGTCATGGATAACAGACTTTAACCAGTTAGGTGCTAGATCCTAAGAGGCACTCACAAGGCCAGCAGGTGCTTCCTTGGCTCCCATGATCGATCGAGGCATAGTGAAAGAAGGGCAAAGACAGCTTTCCAGAGCTTTGTGCTCAGGCTACTAAAGTAGTTGTTATAGGTGTGTTAACGAAGAAGCTTAGTGAGGAGCAGAATGTGGTACTATATTCATTTAACTCAACCCAGAACCATTGGTCAGAATTGGTGGGACTGGCATCTTCCCTCAGACTTGCAGTTGATAGAGGCTGTGGTGTTCTCACTAGACTTTGCAGAGCAGTAGGCATCTCAAGGTAACAGATTCTTATTGAGTAGGTCTATTAGGAGTCAGAAGGTGTTGGGGAGGAGTCTCTGGCTTATGACTCCTGGTTCCCATTAGTCTTAAGTCTTCTGGTTCCCATAAAAGACTCAGTTTTATTGAGGTAGATACAGGTTTAGAAGAGAAAAGAGCAACAGATTTTCAGCGTTGCAGTCACTCGGTTATCTATGAAGGGTTGTGCAAAACAGGAAGGTCTGGGAATGACCAGATATCTTGTTGGCATAAATGTTATGAAAAGGCAGAATACTGGCAAGAAATGAGGAAGAGAGAGAAAAACAATATAACTTTCTTGAGTGCAAAGGTGCTAGACAACTAGGAGCCCAGCTGGGATTGGTGTAGGGAGGGCCGAACGCTGACTAGTGTGGCCTCACTGCCCCAGGCTTCCTTTCAGAGGAAGGCCTGTCCTGCTGGAACTGGAGCCAAGGGGAGGCTGCCTATGAAGGCAGAAGATGTGGATGAATTCAGGCACTGGGGGTGGGGGGGTTATTTATAAACACAAGGTGGTTGGTTTAAGCCAAAAGGAGATACCATCCTGATAAGCTCTGTGAAAGAGAAGATGTGCCTGGTGTGTGTAATGCGGCTGGGGTATGAAAACACTGAGAAGGAGATGAAGGAGTGTGTGTAGCATGGGGGTGTGTACAACTTAACACCTGGACTTTTACTGGGGGAGTGGGAAAGTGATTCTGTAACCAACATTAGAATTACTTTGGATTTGTAATCAGATTGGTTCTATGATTTGTCTTTGACTATTCACAGATAATTGTAAATGCTGGTTTTATAAGCCCAAGTCATTTTACATTTGCTTTTCCAAAATGTATTAAATTGGAATTTTTTAATCCTTTATATACAAAAAAAATACGATCACTCAGTGTGTGTTTCTCTTCCCCTTCTTAGTCAGCACACCCAGTCCTTTATTTTATTCTATTCTATTTATTTTATTTTAATAAGTACTTAGCCTCTTCTGACTTCTCAAAGGACAATCGGATACATATCTTCCTGAAAAGAAGTAGTTAAAGTTCCCTTGGGAACTAGCTACTTGGTAGTTACAATTCCCAAATGCAGAACTTGGTCTTTTCATGTTAAAAGCCTTAATCTCATTTGGGTACTCAAAAGAGAAATCAGAGTTTATTCTGGTTAACTTGAGAAGCCAAGAAAGATCATTTTTAGCAAGTATGCCTTCCATCCTTGGCAGAGGCTTCCCAGCATCCTAGGCTCAGCTTACCGGGTGATAGGCCCCATAAGACACACACATGAGCAGGGTGAGAAATGCTTGCTTTATAGCTGCTCCACCCTCATCTCCAGAGATTTTGTGTCTATGGTTG
This sequence comes from Homo sapiens, assembly GCF_000001405.40. Classification (NCBI taxonomy): domain Eukaryota; kingdom Metazoa; phylum Chordata; class Mammalia; order Primates; family Hominidae; genus Homo; species Homo sapiens. The sequence continues at coordinate 69,051,390 of NC_000014.9, read as the reverse complement.
TGGGTCTGGAAACCTGGCAGGAACCACTTCTAGAGTACCTTTGCCTAAACTCTTTTAGAATTGAGGCCCCAACTTTGATGGCACATTTAATACCCAATTTCTTCCATAATAGATATTTTTAATAGCAGGACAGATGGCACTGATTAGATCAAGAACTATTTGGAAGTGCCTCTTATGTTTTTTTCCTGCATTCTGTACATAAAGTTTTAAGTGGCAGGTCCAGATATGTAAAATCATTTCTCTCTATTTTCCAGCTGGTTTTGTTAATGATTCTCTAGGACAGCAGGTAAATGAGTTAAGTTGTTGGCTTGGGGCAAGTGAAGTTTGTGACTATGCTTGATTTAATAAGCTGAGAGTCTCTTGTTTGTCTGTCAAGGTGCCTTCCTCTGCTGAAGCCTTACCTCCTTCTCACCCAGTAACGGTTAACTCTTCTCTTGTGTATATGCAAATAAACCTATTATTCACTTCTCACGTCTTCCTCTTCTCTTCCAGGGAAGACTTGGTTGCTTAGACACCTCTCCTTTATTTCTTTTCTGTTTTAATTCTTGCCTAGTTGGAAACTTGATTGAAAGCTATGCTGAAAACTAGAAGAAAAACTGCAGTGTTCCACATCCATGACAATGGTCATTGTCACTTTTAGGTATTGGGACAAAGGTCACATCTGGACAACAAAATGCAGGGTAGGAGGAGGTATTTATTTGTTCTCCTTAACAGGTTTAAAGGGACTTAAGATAGCGAGACTCTGGAACTGATAATTTTATTAGTTGGAACAGAGGGAACAATGCAGTGAAGTGACATTACAAACAGCTCCCAAAGAAATATTTTCTGATGTTTCCAAATACCAAATTGCATTTCCTGCCTTGCTCCAGGCATGCACTGCAAACTTTTTTCTAAAAAAAAAAAAAGCAAAACTCGTATCTCCTGCCTGTAAAGCTGCCTGCTACAGTTAACTGAAAAATTCTTGCCAACCAAGGCTTGTCAGGAAAACAGACGCTTCCAAAGGAAGACTGTCCTTCCCCCATGACCTAAGCAAGACAACATGCCATGATTGAAACACCAAGGTGAAGTAAGGCTCAGTGAGTCCCAGCCTTGCAGCAGCAGGATAGTGGTTTTGAACAAACTGTGTGGTTCTCAGGTGGGATATTCCGATCTGAGTGCTAATTTGTCCTTGAGCACTCATATTGGAATTAAATTACATGAATTCAAATAGTTAAAAGTAATTTTGAATTTCTCAGTGATGCTTCTCACATGCAATAGTGCACGTGGATCGAAAACCTGTCTGAATCCTAACTGCATTTCATTGTTAGAACAGTGGTGGTAAGATGCTTCTCAGAATGGAGGCTTAGAGGCAAAGCTTAAACTTCCCTGTGCCCTGCACTTAACATTGCCTGGATAAGCAAGAGGAGTTACTCTGTTCAATTCACAACAGGATTTACTCGAATGTGCAGATGATCTAGCAGTGCTTATCTGCAAGATGGTCACGTTGTAAGGAAACAGGATATCTAATGTTTCAAAATACTGAAGTTGGGAAATGACTCCTTTGGGCTTATGGCCCAAAGCCATGAGCTTGTGGAATATTCCAGCCAAAGTACAGAATGCTAGCTTAGAAGTCTATCTGCCTTTGTTAGTTCCCCTACTAAAGCTGGGAAAGACAATAAAGCCCCTAAGATATCCAGGGGCTCACCCAGACTCCTTAGGCATAAGGGAAGTTTTTGTTATCTAGGGAAGCTGGGAGGGAAGACATCTGGGGGACGGGATTAGGAAGACTGCAAGGGAAGAAATAAAGTGCTAGGTGGGTCCATTAACTTCCTGGATCCACAGAACTAGCATTCAATGTGCCATGGGACTGGCCTCTGAAACACTTGGTCATCAAGATTCTCCAACCAAAATCCCCCAGTACATATGCTCCTCAACTTAGGATGGGGTTTTATGTCTGATAAACCCATCATAAATTGAAAATGTAAGTCGGCCAGGCGCGGTGGCTCACGCCTGTAATCCCAGCACTTTGGGAGGCCGAGGCAGGCAGATCACGAGGTCAGGAGTTCAAGACCAGCGTGGCCAACATGATGGAGCCCCATCTCTACTAAAAATACAAAATTAGCCGGGCGTGGTGGTGCATGCCTGTAATCCCAGCTACTCAGGAGGCTGAGGCAGGAGAATCGCTTGAGCCTGGGAGGCAGAGGTTGCAGTGAGCCGAGATCGTGTCGCTACACTGTAGCCTGGGCGACAGACAGAGACTCCATCTCAGGAAAAAAAAAAAAAAAAAATGTTGTAAGTCAAAAATGCATTTAGGCCAGGCGTGGTAGTTCACGCCTGTAATCCTAGCACTTTGGAAGGCCAAGGCAGGTGGATTGCTTGAGCTCAGGATTTTGAGACCAGCCTGGGCAATATGGCAAAATCCCATCTCTTCAAAAAATAGAAAAAAAATAGCCAGAAGTGGTGGTGCACAGCAATAGTCCCAGCTGTTCGAGAGGCTGAGGTGGGAGGATCACCTGAGCCTGGGAAGGTAGAGGCGGCATTGAGCCATGATCGCACCACTGCACTCCAGCCTGGGCAACAGAGTGAGACTGTCTCAAAAACAACAACAATAATAAAAAAAAAACACGAAAAAGCCATCATCTAACCTACTGATTGTCATAGCCTAGCCTACCTGAAACGTGCTGAGAACACTTAGCCTGCAGTTGGCCAAAATCACCTGGCAACACAGTACACTGCAGAGTATTGGTGGTTTACCCTTGTGATCAGTAGCTGGCTGGGAGCCAAAACTTGCTGCCACAGCCCAGCATTATGAGCAAGTATCTTAATGCACATGTGGCTAGCCTGGGAAAAGATCAAAATTCAAAATTTGAAATACTGTTTCTACTGAATGCATATCACTTTCACACCATCATAAAGTCAAAAAACTGTGTCGTGAGTCAGGGACTGTATAATAATAATAGAGGTCAAAAAATGCAGGATTGAGGCCAGGTGTGGTGGCTCACACCTGTACTTGGAGCACTTTAGGAGGCCGAGGTGGGCGGATCACTTAAGGTCAGGAGTTTGAGACGAGCCTGGGCAACAAGGTGAAACCCTGTCTCTACTAAAAATACAAAAATTAGCTGGACGTGGTGGTGCATGCCTGTAATCCCAGCTACTTAGGAGGCTAAAGCACAAGAATCACTTGAACCTGGGAGGCGGAAGTTGCAGTGAGCCAAGATCTCAGCCTAGGTGAAAGAATGAGACTCCGTCTCAAAAAGAAGAAGAAAAAAATGCAGATTAGTTTGGGAGAAATTATCTTTTCAGACCTCTTTGCTAGAATGCATAAATGCCATTAAAAAAAGGATTGTATTATAACCCTAACACCAGCATATGTACTTAAACATGCTCCTAAAATAGGTGAGTGTGTGGTTGTTGGTGACTGGCATAGGCTTTCATAGGGTAACATACATCTACATGCTTGCCTATTCCTAGACTGGTTAGTGACAATATTTGGGTCCTACCCCTATCTCTTTCCTTTTCTTTTTTTCTTTTTTTGTAACTTTCTTACCTTATTTTCTCTTCATTTCTCAGAGTCAATTCTTTCTCTTATCTCTCCAAGACCTCACCTTAAATAGTTAAGGCTAACTTCTGTTCCTTTCTCTTCCTCCCAAGAGAACTGTGAATTAGGTGGAAATAGCATTGAACTAGCAAGAGAAGCGGATCCTGTACATGTTCTCCCGTGGAGTTGCTGCATGAGACTCGGGCAAGTCACTCAGACTCTTGGGAACTGTGAAACAAATCCCTCTCAACTCAAATCCAATTCCTTCTGTTCCAGCTCCTCTATGTGTCCCTCCTGGGGATCAGAGGGCTTTCTAGCTCCCACTCTGATGAGCTGTCATTCTTAAAACATCTCTGTAGTGCCCACCAGAACCAGTGAGCCAAGATCTTTGGCGAGTGTACAGCTGCTCAGAGCCTCAAGCTTTACCTCTGTAAAATGGGTTCAGCACATTGTCAAGAGATCAAATGGGCAGATATGTATATATATGCTATATATATGTTATATACAAACTATGATATAATATACAATGATTATATAATATATATAAGCTATACATAGCTTGGGACAATGCCTGTTATTTAGAAAGCACTGAAATGTTTGCTATCATTAGTACATTCTCTCTTTTTTGCTTTCATTGCTTGTTGATACCAGTGTGCACACCATGTAGAAGACTTTTTTGGATGGGGTCTGCTGAGAAAGTAACCTCTCCTTCCGAGAAAGAATGTACTGTACCCTAGTAAGTCTTAACCTGAAAACAAAAAAAGAGTAAATTATTCCCATTATGGTGGACCTGACTAAAGCAGAGTTTGGGGCCTTGTACACGACCTCCGACTTGGGGAGCCAACTGTCTAGAGGCTCCACCTGAAGCCAGGCCTGGCTGACAGAGGCCTCTCAGCTCCTTGCTTATGACGACCCTTACCTTGAGTGCCTGACCTCCTGACAGCCTCATTGATTCCTGGAATTTGGTGCCAACTCTCCACTTTCTGCAAGTCTGCAGGGGTTGGAGTGAGTAGTGGCAGATTTTATTAAACTATAGTCTTAATATGGTGGTGCTGAAGATGACAGGCCTCAGGGGCTGGGACGGCAAACTTCTCTCCAGCCTTCAGAGCTAAAAGTTTCCTATCTGGCATTGGGCCAGCGCTAAGAGAATCAGGAAAGTGGCGAGCCATGGAAATGCTTTGCGTCTCTGCCAAAGAAAAGTTTTGACCAGAGTTTTCCATGCAGGATTGGTGTGTGGGTGTGCATGCACACGTATGCATTCGGTAACATCTGATTCAAGAAGAAGCCAAACCGTAAAACAAAAACAGAAGTCTCACTAGGCCAAGGGGAAGAAGGGTCAGAGTGCAATCCTGGCCCACTAAACCCTCAGGACAGATCTAGATGGAACCTGGATCCCAGGAGCACATGCGTGGCACTTGGAGAGGCAGCAGAATGAGAGGAAAGTTTTGAATTGCTGGTGGAAAAGAGGCAATGGAATTATACTTAGGGAAAAAAGCTTTTCAAATAAGACACATCTGCCAGAAGAGAAGCCAGAGCAAGGGTGGGGACATGGGGAGGGCAGAGAAGGAGTCCAGGCCGAAATAAGCATTTCTGAGCTTATCCTGAAGGAGAGGGAGTGGTTAGCTGCATCACCCAGTTCAGCTCCCTCATTTTAGAGGTTGAGAGGCAAGGCCAGTGAGAGGCTGGGCTTGGCCTTTGAGGCTATGCTCTCCGCACATCTTGCTGCTTCCTTCCCTAAGATGTGATTCTTGGTTGGGGAAGTGCTTACCTTGACCTCCCCACCCTCACCCAGCATGACTCCAGCGGGGACTCTTACGACAACATGCAGCAGTAGCAAGGAACTGAATATGGTCTGTGAGGAGGCAGGGTGAGGGTGGAGCCTTTGGCAAAGGAAAAAACAGAGTCAGCTGTGCTTGGATCACCCTCACCCCTAGAAAATCATCACTCAGACTAACGTGACTTGTCTGCACCTCGCTTAGCAACTCTAACCATTCCCAGGTTGCTGAATGCTGTCCTGGTGTTTCAGCCCCCTGGAGATGTAAATGAATCCTTTGGATGACTTTTAGAGAAAAGCAATAAACATGTTGGGGTACTGGAAGAAAAGACAAAAGGGACCAGAGGGTGGGAGCTGAATCATTAGGTTTTAGGTATGCAGAGGCTTTAGAATGGGAGAAGACCTTTCAAGTTGTAAGCACCCAAGGGCCAGAAGAGGAAAGGACAAGTTTTAAATGGAATATGCCCAGTTGCAGACCCAAGAAGACTGGCTCAAATTGCTGTTCCCTTCTTGCCTGTTGGGTCCTGGTAAGGTCTTTTTCCTAAACTAGCTGTGATAAGCAGCTTATAGCTCATATCCTGTTATCTTTATCCTAGTTTTAAACATCCCTGCTCAAAGCAAACTCAAGCACTTTGTTTCTCAAGCAGCTGCCTAGGTTGGAATTCTATGGGCCGAAGCTGCCAAGTTTAGCCTCAGTGGGGAAGGCTGGTCAGCGCCAATAGGTGGAACAGCTGGCCCAGACTGTCTCATTCCAGGTCTGGCTGACTGCGGGGGCGAGAGTTGGCATAAAGATGAATTTGTCCTTCTGCTCAGGCTGGTGTCCAAATCCTGCAACTCCCCCAGCTTGTCCTTCTTTGGAGAGACCCGTGGAGATGTCCCAAGCTTGGGGCCCCACTGAACCAGGGTGTGTGGCATGTTTCTCATGAGGCTGGCTGAGTCAGCAGTTACATTTGATCTACTGACCCTCCCTCTCCTCTCCTGACTTGGGGTCCAGTAGGCAACCTCACTCCCTGCTAAGACCAGCGAACATGCTTGAGGGATCACTGAGGGGTAGGAGTGTGGACCCTCTGTCTGCTACACACTACACTGTTTCTGCTGCTTCATCCCTTGGGTCAATATGGGTGGCTTAAAGAATTCAGGAAAAGGTGAGTTCTTGGATTTCACTTGGAAGGAAGGAAAGAGTTGGCTGGACTGATTCTAATGCTGGTGCACTAGGGAGAAGGGGAGCCAGGAGGAAGGCTGGGGACCCTGAAAAGGTGGAGGACCAATGGTGAACGTGCCTCTAGGGTCTCCTTGGAAAAGAAGTCAAACTTACTGGATAAACTGGAATTGCCAGGACAGCAGGTCTAAGAGGCCAAGCTAGGTCTTCATTCAAGAGGATTAACTCATTTGTGTCCAACCAGATAACTTAGACTCTCTGTTCTAATTGGAATTGACTCTTGTGATTGCTAATCCAGTAATGGATCAAGGACTCTGCACTTCAGCCGTGGGTGCCTACAGGGTCAGGGACAAGTCCTTGACAGGCAGAAGGAAGATCTCTTGGCCAGGCCCTTACCATGAGCACCTGACCTCATGGCAGGTGACAGCCTCTTGGATTCCTGGAATTCCTGGTGCCAGGTCTCCACTTTCCTCAAGCTCCAGCGTTCCCACCTTCAATGTTTAGAATAACAGGAAACTCTAAGATGATCTATGGGTAACTAAGGGCAAAACTGCTCTGTGTGTGTCTGCAGTCCATAGAGGCCACACTGTGGCCCACAGGAACAGTGCCTCCTCACCTGTGTGCCACTATCCTGCAAGCTCCATCCATTGGAGCAGCCAGTCCAGGAAAGGGAGTTTCTTGAGCCCTGCAGTTCTCCTTCCCTTCATTCACTCCCTGCTGCCCATGCTGAGGACGCTCCGGGCTCTCCTGGCAGGCTTGCATCCTCCCCTGCCCAAACGCCCTCTTTCCCCTCCTCCCCTCAGGCCAACTAGCCCCAAACAGCAGGCGCAGGAGCCCAGGTTGTTGCAAAGTTGGGGTGGAGGGAAAACCTGAGCCCAGCGCACATCCCTGGACCCTTGCCAAGCCCACAGTTACAAGGTCTTTCTTCTTCTTCTCAGCCCCCACTGTGACTTTAGGGGTCAGGAGGGGTTCAGCTGCCCAGTTTCCCAGACTGCTTCAAACTTACTCCCCTGAGGAAGCATTGCTGGGGTGAGGGTGCCACTCTCTGCCAGGGACAATGGGATCAGAGGGCAAGAATAAGAAGTGTCTTCCCGTCATTCCTGCTTTCTTGTGACCTAATGAGCTTATTCTGGCTCTAAACTGTCTCCCTGAGCCCTGAGTCCCTTCCTGGTGCCAAGAAACCTCTTCCCCTCATGCTCTGAGTCACAGCTTAGTTGTCTTAGAAGAGCAGAAGTAGGAAGTCAGAGAAAGACGAGGGCCTCGGTGGGGTGGAAAGTGGGGGTCCCAGAGAGCATGAGGTAGTAGGAAGAATGTGATGTTTAATCACAGTGTGATGCTTTGAGGCATGGGCCAAGTCACTTTCTTCTTCTGACCTTGAATTTCTTCATCCACAAAGTTGCGACGAGGCTTACCTTGCAATGCTCTCCTGTGGATTAGTGAAAACATACACAAAGCACCTAGCACAATGCCCAGTAGGAACTGGGTAGAAAGAGCAGCTGTTATTGTCATCATAATCCTGTCTTTTTTCAGGTCCAATGACCTGTTGACTTTGGCTCCACTGCCATGATACTGTCCTTAAGCAAAATGTCGGGGACAAATAGAGGTAGAAAGTACTGGTGACTTCTCCAAAAATGTCATCTCTTCCTCCCTCTCTGCGTTTATGAGAACATAAATAGAAATGAAGCTCAGTGTTGTGAAATTCAGGGTTCCTTTTTTGCCCTAAATACTTCCAAATAAAGCCAGCCACAGGAGCTGCTCCACAGAGCTAGGATTCAAAAACCAGAAGCTGGTGAGGGGAACGGAGTGGCAGCAGCTGGAGGGAGCCCGAGGCGCTCCCAGCCCTGCTTCCCCTCCCAGCTGCCAGCCAGGCGCTCACAGTGACCTGCCCAGTCTGTCCCAACACTGCCCGATTCACTCTCACCTCTAGCCTGTTGAGCAGGAGTATGGCTTTCACTTTAAGAAAAGCCAATTATGAGAAATCCAAACTTAGGAAACCATAACGAGGACAAAGGGATTCACATGACATACAAATGGGTTCTTTGCAAAAGACTTCTGATGATGCCCATCTGTTGTGTAAAAAGAGGCACCCTTGGGTGTAGGGATCTAGGGTAAACTCTGAGTGAGTCCTTTAAAAAGAAACGACTTCTCGTCAGTAGACTCACAGTGATGTGATAACCTGAAGGTTTGCTGGAATGATTGATTGTCCCCAAATATAGGAAGTTTCCACAAGAAAGAAATGTTTCAGGCTCTTCTGCTCGTGAGGATTTTATTTTCTCTAGGAAACAACCAGAAGTCAGAGGTAAAAGTTCCTAGCTAATCATTTGAATTCTCCCTTTCCTTTCGTCTCCTTGGTGATTCTGGGTGCTGGGAAGTGTTTTAGGAACCAGTTATTTCCCAGCATCTCCTCCCCAGTCATAAAACACAGAAATGTTCATTACAGGTCAAAGGACTTTGCACCCCAAGACAAAGGAAAGTTCTTGGGAAGTAGTTTCCCTTAATAATCTTTATCCATAAGGGATAAAGAACAACCTCCCTTAATGAGACCAGAATGTTTAAAGGGAATCAGTGCTCTAGAAACAGCAAAGTGACATGAGACAAATAAAAAGAGGAGTCTACCTCTAGCTTTCAGTAGGCACGGTATACCTCGGCACTGATGTACTGAAGCTTTGCCAACCTGGATAGTGAGTGCATTTCAGCTATTATTTCTGCTTGGTAAAATGCATGAATCCATGTGTCCCTAATCTTGTTGCCTGCTGGTAGGGGAAAGATTTTTCATGATCCAGCACAACTCAAAGTAAGTATGCATGTTTCTATGACCCAGCAAACCACTCCTGAACATAAATTCTAGACATTCTCCCCCAGGTCCTGAAGGGGACACATGCCGAGATGGCCATTGTGGGTTTGTGTGTGGTGACAGGGAGCTGGGGGAAATGAGGCATTCATCCCTGTGGGAGTGGACGTGCACACGTGCTCGCAGCCCACCCCCCGGGGGCCACACGGCAGCTGGAAGTAATGGATCAGGAGTACTCCTGGCAACATGGGTGGATCCTAAAAACACGGTGTTGAGTGAAGAGATTAAGACAGAATAATAGCTAAAACACAATAGCATGTATGTGAAATGTACAAATGCATGCAGGCAAAAGAGGAATACACATTTTTCATAAAATGCCATAAAATGAAGGATATACACTACACACACTAGAGTTGTGACCTATGTGGGGAGGAAAATGAGGGTGGGGAGTGGGGAGTTATTTACTATACATAAATAAATCAAGAGAAGAGGTGACCACCCACAACCTTGTACACTCTGTTCGGAGCATAATTATTCGTAATACCCAGAAAGTGGAAACAACCCAACTGTGTCCATCAACTGATGAAGGGATAAGCAAAACGTGGTCTGTCTATACAAGGGGATGTTATTTTTTGCCATAAAAAGGAATGAAGTACTGATTGATGCTACAATATGGATGAATGCTCACATGAGCATTTGAAAACATTATGCTGGCCAGCCACGGTGGCTCATGTCTGTAATCCTAGCACTTTGGGAGGCTGAGCCACAAGGATCACTTGAGGTCAGGAGTTCGAAACAACGTGATCAACATGGTGAAACCCTGTCTCTACTAAAAATACAAAAAAGTTAGCCAGGCATGGTGGTGGGCACCTGTAATCCCAGCTACTTGGAAGGCTGAGACAGGAGAATCGCTTGAACCCAGGAGGCGGAGGTTGCAGTGAGCGGAGATCATGCCACCGCACTCCAGCCTGGCAACAGAGCAAGACTCTGTCTCAAAAAAAAAAAAGAAAAGAAAAAGAAAACATTATGCCAAGACAAAGAAGCCAGTCACAAAAGGACACATATGATTCCATTCATATGAAATGTCCAGAATAGGCAAATCTATAGAGACAGAAAGTAGACTAGCTTTGCCAAGGGTAAGAGGAGGAGTTCAGGGGGAACTTGGGAGTGACTACTAATATAGGGGGTTCTCTTTTGGGGTGATGAAAATGTTTTCAATTTAGATTGTAGCATCATTGTAACAACTACTTAGTAAATAAATTAAAAACCATTGAATTGTACACTTTAGATGAGTAAATTTTATGGTATATAAATTATAAATTATATTTCAGTAAAGATACTTAAAGTTGGCTGCAGTGGTGTGTGCCTGTTACCCCCATCACTCAGGAGGCTAAGGCGGGAGAATCATGCCTCTTGGGCTTGAGTTTGAGACCAACCTGAGCAACATAGTGAGATCCCTTCTCTATTTAAAAAAATAAATTAAGATGTCTAAAAAGAAAAACCGAGAAGAATGAGATAGGATGCTCACGTGAGTTGCCCTTGGGTAATTCCTCTTTGTGCTTCTGGTTTCATATGGGAACTGGGTTTCACCTACCTTAACCCTGCCCATGGCCATTGCCCTCAAATGATGCACACTTGCCTCTGGTCCTTCAGGCTTGAACACCAGCACTGGCCAAGGGCTCCCTGAAATGGACTCAAAGCTGACTCCAGGGGTGGACTGACTGGCTAACTCCATAGCTACCAGCTACCAGACCACTTCCTCCTCTCCCTAAAGACACTCATGGCCAGACTGTGTTGGAGGCTTTTCTCACAATGGAAGTTGGAAGGGACATTCAGGGCCTTTGGTATTCTGTTAACTGAACATAAGTTTGTTATCAGCAGTGTGAGTATAAGAAGGTATTTGTTTCCTTTCTGATTTTGCCAGTACCAGCTGTGACTTTATTTTTGAGACAGAGTCTTGCTATGTTGCCCAGGCTGGAGTGCAGTGGCTATTAACCGATGTGATCATGGCTTACTATAGCTTTGAACTCCTGGACTAAAGTGATCCTCCTACCCCAGCCTCCCAAGTTTTTGGGACTATAGGCATATACCACTGAACCTGGCTAGCTGAGTGACTTTAAAATTCCACCTAACTTCTCTGAGCCTCAGTTCCTCTCTCTGGAAAGTGGGCATAAAATTAACTGGAGCAGTTCGGGATAGTAAATGAAGTAATATACATGAACTCACCTAGCAGTGTACCTAACTCATAGATGACACCTGGTAGGTATTTGCTGAAGCTACCTTTCCAAAACCTAATCTGCTCCTCCAAACAGACAACTAAAAACACCAATGTAATATTGAGTTTGGGGAAATTGGTAGAAGGGTCCAGATAATGGGAAGTAAAGTCTTCATCTTAACTGGAATTCTACTATGTGCCAGTCAGTGTTGGGTGCTGGGAAAACGAAGATGAATAAAATGATTTTCTGAGCCAGCTATCTTGGGTACAAGAGACAGAAACCCAGCGTAAACTGGCAGCAGCTGGAAAGGGAGTGTATGGCTCCCTGAACTGAGTTGTTGGAACTTGCTCTTCTCTTCTTTTGCACCATTCTCTGTGGATAGGCTTCTGCTGTATAGCCTATTCCTACTCCTCTTAGCTTACAGACATAGGTGGGAAATGAGGCAACTCTTCAAACACATTCCTAGTCTCCCTTCCTGTGGAAACACAGTGGGTGCATCCAGTGGTGAGTCACACAGGCTAAGACTGTAGTCACTGAGCAGAAATGACAAAGAAATCAATCTCTGATCAGGAATCCCAGCACTCTGAACCCTAAAAGAAGTCTCTGCCTATTAGAAGATGGGTGATGGCAAGTGTCAGAAAATGCAGCTCAAAGTACATGGAAGAATGATGATTTTTTGCTGTAAACATAACTGAAACATTCCATGATAGAGTGGCCTTAAAATGTATCAGAGTTCTGTCTCTTTCTCTGCAGTTCTCTTGGCTCTGCCCTCCATGTGTATCTGCCTTGTCTCAGGCTGGCTTCCTCCGAGGAGTTAAGGCAGCCAACATCATCAGCCAGGGCAACACACTGCCTCATTCTCATCTGGGGACAGGGCAAGCAAATCTTCCTGCAGAAAGGAAAGTCTGAAGGGTGGCTCTGCCTGGACCACCACAGCCAGGGCAATGCCCAAACTCCTGAGGCCAAGAGGGCAAGAGGCGTGGTGTGGGGCTGATGGGCTTTAAAATCAGAAGCCAACTGGAAGATTGCAGCTTGCTTCACAGTGGGAAAGGGGTGGATGGACGCTGAGAACACGAGCACATGCCTACCATGGGGTCATAAATCTCATTTACAGATGGGGAAATGGGCTGAAGACCTCCCAAGGTTCAACATCCAGATGACGGCAGATCCAAGACCAGATAGTGGCAGTCTTGGCTACAGTCCAGTCAGTTGCTTTTGAATCAGTCATGGAATAGAAGGTCTCGGTGGTTAACAAACACCCCTCACTAGGGAGGTTCAAGCCAGGGCTGATGACGTCATAGCTATAAAAGGAATGACCACCCTGATCTCCAAGGGAGGAGGAATTGATGCTCTGTAAGAACAGCAGGGAGATTAGCTCACTAATCCCAGGATGGAGCCCCACAGCAAGGCAGGGAAAGGCTTATCCTGTTCAGTTTCTTGGATTTGTAATTTCCTGAGGGAAGCTCTGGCTTCCCCTCTGCCCTCTCCTCTTCCCTGCCCTATTCCCAGGCTGAGATGGACCGGCCGGGGCTGGTAATTGTGTTAGCTCAGTTTCCTCCCTGGCCCTGCCATCTCCATAATCTGATTTCAGAGGGACGAGGGATGGCAGGGTCCAGGCTCAGGAAGAGTTCTGCTCCCTCGTGTCCATCGAGCCTGCTAATTTGATAGAGCCACTTGCTGAGCTTCCACAGAGCCCCCATTAGGAACCAATTTCATCTGGTTACCAAGCCCTGGGCCTGGAGAGCTCTCCTGGTCTCAGCCCAAAAGGAAATTCAGCTTCCAATTCAATTTCTGCATAAGGACGTTAAGGCTTCATTATCATAACAGCAACCAGTGATTAAGCACCTACTATGTGTCAGACAGTGCTGGGTGCTGTGGCTCTGATGACTCATTAGGTATGATGTCACCCTTGGAAGCCCAGAGGTGCTGCCAGCGAGGCCTGGGACTGTCAACACTTGGCTACCTCCCTTTTGTCATGCAATTCTCCCTCTATTGGAATGGACTTGCCCTTGTGCAGGAGGACTTTCACCAGTTCTTGTGTGATCCTCAAGAGCAGCCTTGTTTCCAGGGGAAGATTACTGCCCTGTGTGAAGTATGAAGTGTGAGTGTGAAGTAGGATCTGACCCAAATCTCCTCTCCCACCCAAGGATTCCTGGTGTCTAACAGGGGCCAATAGCCACTCCAACCACTGGAGCTCACCTCCACCATCCCGCCCCATTGCCATGAAAACTGGCCTCTGTAGACCCCATTCTAAAGCCCAGCCTGCCAGGCATCCTGGAGGGCATGCACCAGGGCAGGAAGGAAGCTCTGCCCCCATTGGCTCTAGGACCTTGGACGAGTTACCTAAACTCTGAGCTGGAGCTTCCTCATCGGAAAATGGGGATTGTATAATCTACCCTATAGAACATGGAGCTCCCATGACCTGATGACACAGATTCAAACAGGTAACAAACAAAGGAGTAAATGTGTAAAGTGCCCCATAGTGACACATGCTCTGCCCCAGTAGCTGTGAGGGAGGCTGCTGGACCCACAGTTAAGGTCAGGAAAGTGATGAGTGACTCCCACGCCCTACTCACCCAGATAGACAGCCTACACCCTCTCTTAGGCGGCTGGCCAGCCTACTGCCAGAATCAGTCTGGGTACCCACAGCTACAGCCTGCATGACCCTCTGCCGTGGGAAGCCCCTTCTCTCAGGCTGTTTTTTGTAGCCCCTGGCTCCTGCTGCCAGCATTCTTGTGAGCACAGGAGCTGGCCAGGCTTGGGGACTGGTTTGGAAACAAGGTACTATCTCCCCCTCTGAGAGCACGCCAGGCCATTCTTTCCTGGGCTCGCTGCCCCACCTCATTCAAATCTGCCCAAATGTCACCTTTCCCAGCAGGGCTTCCCTGACCACCTGATCTAGGTTAGCCAGCCCCACACACAGCCCCCACTCCACTTTCCCCTCCCAACTGCTTTGTCTGTGGAGCACGTACCACTGCGTGGTATGTTCGCTCATTCATTTGTCTATCTGTGTCATAAGAATGTGAGCTCCGGGGGCAGGGCCTTGGATCTCTTGTTCACTGCTCTGTCCCTGTGCCTAGAGCAGTCCCAGGCACACAGTGGGCACTCGGTATATAATGAATAAATGAATAAATGAAAAGATTATTTGTTAATGTTTTATAGATAATTTTAATTTTGATTTTCTCTCCAGGGGTTATTTAAATGTGTTTCTTAATTTTTATACAATTAAAATTTGGGGAATCATTTTTGTGCCTGATTTTATTGAATTAGGGTCAGAGAATATGGCCCACTTAAATCTCTATTTTTGAGGCCAGGTGTGGTGGCTCTCACCTGTAACCCCAGGACTTTGGGAGGTTAAGGTGGGAGTATTACTTGAGCCCAGGAATTTGAGACCAGCCCAGGCAACATGGCAAGACCCCATCTCTTAAAAAAAGAAAGAAAGAAAGAAAGAAAGAAAATTAAAAATTAAAAAAACTTCTATTTTAAAGTTTTTACAAAAGTTTTATTTGTACCTAAGTATATGATTGATCACTTTAAAGCATTTTATATTGAAAACATTCAAATATGCACAAAAGTAGAGAGAATTCTCTAGAAATTGAGCTCTAAGAAAAAAAAAACTGGAGAGAATATTAGATGAAGTTTAATGTCCTTATCACCTAGCTTCCATGATTGTCAACTCATGGTCAACCTTTTTTCATTAATACCCTTTCTATTATTTTGAAACAAATATCCAACAGGATTGATTTTGTTAAAAATGCCTCATGATCAGACGGGAAAAATGCATTCTATTGAATAGATAAAGAATGATATATGTGTATGTGTTCAATTGAGTCTTTTAATTGTATTATTTAACCTGTTATAATTTTTTTTAAAAGATAAGGTCTCACTCTGTCACCCAGGCTGGAGTGCGGTGGCATGATCATAGCTCACTGTAGCTTCAAACTCCTGGGCTCAAGTGATCCTCCCACCTCAGCCTCCTGAGAAGCTGGGAATACAGGTGCATACCACCACTCCCAGGTAATTCAAATTTATTTTTGAAAAGACTGGATCTCACCATGTAGCTCAGGGTGGTCTCAAACTCCTGGCCTCAAGTGATGCTCCTCAAGTGGGGATCCTATAATCTACCCTATAGAACATGGAGCTCCCATGCACTCATGGCACAGATTCAAACAGGCAACAAATAAAGAAAGGAGTAAATGTGTAAAGTGCCCCACAGTGACACATGCTCTGTCCCAGTAGCTGTGAGGGAGGCTGCTGGACCCCCAGCTAAGGTCAGGAAAGTGATGAATGACTCCCATGCCCTACTCACCCAGACAGACAGCCCACACCCTCTCCCACTTCGGGGCCTGCCAAAGTGCTGGGATTATAAGTGTGAGCCACTGCACCCGGCCTAATTCTTTTTGATGACTAGTTCATGCTAATTACGGAAGAGGTATACTAAAACATCTCACTTTAATTTTTACAAACTTCTCCTTGCATTTCTAATAGTTTTTGCCATCTATAATCAGCAGCTATTTGTTTGGTGCACACAGGTTTATAGCTATCCACAGGCTGGTATTTATTGAGCATTTAGGTTAAAAATGGGTCTAGAGAGAGACCCATTCTGCTCTCAGGCCTGCTGATGAAAAGTTCCTCATCCTATTTGCATCTAGAATGAGAACATCTCAGCCCAAATGGTGATGGTCTCAGAAAATTACCAGACCTTGAAAATGAGAGTGGAGAATGAAAATGCTATTTCAGCCCTAACTGAAAAGAATGAAATGCCAAAACCCTCCATCCGGATTCCATGGACTGACAACAATTAAACTATGTCAGAGGAAGCTAACGTCACCAGGAAAGGTTCCCCACAGCTTTCAGGATCCAGAGCTCCCTCAAAAGGCATGGTTCTTGAGGCTTTGTAGCCCATGGGCCAGGAGAGAGGGCTAGAGACTCACGGGTCCTGGAGGCTTCCAGACCCACGGGGCTGTTACCCTCCTTTCAAATTTAAATTCTCAACTTCAGTATTAGGTAAATTTCTTATTTCAGGGTTAAGGGATAAGGCAATGCTTTTTTTGGAAGGGCTGGTCTTTTTTTCTTTTTTTGGTAACAATGTTAAAAATTTTTTTTGCATTGTGAAAACTAAAAATGGAGTTATATTACATGGACATTGCATAATGAAAAAAATTGAGTCATAACTTATATACAAAATGCACTAATCTTCAGTGATGCATTCCAGCGAAAATGTCAATGAATTTTTACATATTCGTACACCCGTGTAACCATACCATACCCCAAATCAAGATGTGGGGGCACTCCTACCACCCCACTCTCTGTACCCTTTCCTGTCCTAACCACCATGCCCTTCACCCCCAGCCTGCCAGGAAACCACTCTTCTGACTCCTATCATCACAAATTTCTTTTGGCTACTCTTTAACTTTTCAATATGGATGTAATCTGCTGGGGGACTTGGCTCTGACTTTCCCTGGTCTCTACACCAGTTGACCCCAGGCAGACCAGTTGTGCAGACAGCTGGCTTGATGAAGACACAACCCAGTGAGACCAGGGCCTGTCCCCACCCCTCCTGCTCTCGGTCAGGTGGTTGCTGACCACCAGGCCCTCCGGAGAAGAGCAAGTGTGATGGGGCAGGACAAACTTACCTCTGTCAGGAAGGCTCAGTCATGTGGAACTGGAGTCCAACGCCCTGGGATTTCGTCCTTCTTCTCTAGCTGTGTAACCTCCCCAGTTTATTTGTCTGTAAAATGGATGTTGTAATGATACCTTCTTCACAAGATAATGGATATAAACTATCAAGTGCCAGGCCAGGCGTGGTGGCTCACACCTGTAACCCCAGCACTTTGGGAGGTTGAGGTGGGCAGATCACGAGGTCAAGCGATCAAGATCATTCCGGCCAACATGGTGAAATCCCATCTCTACTAAAAATACAAAAAATTAGCTGGGCATTCTGGTGTGTGCTGTAGTCCTAGCTAGTTTGGAGGCTGAGGCAGGAGAATCGCTTGAACCAGGAGGCGGAGGTTGCAGTGAGCCGAGATCGCATGCCACTGCACTCCAGCCTGGGTGACAGAGCGAGACTCCATCTCAATAAATAAATAAATAAATAAAAATAAGGAAACCTTGCTGTTATGATGGCAGATCCTCAATCCCAAAGGCACTGCTAACCTATGCAGGTTATGGATGTCCTTTCTGGGCACAGACCCTACGGCATCCTAGGTCCCTTTTCAAGACGGGAACTTGAAGTCAGATGGGAACCTCTGGAAGGCTTTGGCCTATCCTCTCCAGCAGTTTAATTACAACTATTTTGTTGTTGTTGTTGTTTATTGTGCACTTAGTTCAGCGCTACGAATTTTATGAACGTGCACTCATTAATTTCAGCAAATCTCTGTGTAGATACTGGCTTTGTTCAATTACACAGATGAAGAAACTGAGGCTCCAGGGGTTTAAGTGACATGCCCAAAGTCATGCAGCCAATGAGAGAGCTGGAATTTGAAACAGGAATTATGATTCTAGAAACTGCTCTCTTACCTGCCTTTCTCACAGTGCCTTAACCTCTGCAATACTTAAATTTCTTTCTTTCTTTCTTTCTTTCTTTTTTTTTTTTTTTTTTTTGGGATGAAGTCTTACTCTGTCGCCCAGGCTGGAGTGCAGTGGCACAATCTCGGCTCACTGCAACCTCTGCCTCTGGGGTTCAAGAGATTCTCCTGCCTCAGCCTCCTGAGTAGCTGGGACTACAGGTGTGCACCACCACACCCAGCGAATTTTTGTATTTTTTTTAGTAGAGTCAGGGTTTCCCCATATTGACCAGGCTGGTCTCGAACTCCTGACCTCGTGATCTGCCCCCACCTCAGTCTCCCAAAGTGCTGGGATTACAGGCGTGAGCCACCGCGCCTGGCCAATACTTAAATTTCTTATCATGAAAGAGAAATAATACATGAGAAGGTTTTGGCATATACTGTGGTACATAATAAATGTTACTTTCCTTTCACATCATGTGTGCATTGTATACATTCGCAGGGGTAGATATTTACTAATATCTACAATGTCTTTCATGTACTGCTGATGATAATGAACCATATAGCATTATCGAAGATTTGCCAGGCTTCGCACGGTGGTTCACACCTGTAATCTCATCACTTTGGGAGGCTGAAGCAGAAGGCTCACTTGAGCCCAGGAGTTCAAGACCAGCTTGGGCAACAAAGTGAGACCCCTGTTTCTACAAAAAAACCAAATAAATAAATAAATAATAAAAAAAATTAGCTGAGTGTGGTGGTGTGCACCTATAGTCTCAGCTACTTGGGGGGCTGTGGCAGGAGGATTTCTTGAGCCCAGGAGGTCGAGGCTGCAGTGAGCCATGTTCCCGCCACTGCACTCCAGCCTGGGTGATGGAGCAAGACTCTGTCACAAATAATAATAATAATAATGCCAAGAGAAGTACATGAAAGCATAGTGGTTGTAATTTAAATTTCTACAGAATAATTTATAATACTCAATGCATTTGGGATGTACCATAAGATGCTTCTTTTTTTCTTTCTTCTACCTTTCTACATTGTCACATTCTGTATAATAATAAGATACTACATTTGGGGGGATTCAATAGAATTTTAATCAAATTGATTATACCAACTTTAAATGTGTAATGAGTTTTTATACATTTATACACCTGTGTAATCACCAATGCAATCTAAATACAGAACATTTCCATACCCCAAAAATGTTCCCTTGTGCCCCATCTCAGTTAATCTCCTTCTGTCCAAGCAACCACTGATCACTTTCCTTCCTTCTAGATCAGACTTGTTTTTTCTATAGTTTCAAATCATTGGAATCATGTAGTATGCATGCTTTTGTACCTGTGTTCTTTCTCTCAGCATATTTTTCAGATTCATCCATGCTGTTGTGTTCATTCCCTTTTATTGCTGAATAGTACTCTCTTGTATGGATATACCAGATGTATTTATCAGTTCATCTGTTGACGGGCAGTTGAGCTGATGGGCTATTATGAATAAAGCTAAAATTTGTGTACACGTTTTTGTGTGGATATAAGTTTTCATTTCTCTTAGGCAAATACCTGAGTGGAATTATTGAATCATATAAGTGTTTGTCTAACTTTGTAAGAAACCACTGGCCGGGAGCGGTGGCTCACACCTGTAATCCCAGCACTTTGGGAGGCCGAGACAGGTGGCTCACAAGGTCAGGAGATGGAGACCATCCTGGCTAACACGGTGAAACCCCGTCTCTACTGAAAATACAAAAATTAGCCAGGCGTGGTGGTGGGCGCCTGTAGTCCCAGCTACTCGGGAGGCTGAGGCAGGAGAAAGGCGTGAACCTTGTGGAGCTTGCAGTGAGCCGAGATCTCGCCACTGCTCTCCAGCCTGGGCGACAGAGCGAGACTTAGTCAAAAAAAAAAAAAAAAGAAACCGCCAGATTGTTTTCCAAAGGGGTTGTACCACTTACCATGCCTACCAGCTTTATATCCTCGACAACACTTAAGTAATGTCAGTATTTTTATTATATTATTATTTTTTCTTTCCAAACCCAGGATAGTCTCTATAATTGTCAGTATTTTTAATTTTAGCCATTCTAGTGGGTGGACAGTGGTATCTCGTTGTGGCTATAACTTCTGCCTCCCTAATGACCAATAATGCTGAACATCTTGTCATATGCTTCTTTGCTGTCCATCTGCTTGGCGATGCCTGAAGCCTTTACCTATTTAAAATAAGTAGGTTGCCTTCATGTTTTTGTGATGTAAAAGTTCTTTATATATTCTGCATATAAATCCTTGTATTTTTTGTAGAGATGAGGTTTCACATGTTATCCAGGCTAATCTTGAACTCCTGGGCTCAAGGGATCCACCTGCTTTGGCCTCTCAGAGTGCTGGGATTACAGGTGTGAGCCACCATGCCTGGCCTGAAAATTTCATAGCAATTTTTTTTTTAAATTGAGATGGAGTCTCACTCTGTTGCCCAGGCAGATGGCATGCAGAGTGCAGAGTGCAGTGGCAGAGTGCAGTGGCATGATCTCTGCTCACTGCAACCTCCTGCTCCCAGGTTCAAGCGATTCTCCCACTACAGCCTCCCCAAGTAGCTGGGATTACAGGAGCCCACCACCACGCCTGGCTAAATTTTGTATGTTTAGTAGAGACGGGGTTTCACCATGTTGGCCAGGCTGGTCTCGAACTCCTGACCTCAAACGATCTGCCAACCTCGGCCTCCCAAAGTTCTGGGATTACAGGCATGAGCCACCGTGCCCGGCCCATGTTGTCTTTAATAAGGATGGTTTTCTTTCCAATCTGGATGCCTTTTATTAGTACTACTTGTCTTACTGCACTGTCTAGGGAAAAAAAGTGTTGAAAAAAAGTGACAGATATTTCTGCCCTTTTCCCTGTCTTTGGGGTAAAGTATTCAGTCTCTCGCCACTAGGTATTATGTTAACTGAAGATTTTTCATAGGCATCCTTCACCAAGTTAAGAAAGTTTCCTTCTATTTCTAGTTTGCTGAAAGGCTTTTAAATTTTGCCAAAAATTTTTTTATATCTCTAATGAGATATTCATAATTTTTAAAAAATTGTGTTAGTATGGTGAATTACATTGACTGATTTTCTAATGGTAAACAAACCTTTTATTCTTAGGATAAACCTGATTTGGTCATGCCTCATTTCCCTTTCTAGCTATTGCTAGATTTGATTTGCAAAAATTTTGTTAAGCATCTATGTGTCTATGCTCATTAAGGATTCATTTCTTTTCTTGTAATCTTATAATCAAATCCTTTTTCTGATTTGGGTGTCAGGGTAGTGCTAGCCTAAAAAAAAAAGCTGAAAAGTGTCCCTTTTTCTCTCATCTTCTAAAGAAGTTTGTGTAGAATTGATCTTATTTCTTCTTAAATGTTAGGTAGAATTTACCATTGAAGCCATCAGGACCTGGTGTTTTCTCTATGGGAAGATTTTTAAAAATCTGATTAACTTAAAAATCTTATTTTTATTGAGATAAATTCAATGTAAAACAAAAGTCACCATTTTAACCGTTTTAACGTTTACAAGTCAGTGGTTTTTTTTTTCCTATACTCACAATATTGTGCAATCATCATCACTTATTCCAGAACATTTTTTTTTTTTTGAGATGGAGTCTTGCTCTGTCACCCAGGCTGGAGTGCAGTGGTGTGATCTCCACCTCCCTGGTTCATGTGATTCTCCTGCCTCAGCCTCCCGAGTAGCTGGGACTACAGGCACACACCACCACACCTGGCTAATTTTTGTTTTGTTTTGTTTTTTGTTTTTTGAGACAGAGTCTCGCTCTGTCACCCAGGCTGGAGTGCAATGGTGTGATCTTGGCTCACTGCAACCTCTACCTCCCGGGTTCAAGCAATTCTCCTGCCCCAGCCTCCTGAGTAGCTGGGATTACAGGCACGCACAACCATGCCCGGCTAATTTTTGTATTTTTAGTAGAGACAGGGTTTCACCATTTTGGTCAGGCTGGTCTCGAACTCCTGACCTCGTGATCCACCTGCCTCAGCCTCCCAAAGTGCTGGGATTACAGGTGTGAGCCACTGCACCCGGCCTTAATTTTTGTATTTTTAGTAGAGATGGGGTTTCACCATGTTGGTCAGGTTGGCCTTGAACTCCTGACCTCAGGTGATCCACCCGCCTCGGCCTCCCAAAGTGTTGTGATTATAGACATGAGCCACTGTGCCTGGCCCCAGAACATTTTTATCAACCAAAAAAGGAATTTCATAACCCTCAATTTCCCTTTTCTCCCCTCCCCTGTTAACCACTGATGTACCTCTGTCTGTATAGATTAGCCTATTCTGGACATTTTCAAATAAATGAAATAACAAAAGATGTGGCCTTTTGTGTCTGTTTCTTTCACTTGGCATAATATTTTCAAGGTTCATCCATGTGTGCCATGTGTCAGTACTTCATTCCCTTTATTGCTGACTAACCTTTCCTTGTGTGGATATACCACATGTTGTTTATTTGGTCATCAGTTGATGAAAACTCAGGTTGTTTCTATTTTTTGGCTATTATAAATAATATTGCTATGAACATTCATGTACAAGTTTCCATGTAAATATATGTTTTCAAGTCTCTTGGGTACATACCCAGGAGTGGAATAGCTAGGTCATATGGTAATTCTGTTTAAGATTTGAGAAACTGCCAAACTGTTTTCCGACGTGGTTGGACTATTTTACATTCCCATTAGCAATGAATGAAGGTTCCAATTTCTCCACATCCTTGCCAACATTTATATTTTCGATTTTCTTTATTTTATTTATTTTTGAGACAGGGTCTCACTCTGTCACCCAGGCTGGAGTACAGTGGTGCGATCTCGGCTCAGTGCAACCTCTGCTTCCCAGGTTCAAGCGATTCTCCCACCTCAGCCTCCAGAGTAGCTGGGACTACAGGTGTGCACCCACCATGCCCAGATAATTTTTGTATTTTTTGGTAGACACGGGGTTTCACCATGTTGGCCAGGCTGGTCTCGAACTCCTGAACTCAATTGATCTGCCCCCCCTCCGCCTCCCAAAGTGCTGGGGTTACAGGTGTGAGTCACTGCACCTGGCCTTCAGTTTCATTTTTATTTTTTTATTTTTTTACATTTTTTATTTTATTTATTTATTTTTTATTTTTTTTGAGACAGAGTCTCGCTCTGTCACCCAGGCTGGAGTGCAGTGGCGCGATCTCGGCTCACTGCAAGCTCCACCTCCTGGGTTCATGCCATTCTCCTGCCTCAGCCTCCCAAGTAGCTGGGACTACAGGCACCCACCACCGCACCCAGCTAATTTTTTTTGTATTTTTAGTAGAGACGGGGTTTCACCATGTTAGCCAGGATGGTCTCGATCTCCTGACCTCATAATCCACCCACCTTGGCCTCCCAAAGTGCTGGGATTACAGGCGTGAGCCACCATGCCCAGTCAAAAATATTTTTTTAATTAGCTAGGTGTGATGGCTCATGCCTATAGTCCCAGCTACTCCAGAGGCTGAGATGGGAGGATCTCTCGAGCCCAGGAGTTCAAGGCTGCAGTGAGCTAAGTTTACACCACTACACTCTAGCCTGGGTAACAGAACAAGACCCTGCCTCAAATAAATAAATAATAAATAAATAGAGCTTGTTTAGAGATGGACTAGAGTAACCTTTATCCCAGGGCTAATTTAGCTCCACTTCAAAGACACAGCTCTTCTGGAGTCCCCATTGAATGCCTGTGTGTTTGACACAGCTTCTCCACTCTGGTTAGAGGGATGTTTACCCATTCCAGGCTTTGTATAGGCTCTAGGAATTGTTCTGTTTACAGCTACCCAGTAATACTTTTTTTTTCCCCCAGAAATTGCTTTTGCTCCACTTCATGGGTTTTGTCCTAAGTGTGTGCAGATTGTTGTTCACTCAAAGGCTCTAGGGGACCCTGTGTGGGTCTATGGGACTCTTCCTCTGTGTAGCTCCCTGTCTCTTGAACACTGCCCTGCAATTTTAGCTGCCTGAAGCTCTCCTTAACTCAGTAAGACTAAGCTTTCCCCAGACTCCCCCATCGGTGAGGCAGTCTGGAAACTGCCTCTAGGAAGCAGGCAGAGGCAATCACACAGCTCACCTCCTCTGCTCCCCTGCTCCCAGGGATCACAGGCTGCCTGTTATCCAATGTCTGGAAATAGGCATTTCATATATTTTGTCCAATTTATGGTTGAAGGGCAATTCCCATAACTGTTGATCCTTCATAGACAGAAGCAAAACTTCCTATTAATTTTACCACAGGGAGAATACCCAACCTTATTGTATTTAAGAATGTTCTATACCTACCTCACTTACTATTTTTGCCAGGTAGATGTGCATTTATTCTATTTTTCCACATATGTTAACTTCATACAACATAAGAGATATAATACAATAAAACACACCTTCATTAACTCTAAAAATTAATAGAAACGAAACTCTGGGAATGTTTTTTGGGGGAAAAAATGAACATATCTGGAGGGACTAACCAGCCCAAACCCAGGGAAGAAGAAAATTCAAGATGGGTGTTCTTATCTTCTGAGACACAAGATCAAAATACTTCAGGAGCTGTGCTACCATCCTTGATCTTTGGCAATATCCCATTCTCCACACTATCATGGAGACAGCAGGGTACTAGTAAAGTGCATAGGCTTTGGGCTCAGAGAGACTAGGTATGTATCCCAGCTGGGGGCAAGCTGGACTTGTCTAATTTGCAAAGACTGTAAGATGCTCGCAGGCAGGGCCCACATCTTGCTCATTTTTTGTGGCTTCCCACAGCTGTTAGCTCATCCATATGGGAGAAGTATAAAGAAGTTCCAATAGGAGGATTACATTTCATAAGTGAATACTTGCCAAGGTACAGATGACTGATGATATGTTGATGATGACATGTCCAAGTAACATATTTGCATTTGAAACATATTTTCACCCCTTCTTGAGGTGATCAGTAAGGAAGGGGTGAAATTGGTAAATCAAATTGTTTGGCCAAATTCAACAACGACACAAACTTAACCATGGGTTGTTGGAAGTGATGGGACCTATCTTTCCAGGTTGTCATAAAGATGAATGAGTTGGTGCATTAATTCAACACATACTTATTGATCATACACTATGTACTAGCCACTGTTCTAGGTAGCTAGGGCCCAACAAAGAACTAAACAGACAAAAGTTTCCAACTTCATAGAGTTTATATGCTAGTAGAGGAAGGCAAAGAGTACATGAGACATAAGTGAAATGTATGGTATATTACATGGTGTTATGTGCTAGGTTAAAAAAAAAAATAAAGCAGGCCAGGCACAGTGGCTCACACCTGTATCCCAGCACTTTGGGAGGCCAAGGCAGGTAGATCATTTGAGCCCCAGAATTTAAGCCCAGGAGTTTCAGCCCATGAGTTTTAGACCAGCAAGATGGCACAACCCTGTCTCTACAAAAAATACAAAAATTAGCCAGGCATGGTGGTGCATGCCTGTAGTCCCAGCTACTTGGGAGGCTGAGGTGGGAGCATCACTTAAGCCCAGGAGGCGGAGGTTGCAGTGAGCCAAGATCACACCACTACGTTTCCAGCCTGGGCAACAGAGCGAGATGAGACCCTGTTTAAAAATAAAATTGAATTAAAAATAAAGCAAATAAGGAGACTGAGAATGTTGGGGAATGCTGTATACTGAATGCCTGCGTTCCCCTAAAATTCCTCTGTTGAAATCCTACCCCCCAAGGTGATAATATTAGGAGGTGGATACTTCAAGAGGTGATTAGGTCATGAGAACAGAGCATCATGAACAGGATTAGCATCCTCAAAAAAGAGGTCCCAGAGAGCTTTCTTGCTCCTCCTACCATGTGAGGACATAGTCATAGTAAGGAGATGGCCACCTAGGAACCAGGAAGTGGACCCTCCCCAGACACCAAATCTGCCAGCACCTTAATCCTGGGCTTCCCAGTCCCTAGAATGGTGAGAAACAGGTGTCTGTTGTGAATAAGCCAAGCAGTCTATGGTATTTTGTTGTAGCAGCCTGAACAGACTAAAACAGGGTTCAATTTTCAAATAGTATATGAATAGAAGGCCTCAGTGAGAAGGCGATCCTTGAGTCAAGATGGAGGGAGGTGAGGGAGCGAAGCACACAGGTCTCTGGATAAGAGGGTTCCAGCTGGAGAGAACAGTAAATGCAAAGGTCTTGAAGCAAGGGTGCAACTGATGTTGTTCAAGGAAGAAAGAGGCCCACAGGGCTGTAGTTGAAGGAAAAAAGAGTGGTGGGAGATGAGATAAGAGGAGTCAAGACCTGGATTGTTCAGGGTCTTACAGGCTGTGGGAAGGACTTGGGGTTTTGCTCTGAGTGAGCTGGGGCCACTGGAGCACTTTGTATAAAGGAATGACAGGCTCTGTCTGACATTTTAGCAGAATCCCCTGGCCGTTATGTGGAGAGTAAAGAAGGAGGGTGCGCAAAGGTCTGGCATAGGGAGACCAGCTGGGGGGCTGTTGCAATCATCCCAGCCATAGATGCACATCCAGTGCAAGAGCAAGTGCACTGCCCAGAAGATGCCTAATGCATGGACTCTGTCAGGGTTGGCTGCATTTCCAGGAGCAGAAAGCATGAACCTGGCCAGGCGCATTGGCTCACGCCTGTAATCCCAGCACTTTGGGAGGCCGAGGCAGGTGGATCACCTGAGGTCAGGAGTTCGAGACCAGCCTGGCCAACATGGCAAAACTCCTTCTCTACAAAAAATACAAAAATTAGCTGGGTGTGGTGCCATGCGCCTGTAATCCCAGCTACTCGGGAGGCTGAGACAGGAGAATCTCTTGAACCCAGGAGGCAGAGGTTGCAGTGAGCCCTGAGATCGTGCCACTGCACTCCAGCCTGGGCGACAGATCAAGACTCTGTCTCAAAAAAAAAAAAAAACAAAAAACAGTCGGGCCTAGGTAGTAGTTAATAAGACAGAAGGGAATTTGGATTTAGGACCTGGCAATTCAGCTGGTAAAACTCCCCATCCATGGGTTTCAGCTGTCAATCATTTCTCACCTGCTGTCTCTGTGGGCTGGCTACATTTGCCTGAATCAAGCACGTCACACCTTTAAGTAACCAGAGTCAATCAGGGTGTCCTCATTTGTCCGAGGTCTGGATGTGGTTGAGATAAAGCATACTGATTTGTGGAGTCTCTCATGATTTCTGAAAAGTCAAAATCATACCTGTCTCTCCAATCCCAGCGTGGGTGTCACCTGTTCTGAGAGGTTCTCCTTGGTTCCTTTCCCTGTGCAGATCCCTCACCTCACCCCAGGCTGAAAAGGAGCTGGGGTAGAAAGGAGCTGTCCTCTCCAGTGTCCTGTGATGCTGTCCCCTCTGCTTTGATCTGGCCTGATGTACCACCATTAATTAGATAAAAGCAGCTCCTAACAGGCCCAAATCATGGCCTCTTGAAAGGCCCTCTATCTAGTGGCATTATTAATAATCATAAAAATGTTTTACATTGACATCTAGGCTTCACAGCTTTTAAAACTGGAAAATGGCATATTCTAGGAGGCTGGAAAGCATTACAGTTAGGATGTGGTTCTGGAACCCAAGGATTGGAGCTGGAACCCCAATTCTACCACATGGGAAAATACCTTGACCTCATTTACAAACATCATTTAATATGTTTGTGTAAACAGTTAATCCCTGCGCACATATAAAATCCAAAAGGTACAAAAGGATACACAGTAAAAATAATTATCTTCCCATCCCTGTATCATAAGTCATCAGTCCCCACACCAGAATTAACTGAAAAGATCAGTTTCTTTTTCTTTTTTTTTCGAGACAGAGTTTCGCTCTCGTCGCCCAGGCTGGAGTGCAATGGTGCGATCTCCGCTCACCCCAACCTCCTCCTCCTGGGTTCAAGCGATACTCCTGCTTCAGCCTCCCAGGTAGCTGGGATTACAGGCACCCACTACCATGCCCGGCTAGTTTTTGTATTTTTAGTAGAGATGGGATTTCACCATGTTGGCCAGGCTGGTCTCCAACTCCTGACCTCGTGATCCACCCACCTCGGCCTCCTAAAGTGCTGGGATTACAGGCGTGAGCTGCTGCACCCAGCCTGCAATGATCAGTTTCTTACTTAACCTTTTGGAGTCTCCATTTTATCTTCCAGAGCTCTTTCCTTTTGCCTCGTTGCACTCCTGAAAGTGCACCTCAAGATGGGACGCCAGCAGCTCTACTGGGGCCAGCCTCGAAAATTGGGTCAGAGTTCTCACTCTTGTGTTGGCTCAAACTGGACTGGCCTGATTTGGAAATACAGCCTCAATGTGTGCTGCCAGTGTTTCTGTCAGTCTGCAAAGGATATAGGTTTCATTAAGCCAGGCTATGTGATCTGGCTTGAATAGATTATCCAAAACATCCACCCAGTGAAAGAAACCATGCTAGCTCTTTGTATATTAAAAAAACAAAAACAAAAAACAAACAAACAAACAAAAAACAACTTTCCCTCCAAAATTTCTCTTCTGTAGAATAAGAACAATGACACTCGCTCAGCCTCCCATCCAAGGCTTTTATAAAGTTCAAATTAAATTAGTGAATTGTAGAGCCCATACTAATGGAAGGATAGCCTACGCAAGCAAGGGACAGGAGCCTGGAACTTTCAGACTGGCTGGAGCACGTCACACTTTTATGTTACTAGAGTCATTCAGGGTGGGCCGGGCGCAGTGCCTTGCACCTGTAATTCCAGCACTTTGGGAGGCCGAGGCGGGCAGATGACATGAGGTCAGGAGTTTGAGACCAGCCTGGCCAACATGGTGAAACCCTGTCTCTACTTGAGACAGGGTTTTGACCTCATTTATAAACATCCTTTAATATGCTTGTGTAAATAGTTAATCCGTGTGCACATATAAAATCCAAAAGGTACAAAAGGATACACAGTAAAGATAATTATCTCCCCATCCCTGTATCATAAGTCATCAGTCCCCCACACCAGAATAAACTGAAATGATCAATTTTTGTTTTTTGAAGGGTTTTTTGTAAAAATACAAAAAATTAGCCGGGCATGGTGGTGCATGCCTGTAATTCCAGCTACTTGGGAGACTGAGGCAGGAGAATAATTTGAACGCAGAAAGCGGAGGTTGCGGTGAGCCGAGATCACACCACTGCACTCCATCCTGGGTGACAAGAGCGAAACTCTGTCTCAAAACAAAACAAAACAGAGTCAATCAGAGTGTCCTCATTGGTCCCAGGTCTGGATGTGGTTGAGATAAAGCATACTGATTTGTGGAGTCTCTCATGATTTCTGAACCGTCAAAATCCTACTTGTCTTTCCAATCCCAGCGTGGGTGTCACCTGTTCTGAGAGGCTTTCCCTGGTTCCTTTCCCTGTGCAGATCCCCCACCCCACCCCAGATGTGCTCTTTGCCTCTTCAGGGCCTCCAGCATCTCCTACTTAGATCTCTCTGTGCTTCAGGAGGGCTTTCCCTTGCTTGCTGACCTGTTGCAAGGTGGCCTCCTGTGGTAGAGTGAGCAAGGCTTGGATTGTGACTTCCCTACCCACTGGCTATGTGACCTGCACAAGCATTAAACCTCTCTAAACCTCAGTTTTCTAATCCACAGATTTTGGTTAATAACGTTTACCCCCCAGGAAACAGTTCTTAAACTTCCACCTCTTAGGACCCCTTTATTCTCTGAACAATTAAGGACCACAAAGAGTTTTTGTTTATGCCGGTTATATCCATGTATTATCCATATATTTACTATATTAGAAACATAACTGAGAAATTAAAACATATTTATTTATTTGTTTAAAAATCACAATAGGAAACCCATTACATGTTGACATAACTGTTTGTTTGTTTGTTTGAGACAGGGTCTACTCTGTAGGATCAGGTTGGAGTGCAGAGGCATGATTTCGGCTCACTGTAACCTCTGCTTCCCGGGCTAATGTGATCCTCCCACCTCAGCCTCCCAAGTAGCTGGGACTACAGGCACACACCATCACACCTGGCTAATTTTTGTATTTTTCATAGAGACAGGGTTTCACCATGTTGCCAAGGCAGGTATTGAACTCCTGAGCTCAAGTGATCCACCCGCCTCAGCCTCCCAAAGTGCTAGGATTACAGGTGTGAGCCACCACGCCCAACAACATAGTTATTTTTAATTTGTTTCTTTTCTTTTTGTAGAGATGGGGTTTCACTATGCTGTCCAGGCTGGTTTTAAACGCCTGGCCTCAAGCAATCCTCCCACATCAGCCTCCCAAAGTGCTAGGATTACAGGCATGAGCCACCACACCTGGCCTATTTTTAATTTTTAAGGTGTTATTTAGCCAGGCGTGGTGGCTCACGCCTGTAATCCTAGCACTTTGGGAGGCCGAGGCAGGCGGATTGCCTGAGCTCAGGAGTTTGAGATCAGCCTGGGCAACATGGTGAAACCCCGTCTCTACTAACAAAAAAAAATAATACAAAAAATTAGCTGGGCGTGGTGGCGGGCGCCTGTAGTCCTAGCTACTCAGGAGGCTGAGGCAGGAGTATTGCTTGCACCCAGAAGGCAGAGGTTGCAGTGAGATGAAATTGCGCCACTGCACTCCAGCCTGGGCAACAGAGCGAGACTCTGTCTCCACAAATAAATAAATAGTTATTTCTATTTTCCCAAACAAAAATATTTACCAAGAAGAATATTCCTTTACATTTTTGCAAATTTCTTTAATAGGAGATAGCTTCTCACATTTGTTCTACATTCTCACATTTGTTCTACATTCAATCTGTTGAGATATGTACTTTTAATTGAAGTATATGAAGAAAATACAACCCCATGCAAATGTACAGTTGGGAAGAGTATTTTAGTAGTTTTCTCAAATTATTATAGATACTCTTTGGCCCTACACCAAAAGTCAGTAAGTGGCAGTTTTTTAGAGTCAGTTGCCATACGAAATCTGCACCTATGTCAATAAATTTTCCATACTCTGTTACATTAAATTCCATGGGTCTGGCCAGGCACAGTGGCTCACACTTGTAGTAATCCCACCACTTTGGGAGGCCGGGGTGGGTGGATCCCTTGAGGTCAGGGGTTTGAGACCAGCCCGACCAACATGGTGAAACCCTGTCTCTACTAAAAATAAAAATAAAAAAATTAGCCAAGCATGGTGGTATGCGCCTGTAATCCCAGCTGCTTGGGAGGCTGAGGCAGGAGAATTGCTTGAACCCAGGAGGCAGAGGTTGCAGTGAGCTGAGATCACACCATTGCACTCCAGCCTGGGCAACAAAAGCAAAACTCTGTCTCAAAAAACATAAAAAATAGGCCTGGCATGGTGGCTCATGCCTGTAATCCTAGCACTTTGGGAGGCTGAGGTGGGTGGATCACGAGGTCAGGAGATCGAGACCATCCTGGCTAACACGGTGAAACCCCATCTCTACTAAACAAAATTAAAAAAAAAAAAAAAATTAGCCGGGCGTGGTGGCGGGCGCCTGTAGTCCCAGCTACTTGGGAGGCTGAGGCAGGAAAATGGCGTGAACCCGGGAGGCAGAGCTTGTAGTGAGCCTAGATTGCACCACTGCCCTCCAGCCTGGGCGACCGAACAAGACTTGGTCTCAAAAAAAAAAAAAAAAAGATAAAAAATAAAAATAAAATCTACTTTAAGTGGATCTTTTACCTATGCATGATTTTGTAACTTTTTACATTAGGCATTTGGGAAGTATTGATTTACTGAATATGCCAGTTTTCCAAAAGTTGATACATTTTATTCTCAACACAGAATAATCATATGGCTAATATTACCACCAATCTCATCAGAAAAGTCTGTCAGTACCAGGAAGCTGTCAGGCTCAACATGGTAGACACAAGTTTTCCCAAATTCTAATTTTCACTTGAAAACTCAAATTTTTCAGCTGGATACAAAAACAGAAAAAAAGAAAACTCATATTTTATTATTGGCAATAAATACTGTCAGTTGTTTTTCTTGAAGTGGCAGTCTCATTTGTTTATTTTTGAGAAAATGTCTATCCAGTATTCAAATCTGATTGATTAACCATAGTTTGTCTGCAGGCATTCTTTCAAGTAAAAATGATGTTCCATGAGAAAAGTGACTAATTTAGCTTGCAACTCAAACAATCATACATCATACAAAAGTACACGTACTCTTTCTTTTTCTTTCTTTCTTTCTTTTTTTTGAGACTGGGTCTCACTCTGTCACCCAAGCTGGGATACAGTGATGGGATTTTGGATCATTGCAACCTCTGCTTCCCAGGCTCGAGCAATCCTCCCACCTCAGCCTCTGGAGTAGCTGGGACAACGGTCATGCACCAACATGCTTGGCTACTTTTTGTATCTTTTTATATGTTGCCCAGGCCAGTCTCCAACTCCTGGACTCAAGCGATCTGCCCAACTCAGCCTCCCAAAGTGCTGGGGTTTCAGGCATGAGCCACCGCACCCAGCTCACAAGTACTTTCTCTTAAGACAACTATTGTACTTTAGAATTTGCTAGAAGTGCTTTCTGTGTATTTCTCACTTTTTTGCACAGAATGGTAAAAAGACATGGACTCAGGTGGAGATTTAATAAGATTAATAATTTTTACTGCTTTCCTAATAACATTTTTAGTGAAATGAATATTTTTCCTGCAAGTGTGGTGAAGAATGCAGCGATCATTAGTACAGTTTGGTGCCACTGCCTTGATTTCTGCTCAGTCACCAGCAGTCCTACCCACTGGCTTAGTCCATTTTTTGTTGCTATCAAACAATACTTGAGACTGAGTAATGTATAAAGAAAAGAAATTCATTTCTTAAAAGGGAGGCTGGGAAGTCAAGATTGAGAGTCCTGAATCTGCTGAGGACCTTCTTGCTGTGTCATCCCATGGCAGAAGGTGGAAGGGCAAGAAAGCACATGAGACAGAGAAAGGAAGGGCGCTGGACTCATGCCTTTATGAGGAGCCTGCTCCCACCATAACTAGCCCACCCTCGCCATAACCTCTTAAGGATCCCAACTCTTAATACTGTCACAATTGCAATTAAATTTCAACATG
The DNA here is from genome assembly GCF_000001405.40 of Homo sapiens. Lineage (NCBI taxonomy): Eukaryota > Metazoa > Chordata > Mammalia > Primates > Hominidae > Homo > Homo sapiens. Next base: position 69,018,512 of record NC_000014.9, on the reverse strand, counting down.
AGTTTTGGAGGACATGTTCAAACCATAACACCTACCATTGCTCTTGCACCATCAGTGCAAATGTCAGTACAGTGAAAAAGGTAAATAAATCTCAGTATTATAATGAAACTAGTTTTGGCCTTGTGGATCCCCTGAAAGGATCTTGGGGACCGTCGGGGTCAGCAATCTATACTTCAAGAATCACTGCCTATACAGTTACTGTGAGAATTAGATAAAATAATGTATGTAAAGCAGTTGGCATGGTACCTAGAATATTCTAAGTGCTTAATAAGTTCTAGCAACTCCATTTATTCTTCAAAATGATTTCACATATTTCATTTCCCGGTGACTTCTATGTCCTCACCACATCTAGCCCAAACTGCCTTTGTAGAATGAACTTTATACTTTTCTCTGAGCTTCTCAAAAGAAGGGCATGTATTCATAACAGAGGCCTGCCTAGTAACCAACTTATTTAAATGAATATATGAACTAGTCAAGGCAAATGTGCCAAATTCCATTTTACGGATAAAAAATGCTGTATGTCTGAGACTGCCTGACTTTTCAGTTGTAAGGTCAATGCTGTGGGCGGTGGGTGGGGTGGGGTGGAGAGGCAGGGGAGGGTTAGGGGGATGGGGTGGAGAGGCAGGGGAGGGTTAGCGGGGGTGGGGTGGAGAGGCAGGGGAGGGTTGGGGGTGGGGTGGAGAGGCAGGGGAGGGTTGTGGGGGTGGGGTGGAGAGGCAGGGGAGGTTTGCGGGGGTGGGGTAGAGAGGCAGGGGAGGGTTAGGGGTTGGGGTGGAGAGGCAGGGGAGGGTTGGGGGGGTGGGGTGGAGAGGCAGGGGAGGATTAGGCCCAAAGTGGGCATTATTGATTCTTGCATTCTATGAACATGCTGTATCATCCTTCCATTTACTTAGGTCTTTAATTTCTCTCGGCAATGTGTATACAGGTCTTGCTCGTCTTTCATTTAAATCATTTCTAGGCACTTCATGTGATTTTCAATAGATTGAAAGAATCAATATTATAAATATATCAATGTTCCTTAAATTCAATGCAATCCCTAATCAAAATCCCATCAAAACAAGCTAATTCTATTTATTTATTTATTATATTTATTTATTTATTTATTATTATTATTATTTTTATTTGAGACGGAGTTTCGCTCTTGTTGCCCAGGCTGCAGAGCAATGGCGTGATCTCAGCTCACAGAAACCTCCGCCTCCCAGGTTCAAGCGATTCTCCTGCCTCAGCGTCCCGAGTAGCTGGGATTACAGGCATGAGCCACCACGTCCAGCTAATTTTGTATTTTTAGTAGAGACGGGATTTCTCCATGTTGGTCAGGCTGGTCTCAAACGCCCAACCTCAGGTGATCTGCCCGTCTCGGCCTCCCGAAGTGCTGGGATTACAGGTGTGAGCCACCGTGCCTGGCCAAAACAAGCTAATTCTAAAATGCATAAAGGAATGCAAAGGGGCCGGGTATGGTGGCTCACGTTTGTAATCCCAATGCTTTGTGAGGCCAAAGTGAGTGGATCACTTAAGCCCAGGAGTTCAAGCCCAGCCTGGGCAACATGGCAAAACCCTGTCTCTATACAAAAATACAGAAAAAAAAAAAAAAAAAAAAAAAAAGCCAAGCATGATGGCATGTGCCTGTGGTCTGAGCTACTTACTTAGCTACTTGGTAGGCTGAGAAGGGAAGATAGTTTGAGGCTGGGAGGTTGAGGCTGCAGTGAGCCGTGATCGCACTCCATTCCACTCCAGCCTGGGCAACAGAGTTAGACCCTGTCTCAAAAACAAAAAAAACAAAAAAACAAAAAAAAGGATCTAGGGTAGCCAAAATAATCTTGGAAAAGAAGAAAAAATGTCAGGACTTACACTACCTGATTTGAAGACAATAAAACTATGATAATGAAGACAGTGTGGTACTGGGAAAGGATAAACAATGACATCAATGGGACAGGAGAGTTCAAAAACAGCACACAAAATACAATCCACTGATTTTGATGAGGATATCAAGGCAATTCAATGGGTAAAGGGCCGTTACATCAATACATTGTGCTGGAACAAGTAGTTATTCATATAGAAGAAATGAATCTTGACTTTCATCTCATACCATACACAACAATTAATTCAATTTTTTTATACACCTACACATGAAAGCTAAAACTCTAAAGCCTCTAAAAGAAAACATTAGAGACTATCTTCACAAACTTGGAGTAAGCAAAGACTGTTAAGGTAGGGACAGAAAGCTAAATAAGCACAAAAGAAAATTTCCCTCTGCTCCCAGAATCTCCCTCTGGGCTGGCAGCCCCTCCTGCACCTCCGGGTGCTAATACTTGTCCCTGATGCTCCATGCAGAGCCCCCAGCCCTGCACTCCCATCACCATGGGCTTCTGAAAGCTGAGGGTCATTGGGTAGCATTTTCACAACTTTTGCCACGATTTATTCAACATTTCCCTTTAAAGCATCTCCTTTTTTTATATATATTTATTATTTATTATTTTTTTTTTGAGATGGAGTCTCGCTGTGTCACCCAGGCTGGAGTGCAGTGGCACAATCTTGGCTCACTGCAACCTCCACCTCCCAGGTTCAAGTGATTCTCCTGCCTCAGCCTCCCAAGCATCTGGGACTACAGGCGCACGCAACCACGCCCAGCTAATTTTTGTATTTTTAGTAGAGAGGGGGTTTCACCATGCTGACCAGGATGGTCTCGATCTCTTGACCTCATGATCCACCTGCCTCAGCCTCCCAAAGTGCTGGGATTACAGGCATGAGCCACTGTGCCCAGCCTATTTATTTATTTTTGAGACAGAGTTTCACTTTTGTTGCCCAGGCTGGAGTGCAATGGTATGATCTCGGCTCACTGTAACCTCTGCCTCCTGGGTTCAAGCAGTTCTCCTGCCTCAGCCTCCCAAGTAGCTGAGATTACAGGCACACGCCACCACACCCAGCTAGTTTTTGTATTTTTAGTAGAGATGGGGTTTCACCATGTTGGTCAGGCTGGTCTCGAACTCCTGACCTCAGGTGATCCACCTGCCTCGGCCTCCCAAAGTGTAAAGCGTATCCTTTTCACTTACGTCTTGTCCTATCTATTTTAGCCCTGTCCTAAATAATCACTGCTGTGAAATTCCTAGTTTGATAGGTTTGTCATTTTTCTCCACTGCGTATTAGAATAAATTGTAACCGTAAATGTTTAAAATGTGTGAACAACCTAAAATGCTTTCATGTACTGCACTTAGGGTTTTTCCATGTTCTTGTGTAGGAATGTGTGTGAGCATGTCTGTGTGGGGGTGAGTGTGGGTATGGGGGTGAGTGTGGGTGTGGAGGTGTGAGTGGTGAGCATGTATGTGAGTGTCTGGGAATGTGCAAGTGTGTGTGCCTGAGTGTGTGGTGTGTGAGTGTAGTGTGGGATGGGGCTGGAGGAAGTCTAGGCTGACTACACAATGATGAGTCCTCGTCTGGGTGACCCACAATTCCCGGCAATGAGCCACATTCACCAGGAACCAGGCAGGGCAGAGGAAAGGCGTGTGGGGCAGAGGCCCCCACCCCCTTTTCTGCTCATTGCCCACAGGCCCTCAGAGGAGAGAAGGCTCTGTCAGTGGCCCAGGGAGTACCTGGTTACGGCCCGGCAGCCTGGTAACCATCACCAGGGACTAGGAGTACTTCTGGGAGCAGCAGGCGGGGGCAGATCCTTCACTGCTATATTTACAGGTCTGGATTTAGCACAGGACCTTGAGGCGAGGGACTGAGATCCAAAGTGTTCAATATGTTCTTCCCCCGGCAACCTTGTGCAAGGGGTATTTTTATAGGAGCTCAGAGAAGCCAGGAAAGTTCCTCAAGGCCCCACAGCTACGACATTCGGAGTGAGAGGAGGACCCAGGCCTTCTAATTCTAAGGTCAAAGCCTTTTCCAACATAGCAAGGAAGTACGGCACCTCCCAAAAGCACTGTGCCACCTGCTGCCCAGGTGTGAGAACCCAGGAAGGCGTGCCAAGTGCCACCCAATTTCATTGGTTCTTCTTGTACAGGTCTGCCTCAGTGGTCTCAGCTGAGTGGTTCTTGCGCCCATCTCCATGACCAACTGCTCAGCCAGAAACGGCTGGCCTCCCAGGCACAGGAGACCCATGAGCAGGGGTGATATTCCACAGAGCACCTGGCCTGCAAGGGCACTGACTGAACAGAACTAACTTCAGCTTGAGGAATGGGGGCAGGGTCCTGGAGGCGGGGCGGAGGGTGGTTCCTGAGGAGGCATCACAGCAGCCAGTGCACTGGGGACACTTGTGGGGCCTCAGGACGGTGGCTACTGACCAACCAGGAAGGAAGCACTTGCATATGTAAACAATCCATATTGCATACCCACACACTGTGGCTGCATGCCAGCCTTGCTCAAGAGGGCTCCTGTGTATTCACTCTTCTCAGAGGCAGAAGATGAGGAAGCTCCTTTCTCTGTCCCTCCCTCTTTTGCATTATGTGAACTGGGCCCCTTAGTGCCAGGCACAATACTGAAGATAAGAAGATAATAAAATCCAGAGCCCTGCCTGCCCCCAAGGAGCTCGGGCCTGTTTTCCCAGGAGATGTCCTCTCGATAATCTGGCCCCAGTGCTAGGCTGTCGAGGGGCCAGGTTGGTTAGTGCTGGTCAAGGGGCACACAGAGAACCCAGACCTAGTCCTGCATGCAGGCCCCCCACAGTCTTGTTTTGGGCCTCATAGTGGAAAATATACATAGGAACTAATAAGGCTAAAGAGGCTTCACATTAAAGAGAGCGGGATACATCCTGCAGCATGCAGGACCATCGCCAGCTCCGACCAGAGTGTTATTTGGGAGCCCGAGACTCCTGCATAAGGACCTGCCTTCATCTCACTTAGCCATTCCAAATGTTACTGAACACGAAATCACTCTAGGGGGGGTCATGGTTAGAGGTTTATTTTAATATATAATGGAGGCCGAGCATGGTGGCTCATGCCTGTAACCCCAGCAGTTTGGGAGGGTGAGGCAGGTGGATGACTTGAGGTCAGGAGTTCAAGACCAGCCTGGCCAACATGATGGAACCCCGTCTCTATTAAAAATACAAAAATTAGCTGGGCATGGTGGCAGGTGCCTGTGATTCCAGCTACTTGGGAGGCTGAGGCAGGAGAATCGCTTGAACCCAGGAGGTGGAGGATACGGTGAGCTAAGATCATGCCACTGCACTCCAGCCTGGGCAACAGAGTGAGTGAGACTCCATCTCAAAAAAAAAATACATATATATGTGTGTGTGTGTGTGTGTGTGTGTGTGTGTGTGTGTGTGTGTGTATGTATGTATGCATGTAATGGAGACAAACCTGTCAACTAGGAGCTTCACACCACTCTCATAGCAGCTGCTGCCCCCCACACTTGCTTATTCCATCTTTGGGTCTTTCTGCTCAGAACTCAGAGTCCCAGGGGAGGAAGCTGGAATGACAGCCCCAGCAAGACTGTGCACAAGGAGAGAAGGATTCCCCCTAAAAATCAAAGCTGGGCCCTGCTTTCAAAGGAAGGGCAGAATATAAGCTGGACCAACAAATAACAGCAAATATTCCACTGGTTTAGGAGGGAGGTGGGTGGTGCTGGGACAGGGCATGGACTTGGGGCCAAGGAGACATGGGTTAGAACCCGAGCCCTGGCACGGCTGGCACTGTGGACATACCCCACTTAAAACCCCACCAGGCTTCCACTTGCTCCTGGGGAAAAGCCTCCAATTCTTTCAAGGCTCTGCATGCTCTACCTCCAGACTCATTGCCTGGACATGAGCCATTACTTCTCTCTACAGAGCTTTCCCCCTTCCCTTCCTCTGTGTATACTTAACACCTCCTCAGCCTTCAGGCCTCACTCACAGCCTCATCAGCCTGGTTGCCTAAATATATATATGAAGAGAGAGAGATTGAGATTTTGATTTTAAGGAATTGGCTCATGTGATTGTGGGGGCTGGCAAGTCCCAAATCTATTGGGCAGGTCGGCAGACTGGAAATTCAGCTAAGAGTGAAGTTGCAATCTTGAGCTCAAAATCCACAGGGCAGCAGGCTGGAAACCCAGGCAAGGGTTTGATGTTGCAATCTTGAGGCAGAATTTCTTCTGAAACCTCAGCCTGTGTTCTTAAGCCCTTCAACTGATTGAATGAGGCCCACCCACATCATGGAGGGTAATCTGCTTTACTGAAAGCCTACTGACTGTAAAAGTTAACCACATATAGCCCAGGCACGATGGCTCACACCTGTAATCCCAGCACTTTGGGAGGCTGAGGCAGGCAGATCACTTGAGGTCACGAGTTCAAGACCAGCCTGGCCAACATGGTAAAACTCTGTCTCTACTGAAAATACAAAAATTAGCTGGGCATGGTGGCACATGCCTGTAGTCCCAGCTACTCGGGAGGCTGAGGCAGGAGGATCACCTGAACCTGGGAGGCGGAGGTTATAGTGAGAAGAGATTCTACCACTGCACTCCAGCCTGGGTGACAGAGCTAGACTCCTCAAAAAAAAAAAAAAAAATTTAACCGCATATAAAGAATACCTTCATAGCACCATCTAGGCTAGTATTTGACCGAACCACTAGGCTAGTATTTGACCAAACCACTAGGTACCACAGTCTAGCCAAGGTGACAGGTAGAACTAACCATCACACCTTCCCTGGCTTCTGGGGAAGATGGGCACCTCATCTGCTCCCCCGTCCTTACTTACATGCTATTCTGGGGGCTGTGTTCCCTTCTTCATAGAACTATGGCACTTTGTACTATTTATCTGTTTATCTTTGTTGTTCTCCCGATTTTCCACTGAGCTTCCATTAAAATAATTAAGTAGAAGGTCATTAGACTGAGGTGGTTTTAAAGTCCTAGGTTCTTATGTAAGTAAACTGAATCCTAATTCAAAATTAAAGAGAAAATTGGCCCAGTGCAGTGGCTCACACCTACACCTTGGGAGGCTGAGGTGGGTGGATCACTTGAGCTCAGGAGTTTGAGACCAGCCTGGGCAACATGGTAGAACCCCACCTCTACCAAAAATACAAAAATTAGCTGGGCATGGTGGTGCATGCCTGTGGTTCCAGCCATTTGGGGGGCTGAGGCAGGAGGGTCGCTGGAGTCCAGGAAGTCAAGGCTACAGTAAGCCACGATCTCACCACTGCACTCCAGCCTGGGTAACAGAGTGAGACCCTTACTCAAAAAATAAAATAATGAAAATGTTTAAAAAGATAAAAAAAATTAAAAATAAAATAAAACCGTCCAGGTGTGGTGGCTCACACCTATAATTCCAGCACTTTGGGAGTCTGAGGCAGGCAGATGGTTGAGCCCAGGAGTTCAAGATCAGCCTGGGTAACATGGCAAAACCCTGGCTCTACAAAAAATAAAAAAAATTACCCAGGCATGGTGGTGTGCACCTGTAGTCCCAGCTACTCAGAAGGCTGAGGTGGGAGGATCACTTGAGCCCAAGAGGCGAAGGTTGCAGTGAGCTGTGATCGTGCCACTGCACTCTAGCCTGGGTAACAGAGTGAGATCCTGTCTCAAAAACCAAACAAAACAAAACAAAAAAAAAGAAAAGAACAAGAAAATGAAACTTAAGTTCAGCCAATCACAGGTGGCCAACTGGGTGTATATTATATCATCTCGAAATTCCCATAGGATAGTCTGAATAAGGCAATTGCTCAAACATTAACCAGTCAAATAATTTTTTTGCTCTCTTCTGCATTCACCCTATAAAAGCCTTCCCCTTGTACCCCATTGGCAGAGCCCCAAGCCTGCTTTGAAGTCTCTGTTTTAGGGCTGGGTGCAGTGACTCATGCCTGTAATCCCAGCACTTTGGGAGGCTGAGGCAGGCAGATCACCTGAGGTCAGGAGTTTGAAACCAGCTTGGTTAACATGCTGAAACCCTGTCTCTACCAAAAATACAAAAATTGGCCAGGTGTGGTGGCTGGCGCCTGCAATCCCAGCTACTTGGGAGGCTGAGGCATGAGAATCACTTGAACTTGGGAGGTGGAGGTTGCAGTGAGCTGAGATTGTTCCACTGCACTGCAGCCTGGGCAACAGAGGGAGACTTCATCTCAAACAAACAAACAAACAAAAAAAGTCTATTTTAAAATCACCCTATAAAACCCTCTGTTTTAGAGATGCCCAATTCATGAGTTGCTATTTGCTCAAATAAACTCTTTAACATTTTAATGTGCTTCAGTTTACCTTTTAACATTCCTAAGGTGTGAATTTGTGTTATGTATTCTTAAGTCTTCAGATGCTTATTTAAACTGAAGATTTAGGTGTTTCTTTAGTTTTGATCAATTCTCAGCCATTTTCTCTTTAAATATTGCTCCTTCCTCATTTCTTCTTTGATCTCATTTTTCCCTCTATGTCTCTTAGCCACAATTGCTTCCATACTGTTCTTGCTGTGCTGCTGAGAGGGTGATTTTTTTCAGAGGCATCACCCAGTTTGCTAAGCGTGTCTTTAGCTCCATCTTGTTCTGCTGTTTAATCCATTAATTTTAATAAATAATCCTTTTTTTTTTTTTTTTTTGAGACGGAGTCTTGCTCTTGTCGCCTGGGCTGGAGTACAATGGGGCAATCTTGGCTCACCGCAACCTCCGCCTCCCGGGTTCAAGCAATTCTCCTGCCTCAGCCTCCAGAGTAGCTGGGATTACCATGCCTGGCTAATTTTTTTGTATTTTTTTAGTAGAGAGGGGTTTCACCATGTTGGCCAGGCTGGTTTCAAATTCCTGACCTCAAGTGATCTGCCCACCTTGGCCTCCCAAAGTGCTGGGTAAAATTACAGTCATGAGCTACTGCACCCAGCCCTAAATAATTTTTAAAGCTGTATTTTTCATTTCTAGAACTTTGTTTGATTTGTTTCCCAACATTTTTTAATATTATCTTGTTTCTTATTATTATTTCTTTTCTATTTAAAAATTCTCTAGAATTATTTAACCTATTTATTTTATAACTTCAGGTTTCTCTACTACTCCTGCTTCTTAGGGGATGAATTCTGATTGGTTTGGTTTGGTTTGGCTTTGGTTTTGTATTTACTGATTATCTCTTATGGTGGTTTGTTTCCCTGTGTGATTTGTAATTTTCAATTGGGAAACTCATTTCCAGTGGAAGGTTGTTTTTGCTGTGGAATGCCTGTGAGGCTGGGTTGTGAAAATGTACAGAGTACCTTGGGTTTTGCTTCTGTCAGGGCCCTAGGTTCTGGACTAACTTTTTTTTTTTTTTTTTTTTTTTTTTTTTTGAGACAGAGTCTCCGGTCATCCAGGCCAGAGTGCAGTGGCATGGTCTTGGCTCACTGCAACCTCCACCTCCTGGGTGAGGTTGATTCTCCTTGCCTCAGCCTCCCGAGTAACTGGGATTACAGGGGCACACCACTACCTTTGGCTAATTTTTGTACTTTTAGTAGAAAAGGGGTTTCACCATGTTGGCCAGACTGATCTCGAACTTCTGGCCTTAAATGATCCGCCTGCCTCAGCTACCCGAAGTGCTGGGATTACAGGCGTAAGCCACCGCACCCGGCCTCTGGACTAACTTTTAGATTAACTTTTTGGCATAGGAATCCTGGGACCAGTGGCATGCCAAAGCAGGGGATGAGGCGGGAGCAGTCCATCTCTCTCCTCCAAGTGAGGGAGGCCTGGCCTTTCCATCTTTCACGTGAACTTTTCTCCCACCCAAGACTTCTACAGTGAGAAAACTGTTGCTCCTTCTGCAGGCCCAGTTGGTAGTTTTTCCAGCCTTTCTTTTCTGTGACTGGGATACTCCTCAAGGCTCCAAGCTGTATTCAGCTGGATCAGTTCCAACTCTCCTGCCTCAAACAGCCTGGGGCTGCCTCCTGTTTTTGAAGGGGCTTTAGAACTCTGGGCTCTAGGCCTTAGGGCCTATATCTAGTCAAAACCTCACAAACCGGAGGCTTAGCTCTCACTCCATTTTCTGGCTTTGAGTTCTTGGAACTATTTCTGGAATCTGGGGTTTTCCTTTCTCTTGAGCTCAGCTTTGTATGTTCAAGTGTTTTTCTTGTATTTTATACAGCATTTTTATAGTAATGAGAGAGGGGCTGTCTGAAACAGTGCAATCTGGCATGTTGCCAAAAACCTTCTGCTGCATTGACCTGTGATTATTCAAGGAATATAGTCCTCTCCACTAGACCATAAACCCCATGAGGCAGGGGCTTTGTTGACTTTGCTGAATTCCCAGCTTCTAAAAAGGACCAAGCACATGGCAAGGGATATATATATATATATATATATATATATATATATATATATATATAGACAGTGTCTCACTATGTTGCCCAAGCTGGTCTCGAACTGCTGGGCTCAACTGATCCTCTTGCCTTGGCCTCCAAAGTGCTGGGATTACAGATGTGAGCCGCTGCACCTGGCCCCTCAATAAATATTTTTGAATAATGAACAAAGATACTCCCTCTAGGGGCATTAATACCTAAATCTTAGGGATGTTGGGAGAATTTAACAAGAGAATATGTAATATGCTTGCTATATGGTGGCAACTCAGGAAAGGTAGCCATCACCATAATTTGTCTGTTAAGGCAAAAGCTTGAATGATAGTTTCCCTGCAATTCAGCTCCCACCCTCACCTCAGACAGTAGTCCTGGCCCAGGATGGCAGGCAGGTTCTGTGGGTGTGGCCTCTTGCCACTTCCCAAAGTACCAGGTCAGCCCTTCCACCAGAACAGCCACAGCACTGTGGTTTTATTTTTATTTTTTTGAGATGAAGTCTTGCTCCGATACCCAGGCTGGAGTGCAGTGGCTCAATCTTGGCTCACTGCAACCTCTGCCTCCTAGGTTCAAGTGATTCTCCTGCCTTAGCCTCTAGAGTAGCTGGGATTACAGGCACCTGTAACCACATCTGGCTAATTTTTGTATTTTTAGTAGAGACAGGGTTTCACTATGTTGGCCAGGCTGGTCTCGAACTCCTGACTTCAGGTGATCCGCCCGCTTTGGCCGCCTCCCAAAGTGCTGGAATTATAGGTGTGAGGCACCGCGCCTGGCCTGGAAACAGAATTTGAACACTGATTTGTGTGTGTGTGTGTGTGTGTGTGTGTGTGTTGTAATATCTCCTTGGACATATTAGAAGGATAACCCATTAAGGACTATAATAATAATATATATTAAATGCCTATTGTGTCGGACACCCTCTTTAGTTTAATGCTATTCATTAACTGCTAGGTGGGTACCATCCCCCACTTTGTAAATGAGGAAATTGAGTCTGAGTGATCGTAAGTAACTTACCCAAGGTCCTGTAGCTGATAGGTCAAGGGCTAAACTCCTCTAACTCCCAAGCCCAGTCTCCTGCTGCCAAAGGATTTTCTTTCCTGTGAATGAGAAATTCTCTTGGAGCCCTGGTTCCCAACTTTGACTGCTTGCTGGACTCTCCTGGGAAGCTTTACAAAATCCTGATGCTTGAGTCCTACCCCCAGAGATTTTTATTTAATGGGAAATCAGGATTTTCTGAAGTTCCCTAGGTGATTTTAACAGGCATCCAAGGCTGAGCGCCACTGGCTTAGTGGGTTCCAAATCCCACATCCACCAAGGTCCTTGACTGTAAATGTCACCTGGCCTGACCATCCCCACGACTGGAAAGAAGACCAGAAAAGTCCAGGACAGGAGCCCACCTCAAAGTCCAAGGTCCGTAACTGGTGCCTGTAACTGCTTGCCCAGAGCCAAACTGGGAAATAGGCACCAATAATAGTAACAACATAATGGTGACAATAATGATAGCCAGGGTTCAAACAGTATTTCAATAATGTACTTATTGTGACGTAGCAGGCGCCTTGCGTACTTTACCTCATTTGTTTCTCACAGCAATGCTATGAGTGAGGTGCAATGAATCTCTCCATTTACAGATGAGAACACTGAGGCACAGGCAGGTGAAGTGGCCAGCCCAGGGCCACTCAGCGAGGCTGGGCAGGTTGTGTTCTGGACCACTGGCTTTTCTATGCTGCCTCTCCAACCCCGGGCTGCCTCTAACTTTGCAGTCCCTGGGTCCCCTCAGAACTCTCCCGCTACTCACAGCCCTAGCACTTGATTTGCTGAGGGCCTGCCCCGAACTGGGGAGGTGGGGGTGAGCAATAAATGTGGATAAGGGGCCTGGCCTGGCCCCTCCACTGGATCTCACAGTCTGGCAGGGGTGATAAGGCCAGAGTAGGTGGAATGAGACACAGAGGATGGGTGGAGGGCGGAGGTGGTGGGATTCACCCTCAGCCACCAATTGATGGAGAGATCCTAACCCTTGGTCAGCAGGCTTCTAAGACACCCCTGCCACCGTATCCCTTGAGGCCAATGCCTGAGGCTGGATCCCTGAGCCCTCTTTCTGCCCCCGCACAGTTCCTGGAGGAGGACCATGTCATGGTTAGGACACACGTGGGTTCAAGACCAGACACCTCAACTCTGCAGACCTGGTTTCCTCACCTATGACATCCCTCCTCGCAGGTTTGCTGGAAAGATTGAACCAGCTGGACACAGCCAGTGCCTGGAGTCGGCCTAGCATAGTGTGGGTACAGCCCTTCTCTCATCCTCACCCTGCACTCCTCCCAGCGCCCAGCCTGGCTGCCCAGCCACTTCCCAGCACCAGCTTTCCATGTGGGAATGGAAACTCTGAGAGGGACCACGTCTCTTTGTATTTCCCCAGACTGAATTGTTCACAGCTGGCAGCATGGCTGAATGACTCACCCCTCCCGGAAGGATGCCTGTGTCAACCCAGCAGCTTCATTCAGGTCAATGCTTATTCCCTGAGCACCCGGTAAGTCCGTGGCTCTCATCCCTGGCAGCACACCAGAATCAGGGGGTTTGGAAGTGGGTGAAGCCACAAGGCAAGGAAGAGGCAGTGGAATCAGGATCTCTGGGGTGAGGCCCAGGCATCTGCATTTCTTACACAGTCTCTTTCATAAGGTC